>NC_000006.12:40969090-41272121 GCF_000001405.40 Homo sapiens
GGCTGAGCTAGCAGGGTTTGCAGGTCCCAAGGCAATTTGCATCTCCTGTTGGAAGTCTTCCTCATCAAAGCAACGGAAATCAATGCAGTAAATAGTTATAATGAACTGACCTGCTCACACTCCCTGTCTCTTCCTGAGGAAGAGGAATCATGAGAGACACATTGTTTCCAAATCCTTCACCTCTTTCCCCCTCGCCTGATCCTCCCACAGGGAATCCTCTTTGCTCCTGTCAACAGTGTTTGAGATGTTTCAGAGTTTTTATTGGATCTTCATTGTAGCTCTGTCTGTGAGGATTCAGTGAAGCTAAGATTTAAGGGCCAGAGAGAGTTGAAACTTCTACCAAGCATCAGCCATGGCTGCCCTGCTTTCCAGAGTACTGTCCACGGACCTCTGGGCCTCAGGGACTAGAGAATGTCAGGGGACCATCTCATTTCATACATGTAAAAACTGAGGCACGGAGAGGGCAGGACCACCCAGCACAGGATCAGCACACCTCTCCAACATCAGTACACCCCACCTTTTCAGGCAGATACAGGAATCTCCTCCGCAGCAAAGTGTTGATAGGTGGGAAGCAGTGCTGTGATGCCCTTAGCTTTGGCATCCAAATGCTTGAGTTTTAATGCCTGACCCACCATTTCCTTGCTGTACAAGACCTTGAGAAAGCTAATTAACCTCTCAGTAACTGTTTTCTCATATATAAAACAGGGATGAAAATAAAAGTATGTGCTCCATTGAGTTGTTGGAAGCTTTAATAAACACAGGAAAAAAATTAGAATTGTGTCTACCATGTAGTAAGTATTCAATAAATGTCAGTGACTATGCCCATGATGAATATGGTGAATATGATTATGATGATCATGGGCATTATCCCTGGTGCTAAGAGTCACTTCTACAGGAGTTTAGCTTGCCCTGACCTAGAACATTGAGGCAGGGCATGAACTCAATGTTGCACTGAGAACCAGTCTAACACAGGAATGTTTTCTCTGTTTCACAGGTGTCAGTCATGTTCTCTGGATAAATGATAAGATTGAAAGTCCTTGAAGGCAGGAGACAGCCCCAGATATCGTTTTGTTGTCTGACACAATACCAAGCACAAATGATGTGCCTAAATCCTGGGTCTTTAACCCAAGGCCATCTACATATGCCCTGGGCCTGCCAGCTCATGAAAACCAGCCTCTGTGGCAGTTGGGGTGCTAAGGAATTGCTCCAGTTGAGCTTCACTGGTTTTTACTCTTGGCTGTCATGCTTGGATCTCTTGATTATGTTCCATCAGTTCACCCCCTGCCTCTGGGCTGAAAGATTTGGTGTTCTTTCTAAGTTTTCTTGCATGATTTGTGGCTTAGAACGTCTTTCCCGTACATCTCTAGCCCTTTCCATCTCAAATGTTGACTCAGATTATTGGCTCAGGGCAAAGCCACTGGCTCCAGCTCTTAACCCTGTAGAATCTCACCTATCCCTGGCACCCAACATAGACATCCACCCCTTCAACTCCACCAAGCTAGGGAGTAGAGAGTAGTTGTCTTTTCCATCCATTCTCTCCCTTCCCCTCCTTGTCTAATTTCTAAGAGTTAAGAGTGGGCACTTTTCCAACATTTCCGTGGTTACGGGTAACTATGTCACTCAATCCTGGCCACATGAGGTGGGACACTAGCCCACTGGAAGAGTTTTCTTCTTAATAGAAGAGAGAAATCTGTAAGAATAATCCCCCACTGTTCCTACCTTGGGTGCTATTATGTGAGGCCTTGATGCTTGAACCTGTGGCAATGATCTTGCAACATGAGGAAAGGGTCACAAGAATTGCAGAGATACTGACTGGAGCCCTGAGCTGTTAAATAAACCAACTCCAAACCAATGGGAATGGGGTATGGAACCACCAGTCTCTAGATTTTCTGTGACAAGGAACAATTAAGCTTCCATATTTCTTAAGCCTATTTTAGTCAAGAGCTCAGTTAGTTGCAGGCAGAAGCATTCCAAAGTTTTATCAAGTAAGCATCAATTTGCCTATCACAAACTTTATCAAGGTGTTGGTAGATTCTACCTTGTAGACATAATGTGATCTACTAGGAATCTATGTAGAAAATTCAAGAATCCAAGAATTTGGGAGAAAACTTAAAAGTCGTCCATATCTGACATATAGATCAATGGAATAAAATGGAGGGTCCAGAAACAAACTCTCATATTTATGGTCAACTGATTCTCAACAAGGGTGCTAAGAAAATTCAATGGGGGAAATAATAGGCTTTTTGCCAAATAGTGCTAGATAACAGAATATATCCACATGCAAAATATGAATTCAGAACCCTATCACACACCATATAAAAAAATAGCTCAAATGGATCAAATATCTAAATGTAAGCACTAAGACTACTAAACTTTAAAAGAGAATGCATGTATAAATCCATGACCTTGGATTAGGCAATGGTTTCTTAGATATGACACCAAAAGCAATCAAAGAAAAAGACATATAAATTGGACATTAACAAAATTTAAAAATGTTGTGCTTCAAAGAACATCATCAAGAAAATTTAAAAAACCTTGAATACTGTATATATTTTCTCCAAAAAAGTTACACAAATAGCCAATAAGCTCACAATGTGCTTCTCTGCTGAGCCCAGAGAGAGCAAGATACTACTACTCAACTAGCCCTTTAGACAGCCACCACAAACACATACGAACGGGCACATGGGATGAAATGTGTTTACCATTCCCAATCTAGGACAACGGTACCCAAAGGAAATGTTGGTGACTATGCCCATGATGAATGCTTATAAACCAACATTTCCTTTGTTTTGTAAAACATTTGAAGCCATGTCCATGGACACAGAGGAAACCATGACGGCACCAGAATGTCTATTTCTGTCCTTGAGATGATGCTAAGACTAGGATATCCCTGTGTCTAGGAACTCACTACTATTGTACTGGTGTAGCTCAGTCCATCTTTGAGGAACAAAAAGAAGTTCTATTTTTTTATTTCAACTTTTATTTCAGATTCAGAGGGTACATGTGCAGGTTTGTTGCAAGGGTATATTGCATGATGCTGAGGTTTGGGGTACAATTGAACTCATCATCCAGGTAGTGAGTATAGTACCCAATAGGTAGTTTTTCAACCCTTGCCCCTCTCCTTCCATCCCTCTCTTGTAGTCCCCAGCATCTAGTGTTCCCATCTTTATGCCATGTATACTCAATGTTTAGCTCCCGCTTATAAGTGAGAACACGCAGTATTTGGTTTTCTGATTCTGTATTAATTCTCTTAGGATTATGGCATCCAGCTGCATCCATGTTGCTGCAAAGGACATAATCTCATTATTTTTTATGGCTGTATAGTATTCCATGGTACATATGTACCACATATTATTTATCCAATCCACTGCTGATGAGCACCTAAGTTGATTCCATGCCTTTCCTATTGTGAATAGTGCTGTGATGAACATACGAGTACAAGTGTCCTTTTGGTAGAATATTTATTTTCCTTTGGGTATATCCCCAGTAATGATATTGCTAAGTTGAATGATAGCTCTATTTTTAGTTATTTGAGAAATCTCCTAACAGCTTTCCACAGTGCCTGAACTAATTTACACTCCCACCAACAGTGCAAAAGCATTGCCTATTCTCCGCAACCTCGCCAACATCTGTTGTTTTTTTACTTTTTAGTAATAGCCATTCTGACTGATGTGAGATGGTATTTCATAGTGGTTCTTATTTATATTTCTCTGACGATTAGTGATGTGGACCATTTTTTATATGTTTCTTGGCCACTCGTATGTCTTCTTTTGAAAAGTGTCTGTTCATGTCCTTTACCCACTGTATAATGAAGTTGTTTTTCACTTGTTGATTTGTTTAAGTTCCTTATAGACCTTTGTCAGGTGCATACCTTGCGAATATTTTTTCCCTTTCTGCAGGTTGTCTGTTTACTCTGTTGATAGTTTCTTTTGTTGTGCAGAAGCTCTTTAGTTTAATTAAGTCCTACTTGTCAATATTTGTTTTTGTTGCAATTGTTTTTGAGGACTTAGTCATAAATTCTTTGCCAAGGCCAATGTCCAAAAGGGTATTTCCTAGATTTTTTTCTAGGGTTTTTATAGGTCGAGGTCTCAGATTTAAGTCTTTCATCCATCTTGAGTTAAGTGATAAGTGCACACAAATTAAGGTTTTTTTAAGTATTTTTAACTTTTTTAAAGTATTTTTTAGGTATTTTTAACCCTTATTTTAGATTCAAGGGTACATGGGCAGGTTTGTTACATAGGTAAATTCATATCACAGGAGTTTGTTGTATGGATTATTTTGTCACGCAGGTATTATGCCTCGTACAAAACAGTTTTTTTTTCTGCTCTTCTCCCTCTTCTCTTCTTCCACTCTCAGGTATGCCCTGATGTCTGTTGTTGCCCTCTTTGTGTCCATGTGCTCTCATCATTTAGCTCCCACTTATACGTGAGAACACGTGGTATTTGGTTTTCTGTTCCTGAGTTAGTTTGCTAAGGATACTGGCCTCCAGTTCCAACCATGTTCCTGCAAAGGGCATAGTCTCATTATTTTTTATGGCTTTGTAGTATTCCATGGAGTATTGTACCACATTTTCTTTATCCAATCTACTGTTTAGGTTAATTCCATGTCCTTGCTACTGTGAATAATGCTGTGACAAACATACACATGCAGGTGTCTTTATGGTAGAATAATTTACATTCTTTTGCGTATATACCCAGTAGTGGGATTGCTGGGTTGAATGGCAGTTCTGTTTTTAGCTCTTTGAGAAATTGCCACACTGCTTTCCACAATGGTTGAACTAATTTACACTCCTACCAACAGTGTGTAAGCGTCCCCTTTTCTCTGCAACCTTGCCAGCATCAGTTATTTTTTGACGTTGTAGTAATAGCTATTGTGACTGGTGTGAAATGGTATCTCACTGTGGTTTTGATTTGCAATCCTGTAATGATCAGTGATGTTGAGCTTTTTTTATATGCTTGTTGGGCACACGTATGTCTTCTTTTGGAAAGTATCTGTTCATGTCCTTTGCCCACTTTTTAATGGGGTTGTTTGTTTTGTTCTTGTAAATTTGTTTAAGTTCCTTACAAATGCTGGATATTTTTAGGTCTTTGTCAGATGCATAGTTTGCAAATATTGTCTTCTATTCTGTAAGTTTTCTGTTTACTCTGTTAGTTTATTTTGCTGTGCAGAAGCTATTTAATTAGATCCCATTTGTCAATTTCTGCTTTTGTTGCAATTGCTTTTGGTATCTTCATCATGAAATCATTGCCTGTGCCTATGTCCAGCATGGTATTTCCTAGGTTGTCTTCTAGGGGTTTTATAGTTCGGGATTTTACATTTAAGTCTTTGATCCATCTTGAGTTGATTTTTGTATATGGTGTAAGGAAGGGGTCCAGTCTCAATCTTCCACATATGGCTAGCCAGTTATCCCAGCACCATTTATTGAGTAGGTTTTCCCTCTTGCTTGTTTTTGTCAGCTTTGTCAAAGGTGTGCAGCCTTACTTCTGGGCTCTCTACTCTGTTCTATTGGTCTATGTGTCTGTTTTTTACCAGTACCATACTGTTCTGGTTACTGTAATCCAGTAGTATAGTTTGAAGTCAGGTAATGTGATGCCTCCAGTTTTATTCTTTTTGCTCAGGATTGCTTTGGCTATTCAGGCTCATTTTGGTTCCATATGAATTTTTAAACAGTTTTTTCTAGTTCTGTGAAGAGTGTAATTGGTAGTTTGATAGAAATAGCATTGAATCTATAAAAATTTCTTCAGGCAGTATGGCCATTTTTACAATATTGATTCTTTCCACCCGCAAGCATGGAATGTTTTTCCACTTGTTTGTGTCATCTCTGATTTCTTTGAGCAGTGTTTTGTAATTCTCATTGTAAAGATCTTTTACTTTCCTAGTTAGCTGTATCCATTCTTTAGGTCTTTTATTCTTTTTGTGGAAATTGTGAATAGGATAGCATTCTTGATTTGGCTCAGGGCCTGGTTGTTGTTGGTGTATAGGAATACTAATTATTTTTATATGAATACATTGATTTTGCATCCTAAAACTTTGCTGGAGTTGTTTATCAGCTTAAGGAGCTTTGGACTGAGACTATGGGATTTTGTAGATACAGCATCATGTCATCTGCAAACAGAGATAGTTTTACTTCCTCTCTTCCTATCTGGGTGCTTTTTATTGCTTTATCTTTCCTGATTGCTCTGGCCAGGACTTCCAATAGTACGTTGAATAGGAGTAGTGAAAGAGGGCATACTTTTCTTTTTCTGCTTCTCATGGGAAATGCTTCCAGCTTTTGCCCATTCAGTAAATGTTGGCCGTGGGTTTGTCATAGATTGTTCTTATTATTTTGAGGTACATTCCTTCAATACCTAGTTTGTTGAGAGTTTTTAACATGAAGGGATTTTGAGTTTTATTGAAAGCCTTTTCTGCATCTACTGAGGTGATCATGCGGTTTTTGTCTTTAGTTCTGTCTATTTGATGAATCATGTTTATTGATTTGTGTATGTTGCACCAACCTTGCATCCCAGGGATGAAGCCTACTTGATCATGGTGGATTAGCTTTTTGATGTGCTGCTGGATTTGGTTTGATAGTATTTTGTTAAGGATTTTTGCATCAATGTTCATCAGGGATATTAGCCTCAACTTTTCTATTTTGTTATTGTTGTGTCTCTGCCAGGTTTTGGTATCAGGATGATGCTGACCTTATAGAATGAATTGGGGAGGAGTCCCTCCTCTTCAATTGTTTTGGAAGAGTTTCAGTAAGAATGGTACCAATTCTGGTAGAATTTGGCTGTGAATCCCTCTGGTCCTGGACTTTTTTTATTGGTATGCTATTTATAACTGATTCCATTTGAGAGCTTGTTATTGGTCTGTTCAGGGATTCAATTTATTCCTGGTTCAGTCTTGGGAGGGTGTATGTGTCCAGGAATGTATCCATCTCTTCTAGATTTTCCAGTTTGTTTGCATAGAGGTGTTCATAGTAGTCTCTGATGGTTCTTTCTATTTCTGTGGGGTCAGTGATAATATCCCCTTTGTCATTTCTAATTGTGTTTATTTGGATCTTCTCTCTTTTCTTTATCAGTCTAGCTAGCAGTCTATCTATTTTATTATTTTTTTCAAAAAAAACTAACTCCTGGATTAATTGATCTTTTGGATGGATTTTTGTGTCTCAATCACTTTCAGTGCAATATGATTTTGGTTATTTCTTGTCTTCTGCTAATTTTGGGGTTGCTTTGCTCTTGCTTCTCTAGTTCTTTTCATTGTGATGTTAGGTTGTTAATTTGAGAACTTTCTAACTTTTTGATGTGGGCATTTAACGCTATAAATTTCTCTCTTAACTCTACCTTAGCTGTGTCAAAGAGATTCTGGTGTGTTGTATCTTTGTTCTTGTTAGCTTCAAAGAACTTTTTATTTCTGCCTTAATTTCATTATTTAACCAAAAGTCACTCAGGATCAGGTTGCTTAATTTCCATGTAATTGTATGGTTTTGAGTGATTTTCTTAGTCAAATTCTATTTTTATTGCTCTGTGATCTGAGAGAGTGGTTGGTATGATTTTGGTTCTTTTGCATTTGCTGAGGATTGTTCTATGTCCAACTGTGTGGTCAATTTTAGAGTACATGATATGTGGTTATGCGAAGAATGTATATTATGTTATTTGAGGGTAGAGAGTTCTGTAGATGTGTGTCAGGTCCATTTGGTCCACTGTTGAATTCAGGTCCTAAATATCTGTGTTAATTTTCTGCCTCAATGATCTGTCTTATACTGTCAGTAGGGTATTGAAATTTCCCACTATTATTGTATGTGAGTCTAAGTTTCTTCGTACTTGCTTTATGAATCTGTGTGCTCTTGTGTTAGGTGCTGCATATATATTTAGAATAGTTAGGTCTTCTTGTTGAATTGAACCCTTCACCATTATATAATGCCCTTCTTTGTCTTTTTCTTTATTTTTGTTGTTTTAATGTCTGTTTTGTCTGAAATTAGGATCACAACTCCTGCTTTTTTCAGTTTTACATTTTCTTGGTAGATTTTTCTCTATCCCTTTATTTTGAGCCTATGGGTGTCATTGCATATGAAATGGATCTCTTGAAGACAAGATATTATTGGGTCTTGCTTCTTTATCCAGCTTGCCACTCTGTGTCTTTTAATTGGAACATTTAGCCCATTTGCCTTCAAGGTTAGTATTGATATGTGTGGATTTGATCCCGTCATCATGTTGTTAGGTGGTAATTATGTCAACTTGTTTGTGTGGTAGCTTTATGATGTCACTGGTCTGTGTACTTGTGTTTTTGTAGCGGCTGGTAATAGTCTTTCCTTTCCATATTTAGTGCTTCTTTCGGGACTCCTTGTAAGGCAGGTCTGGTGGCAATGAATTGCCTCAACTTTGCTTGTCTAAAAAGGATTTTACTTCTCTTTCGCTTGTGAAGCTTAGTTTGGCCAGATCTAAAATCCTTGGTTGGAATTTCTTTTATTTAAGAATGTTGAATATAGGCCCCCAATCTCTTCTGGCTTGTAGGGTTTCTGCTTAGAGGTCCACGTTAGTCTGATGGGCTTCCCTTTGTAAGTGACCTGTCCTTTCTCCATAGTTGCCTTTAACATTTTTTTCTTTCATTTCAACCCTGGAGAATCTGACGGTTGTGTCTTGGGGAATTATCTTTTTGTGAAGTTTTTGCAGGGGCTCTCTGCATTTCCTAAAGTTTAATGTTGGCCTCTCTAGCTATGTTGGGGAAGTTCTCACGGATGATATCCTGAAATATGTTTTCCAAGTTGCTTCCATTCTCCCCATCCTTTTCAGGGATGCTAATGAGTCACAGATTCAGTCTCTCTACATAGTATCATATTTCTCAGAGGTTTTATTCATTCCTTTTCATTCTCTCTTCTTTATTCTTGTCTGACTGTCTCATTTCAGAAAGCCAGTCTTCAAGCTCTGAGATTTTTTTCTTAGCCTGGTCTATTCTACTGTTAATACTTGGAATAGCATTATGAAATTCTTGTAATACATTTACAATTACCAGCCCTGTCAAGTCAGTTATGTTATTTTCTATACTGGCTATTTTTTCTGTCAGTTCCTGTATCATTTTATTGTAATTCTTAGCTTCCTTAGGTTGTGTTTCAACATTCTCCTGACTGTTGATGATCTTCATTTCTACCCATATTCTGAATTCTAGTTCTGTCATTTCAGCCATCTCAGCCCAGTTAAGAACACTTGCTGGAGAACTAATGTGGTTGTTTGGAGGAAAGAAGACACTCTGCGTTTTTGAGTTGTCAGAGTTCTTGTGCTAGTTCTTTCTCATCTGTGTGGGCTGATGTTCCTTCAGTCTTTGAAGTTGCTGACCTTTGGATTTTTTTTTTCTTTTATCCTATTTGATGACCTTAGGGGTTTGATTGTGGCATAAGGTGGATTCAGTCAACTGGCTTCATTTCTAAAAGATTTTAGGGAGCCAAGTCTCAGCTCAGGACTCCTGGGCCACATTCTCTAACTCTGGGAGACTGGTATTGAGCCCCAGCTTTGTTCCCTGACTCCTCGAGGTTAGGAACCTGATGCACTGGGGGGGCCAAGATGCTGCTGGACCACTGGTCACAGTGCTCTGGTGGATGGTGCCAGCCAAAGCACTTCACAGGGCAGTGGTAGTGAGCTCTGTCCTCATTTGCACATGCCAGTAGCAGTGCAGTGGCAGTGCAGCAGGGTGCATGCTCAGCTGCAGCAGGGTGTTAGTGGGTACTGGGGTGCTGGCCTCTGTGCAAGTGTTCACAGCAGCAGCAGTGGCAGCACAGCTTGGGGTGGGCCCCACTGGACACTGGGCAACTGTGCATGCATTAACACCAATGGTGGTGTTAGCATGGAGACAGGGTGCTAGTGGGGGCAGGACTGTGTGTACCCTTGTGCACGTACATGAGGGCAGCAGTGGCTACCCAGGGTGGGGACGGGTCCACTGTTTCAGCTGGGGTCAGGCATTGGCAGGCAAGGCTAGCAGGCTTCATGCCTACTAATACTCTGACAACAATGGCAGTTGGGGGGGCAGTGCACTCAAGTCAGCAGCAGTGGCATGTCAGGGTGCCTGCACACACATATCCTTGTGGAGAAGGAAAGGCAAAGTCCACCTGCACAAGGTCCACATGTGCTGGCAAAGTGATGTGGGGAGACCCTGGGTGAGTATATACAGGCAAAGTGGCACAGGGGAGGCTACAGTAGGGGAAGAGCAGGGGTGGAGTTAGTGTGTGTCCACGGGTGGCTCTGCTGGAGCACTCTGCCGGTCAGGTACAGCCTGCCAGCCCTGAAGCTATGATGCAGGCCAAGGCAGTACCTGAGGGCTGCACTGCAAGCAGTTGTGGCCAGGCTGGGGCCTCAGGAGAGGCCATCAGACTAAGGGGTGCTCAGATCAGACTAGTCCTGTCTCATGGGCAAGACCACCCTGCAGTTCCAGTCTAACAGTTCCCCTAGGGCTATAGTCTCTTATGGCAGCAAGTTGAGCCTAAGAGGATGGGCATCCCTGGCCATGCTTCACTACAGATGCCCCTACACCAAACCCTCTGGGCTCCACACTACCTGGAGTTCTTCCCCATCTCTTCTCTAAGCAGCAATTCCTGCCAATTCAAGTGTCCATGGTAGTCGAGTGGTCACCTCCTGGTGGAATTCCAGAGGCCCAAGGTTAGAGCAGGTTGCTCCTTGCCTGTTGAACTCACCCCTTCATGCAGGCATCATTGAGGGGCAGGAACGAGTCCCAGTGTGCAGAAGCCCCTTGCAGGGTTCCCAGCTTCCTCCTGCTTCAGCCCAGCCTCTGTGTCTTCCTTATATTCACCCTGAATGCCTTCCCTCTGAAGACATGCTAGGAGTGCACCAGTCTTCCTGATATCCCAGTCTCTCGGTGAGAGATGTTCCTCCTGGCTGTGTCTAGTCAGCAGCCATCTTGGAGCTAGTCCTCTGAGCTCAGTTTCATTCTTCTGCATATGGATAGTCAGTTACTCCAGCACCATTTATTGAATACGGACTTTCTCCATTGCTTATTTTTGTCAACTTTGTCAAAGATCAGTTGGTTGTAGCTATGCAGCTTTATTTCTGGGTTTTCTATTCTGTTCCATTGGTCTATGTGTCTGTTTTTGTACCAGTACCATGCTGTTTTGGTCACTGTAGCCTTGTAGTATAGTTTGAAGTCAGGTAATGTGATGCCTCTGGCTTTGTTCTTTTTGCTTAGGATTGCTTTGGATATTTGGGCTCTTTTTTTTTTTGGTTCCATAAGGATTTTAGAAGTTTTTTCTAATTCCGTGAAAAATGACATTGGTAGTTTGATCAGAATAGCATTGAATCTGAAGATTGTTTTGGCAGTATGGACTTTTTAAAGAATTGATTCTTCCAATTCATGAGTATGGAATGTTTTTCCATTTGTTTGTGTCATCTATGATTTCTTTCAGAAGTGTTTTGTAGTTTTTCTTGTAGAGATGTTTCACTTCCTTGGTTAGATGTATTCCTAGGTATTTGTGTGTGTGTGTGTGGCGATTGTAAATGAGATTAGGTTCTTGATTTAACGCTCAGCTTGAACATTATTGGTGTATAGAAATGCTGGTGATTTTTGTACATTGATTTTGTATCCTGAAACTTTACTGAAGTCATTTATCAGTTCCAGGAGCCTTTTGGCAGAGTCTTTAGGGTTTTCTAGGTATAGAAACATATCATCAGTGAAGAGAAATAATTCGTCTTCCTCTTTTCCTATTTGGATGCCTTTTATCTTTTCTCTTGCCAGATTGCTCTGGCTAGGACTTCCAGTACTATGTTGAATAGGAGTGGTGAGAGTGGGCATCCTTGTCTTATTCTAGTTCTTGAGGGGAATGCTTCCAGGAAAAAGTTCTATTTCACAAGCAATCAAAGAAATGTAAAACAAAGCAATGAACATTTGTTTTTCATCCATAATATTAACAATTAGTTAAAATATAATATTCAGTGGTGGCAAGGGTATGGTAAGATAGACTCAAGTTCTCACTGGAATAAAATGTAGTCCATCTGTAGAATAAAGTTGAACAATGTGCTCTTAAACCCAGGCATTCCATCCTTATTCTTATCATAAAACTCAGAGATTAAGATGGGTGTTAATTATATAAAGTCATTAATCAAGATTCTTATTGTACAAGCCAGTAATTGAAACAACTTGTATATGCAGCAAGAAGGGAATTGTTGACCTTATGGAAGAGTAGAATGATAGATGCCAGCAGCTGGAAATGGGTGGGGGGAATGAAAAGAGGTTGGTTAATGGGTATAAACCTACATTTAGACAGAAGGAATAAGTCCTACATTTAGGTAGGAATAAACCTACATTTAGATAGAAGGAATAAGTCCTAGTGGACACAGTAAGGTGACTATAGTAAACAATTTATTGTATATTTCAAAATAGCTAAAAGGGAAGACTTGAAATGTTTTGAACACAAAGAATTAATAAATGTTTGAGGTGATGGATATCCTAAATACCTTCATTTGATCAGTACACATCACATGCATGTATCAAAATATCACATGTACCCCATAAATATGTATAATTATCTATGAATAAAAAAAGAAAAGAAAGAGGGGAATGGTTACATAAGTTATAATATACCTATATGCTAGAATGGATTTTGAAATAGTTGGATGGCATCACCATATAACGTTACATTTAAAAACCAGGGTTCCAGCCAGGCATGGTGGCTCACACCTGTAATCCTAACACTTTGGGAGGCCAAGGCAGGCAGATCACCTGAGGTCAGAAGTTCAAGACCAGCCTGGCCAACATGGTGAAACCCCGTCTCTACTAAAACTATAAAAATTAGCCAGGTGTGGTGGTGGGCACCTGCAATCCCAGCTACTCAGGACGCTGAGGCAAAAGAATCACTTGAAACCAGGAGGCAGAGGTTGCAGTGAGCTGAGATTGTGCCACTGCACTTTAGCCTGGGCGACAGAGCAAGACCCTGTCTCAAAAAGAAAAAACCAGGGTCCAACATTAAAATGTACATGATTTCTAATTACATAAAAATCTTTGCTAATTCATAGAAATGTGACTGGAAAGAAATACAACAAAGCACTGATAATCACAGTTACTGGACAGTGGGATGAACAGTAATGCATATTTCTGTCTGTATTCTTTCCTATACTCTCCACATTTTCTCAAATAATCATGTTTTCTTTTTTAGAGGAAAAACAGCATTATTACAAAAAAGAAAGGAGCCAAAGATCTTAAGTCACCATGGCTCCTTCTATTGCCCGCTGAGCTGTGTCTCCCAAGCTCACTGACCTTCAGAGGCTTTGTTCATAAAATAAGGACAATGGTATCTAAGAGTCTTCACAGAATTGCTGTGAAGATAAAATAAGAAAACGACATGCTTTGTAAATTGTAAAGCATTGTACAAATGTTAGCTGTTACTAACATTATAACACAGAATTAATTCCAATAATCTGAGAGAAGAGAAAAGAAATTCATAATAAGATACCTCAGGCTTTGACATAGGAACTAGGAAAATACAAGAATAAGCTAAGAATAGAAAGAAGTAAAACATCCACAGGAATCCTGGAGAATGTTCACTAGCATATCTCAGGAAGCTCAGAGAAAACATTTAACAAGAAGCCAAAAAAAAAAAAATTCACAAGGCAACCAAATATTAACAGCACTGCTTGGCTAACAAGCCACACATGATATTTTGTCTTTAGGTTTTTTAGCTTTCTGTTTTGTTTCATTTTGTTTTTTCAAGTCTTCTGAAAATTGAGAAATGATCAAGTTGGGAGAATGGAGGAGTTCACTCATTGTGACAGGCAGATAAAAATTAGAGATAACTTAGGTCAAAATCTATTGAAGAAGCATCTTGCTCCAAAAGTCAAAATCAGCACCCAGAGGGAGAAAACTGGAGGACAGAGAGGGCACTTAATGATCACAGGGCCAGGACTGGACTCAGAAATGACAAGGACCCAGCAAAAGGATTCAAATTCTTTACCTTGCAAAGGAAAATGCCTGTGGCCACTCGTTGCTGCCCACTCCTTCCTATACAAGACTCTCCTATTCTTGCTTCTTGAGTGCTCACCTGTCCCACTCCCCTGCAGCTCCCTCTCTGACTTCCCTTCCCTCCCCACTCCACACTGTGCCTGCTCTAAGGGTCCTTTTTCACTCCCTGCTCTTGCCTATCCTCCCTGTTATTTCTCCCTGTTCTAGCTAACACCTTCAAATCTACATCTTCATGCAGGATCATTTCTCAACCCCCTTACCATCTCTCTAAATGCCTCTCAGACACACACCCCCAGAAGCCTTGCTGCCCCTGGAAACTAAGCCTGCAGCCAAATGCGTCTTCCTTTTTTTTTTTTTTTTTTTTTTTTATTATACTTTAAGTTCTAGGGTACATGTGCACAACGTGCAGGTTTGTTACGTATGTATACTTGTGCCATGTTGGTGTGCTGCACCCATTAACTCGTCATTTACATTAGGTATGTCTCCTAATGCTATCGTTCCCCTCTCCCCCAACCCCACAACAGGCCCCGGTGTGTGATGTTCCCCTTCCTGTGCGTCTTCTAAAAAAAATGCGTCTTCTAAAAAAAACGCAAACAAACCAGTGAAAGTGGGTTCAATGTATCCTTACTTGCTAGTCCTAATAACAATTCTGCTAGAAACAATTTCCTCTTGTGCTTCTTCTTCTCATCCCAAACTAAACTGATCATGTCCCAAATACTATTAATACAATCTTTCATATTTTTTTCTACCAGGCCCTTCCACCTGCCCCCATCCCAGTCCAGAGATTGATAGGTCACTGTGGCAGCTTTCTGATTACCTTCTCATCACTGCATCTCCTCTCCCCAATCACTTGTAAATGCCACTGTCAAAGGGAGTTTTGCAAGACAACACTTTCTCCTCACTTGGATTCTCCCAACAAAGGCTTTCAATGACTACCTTAAAGGCCTATTAGATAAAGAACAAATGCTTTTCCTAACATTCAAGCTCCTGAGTCCTAGCTAAGGGCTGGATGGATGGAAATGTCTTGGCCAAGTTCAAGGGTTGGGCCAAGATGGTGGCCAACATTAGATTTCAAGCATGAAGGCTAGGGATACCAGTTGTCATGAGTTAATTGTGCATGGGCAGGGCTGTTAATGGTCAAAAAAAGAGTCAAGTCTTGGGAAAGAATATAATTGTCAACATTTGAGCATAAAGAACAACCTCCCAAAGCAGAATCATTCCAGAAATGGAAAGGAACACAGAGATGAGAGGCAGGAGGGTGGGCTTCAGAAACAAGGACAGAAGCCAAAGTTGGGGCCAAAGAGGCCCTTCCCATGGGCAGATCAGAAGTGTGCTTGCTCAGAGCCCAGGAGGCTGAGGTTGGGCAACATAGTGAATGTGAAGCCAACTCTGTGGAGCACTTGCTCCCCACACAGTGCTCACTCTTCTCCATAGAATAAGGCAAGCTGTAGCTCTGAAAAAGTCAAGAGTGTAGCTTCTGGAAAATTAACCTAAAAGTATAGAAGCCACCCAAAGCATAGAAAGCATCCATTCATCAACTGATGAATGGATAGACAAAATGTTGTATATCCAATACAATGGAATATTATTCAGCCATAAAAAGGAATGAAGTATGTTGCATATTGCAACATGATAATACCTTGAAAGCATTTTATGCCAAGTGAAAGAAGCCAGAAACAAAAGGCCACATATTGTAAGATTTCATTTATATAAAATGTCCAGCATATGCAGATCTCTAGAGACAGAAAGTATCACAGATTGGTGATTGCTTAGGGCTGGGAAGATTGGGAGGCTAATGGGTAATAATTAAGAGGTATGGGGTTTCCTTTTGGGGTAATAAAAATGTTGTAAAATTGATGGTGGATGAATGTACAACTCTATACTAAAACACATTGAATTATACACTGTAAATGGTAAATTGTATGTTATATGAATTATATCTCAATAAAGCTGCTTTTTAACAAAGGTGGCAGTTGGTTCAAAGTAGACTTCAATTCTACACGACCAAAGAAAGAATCAAAAAATAAGTCAGCAAGGAAAAAGTGAATTTTATAACACCTCTATCCTGGCAGCTTGTGGAAAGCCCAAAGACGTGCTATGTAATCTTTTCTGTCTCCATTGCGAGATTATTTTCTTTTCTCTGCCCCTTGGTGCTACCTCTGCAGCTTATACATATTTCTGTTTCTCCTTCAATAGCAATAGATTATAACTGTTGGCCACCCTGGCTGCTTCCCTACTGCACACTGTGGCTCTCAGAGGACTGAGACTGTTCCCTATTGGCTCCTATATCTCTAGTCCCTGGCACAAGATTGATGCTGACTAAATAACTGTTGAATTGATATTAATGTTATAAATCCTGGTCCCTTTTATCTAAAAAATCTTACTATCTGATGAGAAACTAGTAACACTAGTTGCTGATGAGGAGAACTCAGTAGTTAGGGAGAGGGATGGGAGAGAAGCATTTTGCACACCCTTTAGTACCTCTGGAATTTCATGTATGTCAATATGTCACCTTCTCCCCAGATAAATTAATTTAATGTTTTAAATTGTTTAAAAATATATCATTTATTAGCAAAGACACAGAATTCATGCATTTGACAAAACAGAGAACTGTAGAATGTGACAAAGCTCTCAGGAGAGCAGACTCAGACAGCAAACTCTTCAGTGGGAGGCCCAGGGGAGTGGAAATCAAAGTCCCCAGGAGACCAGAGTGGAGAGAATTATAGCTCTCTTCTCATAATTCTAAGGAAGCAATTGTAGTTCTCCATTCATTCTTGGTAATGACATCAGGGTTTCTCTGCCAGCCTCAACAATCTCACCACTGCCAGTCTCAAGGCTGATACAGATTCATCCACATCATGTGGCATTCACATCCTTGCTGCCATGCCCACCTGTCCACTCAGGAGGACAGCTGCTGCAGCCAGAAACTGGGAGAGAAGACCTCATTGCTGGGCAGAATTACTCACTAACTAGTACAGCATACGAAGACCACCCTCGCCACACAAGGAGAGGCACACCTGGAAGCACTGGAAGAGAGGCTAACCTCGTCCCCCATGCCCTTTCCTCCTTTCTTTGAAGGTTTTTCCCCTCTCTTGGGACCACTTATGCACCTTAAGACCCCTGGACCCTCATGCTGCACCTCATTGTCCCTAAGCACTGACGCACATCACAGTGAGAAAATAGAAAATAATGGGACCCAAATGTCCCCAAAAGACACCAGCCCTCACAGGGAGCCAGCACCTGGTTGGGGTACACTTTGAAATGGCCTGTAGATGTCTCAGCCTCTGCCTCCTCCAAGTAAGCACCCTGAAAGCAGCTCTGCAACTCCTCACCATTCATCACCAGCCCCCAGCATAGTCCCGGTACATGACAGGCAGTATTTGTTGTTTAGCTAACAATGAATGAGCATGTAGTAGTGCCATGCACTGTTGCAGTTCATTTAATCCTGACATCAGCCTTAAGAGGCAAATGCTATTAGTCCCATTTTACAAGTAAGTCACAGAGAACTTGAAATCACTTGCCCAAGAGCCCACAGCTACTAAGTGACAGAACCAGGACACAAACTCAATCGGCTACAGAATTCTTTAGCTTAACTGAAATGCTCATGACTCATACAAGAGATATTGAAAGTGTGTGTGTGTCAGGGTGAAGGTGGGCAGGGGCAGGGGTAGAAGGAAGAAAGAGAAAGACAAGAAAAGAAGGGTGGTAGGCAGGGAGGGACAGAGGAGGAGAAAAAGTGAGGTGGATGGAAGGGAGGCCACTAGGTCCCGGGCACAGGCTTTCCACCTTGAGAGGCAGCAACTCTATACGGTCAGTACCCTACAGTCCAGAGACTGACCCAGGTTGAACAAACTCTCAAGTGACTGATGAATAAGCCAGAATATCAATCAGTTTATTAGTTTCAGAGAGAACTATTACTTCCAAGAAAACCAGAGTCTCACGTCCATTGGTGGGAGGTCAATGTACATGGGAAAAGGATCAGCCTCATCTGAAGCTTGCGTGGAAAGCAAGGACTCGGTGCCAGAGAGCCACAGGATGATGTTAATGGCTTGTGTCAGTGAGTTATGATTGTCTGGTGCTCCCTGCTCCTCCTAGACCCATCTGTCAAGCAGAGCGGATGTTTCTGTCAGCCAGTCGGGACCCCTTGCTTTGGACAATGCCGGAAAAACACTGACAAATTACTGCTCCGTGGCATCCCCTTCCTCTAGACCATGCACAGACCACCCCACTTTGGTTAATACATTTGTTTCCCAGACGAGGCACATTGTGATTGATTAGATTTCACAATTGATTAGGTTTCACAATCCCAGATGTTTAACTTCATTATGCATGGATTCTTCTTACTAACATAATCTCAGAGGACAACCATGTTCTGAAAAATAAAAAGGGGAAAAAAACAGGACTTATTCTCAGGCCTGTTGCTGCTCTCATCCTCTAAGTTGGCTCTTTGTCTCAGAAAAGGGTCCAGTTTGTGTCTTCACAGTGTGAACAAATTGGGAACTGGTTGGGAGGGGGACATGATGGGATGGGATGAAAACCAAGCCTGGATTAAGGAGGCTGACTCCACTGCAGAGGAATGAGCTTACAGCTCAAAAAACTGTGATGCTACTCTAGTTAGTCTAATTTAATCCTAGCTGCTTGTGAAGGCCATGCATAGGCTGCCTAGCTTATCAAATTTCTCTGGTACAGTACAAGACCTTATAACCAGTAGCAGAATTTTTTGGTGTCACTACTAAAAGTCATATTTAAATTTACCAAGCACCTTCTACATTGTAGATGTTGTGTCAAACTCTTACACGCATGTGTTAGTTAACCATTGCTGTGTAACAAATTATCTTCCACGATTCAGCGTCTTAAAACAACATGCATCGACTGTCTTGCAGTTTCTGTGGGTCCAGGCACAGCCTAGCTGGGTCCTCTGGCTCTCACAATGCTGCAGTCTCATCTTGAGGCTGGACTGGGAAAGACTCACTTCCAAGCTCATGTCCATGATTATTGTAAAGATTTCTTCCCTCTTGAATTGTTGGACTGAGAGTTCTCCTCCTCAGGGAGCCCCCATGAGCTTTTGGCTGGAGACCTCCACACTTCCTTACTATGTGCCCTTCTCCATAGACCATCTCATACCATGGCAGCTTGCCTCATTAGACTGAGCAAGTGAGAGGGCAAGGAACAGTACCAGTGACAGAAAGAGAGAGAGAGAGAAGGAGAACGCTAGCAAGAAAGAAGTCACAGACTACAGACTTAACCATGGAAGTAACAACCCCTTACTTCGCTCTATTCCATTTGTTAGAATCAAGTCACTAGGTCCCATGCACACTCAACGGGATGGGATACAGAGGGGATAAATACTAGGAGGTGGGGATTGTTGGGAGCCAGTCAGAAGCACATGACCTCCTCAAGGCAACCCTGTGAGATAGATGCTATTCCTGTTCTATGAATTTTCCAGATGTGGAAGCTCAGAGAGGTTAAGTCAGTTGTCCAAAGTCACATAGCTTGCTGATGGTGGAATCAGATCTCACATACGAATCTGATTTTATAATCATTCACTGAGTTCAGCTTGGTCAAGTGATTTTCCCATAGTGGTCCCAATATCCTATCAAAAGAAGGTCACTCATTCTGTCAATGAGTAAGGTTGGTTGCCTCTAATTTAGCATGAGACTAATTTGAAGGGAGACCAATTTTTGGTGGCCACTAGCATCAGGACCAAGATCTGGGCCTTTCCAATTCTGGACTTTGAATCTCAGACTTGCTGCAGAGATGTCCTGTGCTCCTCCTCCAACCTGGCTCTGTCAACACAAGGCAGTACCTCACTCTTGGTCACTGCCTGGTTTCCCTTCCCTATTATTGTAGCTGATGTTTGTATATACAGTATTCCCCTTAGCAACCTGCCCAATGACATAACCCTGTAGCACCAGGCATAGTTCAATAATGTCTCATAAACACTTATTAAACACTACTTTGTACCATGAATTGAGTGATGCAGAGAAAAATCAGACATTGCACCTATCCTCAAGACAGTCACAAAGTGTCTTGATTCTAGCATTGTGCCATCCAATACAGTAGCTACTGGTTACATCTGGCTACCAAGTACTTGCAATGTGGCTGGTCTGAAATGAGATAAGTTGTCACTCTAAAATAACAGTGGATTTCAAAGACATATGAAAAAAGTAAAAATATCTCATCAATATTTTTATATTGATTGTAAAACAATAATATTTGGGGTATGTTGAATTAAATAAAATATACTATTGAAATTCATTTCACTTCTTTTTAGTTTTTTTAATGTGTAATGTGGCATTCCACATCGGACTCACATTTGTGGCTCTTGTCACATTTCCCTTGGACCACCCTGGTCTAGAGGCAGGGAGTCACGTGATACCCACAATTCCCATTTATTGAGGGTTCACCCTGTGCCTGTGTTCCACATACTCTCTCTCTACATGGAACACAAGTTATTTCATCTAGTCCTCATAATAAACTCATGCAGTAGACATCATTATTTCCTCTTACCACTAAAGCGGAGGCTCGGTGGACTGAAGCACCTTGCCTACAGCCACACAGTAAGTGGGTGAGCAAGACTGAGAAGCTATGGGGCTCCAGAGTCCATCAGAAAGAGGAATACACACCTGTGCTGTTCAGAGTGATGGACGCTGGAATGGAGCCACATGGGGAACCCAGGAGAAAGCATCCAACTCCACCTTGGAAGGCCAAGGAAGACCTCCAGATAGACATGACGCTTAAGCTGAGTAAGCCCAGAATAAAGATATCCACGAAGCCAACAGGCAGGAGAGAGCTTTCCCAGCAGAGGAAGCAGCTGGCGTGAAACCCCAGAAGCATGAAACTGCGTGGTGCATTCAGGGAACAGTGTGGGTTTGACATAAGAAAGTGGAGGGAGATAAGACGAGCAACATAAGCAGAAACTTTGCAGTAAAAGAACTACACACCGTGCAGAGGGGTTTGGACTTTGTCCTGTTGGGTCAGTAGTCTCAACTCTGGCCGCGCATTGGAATCACCAGGAGAACTTTTTAAAATACCAATGCCCAGGACCCATGTCAAAGCAATTAAATCGGAAGATCATAGGAGATGGTGATGAGGTGGCCCAGGCTCCAGAATTTGTTAAATACTCTCTCCAGCGATTCTAATGTGTGGCTGGGTTGAGAAGCTCTTCATAGTATTAGGAATTTGCGGAATAGCTTTAAGAAATGAAGTCAAATGATCAGAGTTTTGTCTTAGGAAGATCATTCTGAGGGTTGCATCGAAAATGAATTATTTTCCATTCTCCAGTAACTCTGGAAGCCGGGAAACCAAGCGGGTTTCTACTGAAATAGTCCAGGTCAGGGATGCTGAGGCCTGAGGCCACGTAGATGAATGGAATGGCTGTGGGGGTTGAGGTGCGGAGCCCCCTGAGAGAGGCCCCTGCTATGGTTCTGACCACCTCCAGCCTCAAGCACTTCCAACTGCCTCCTGCATCTCTCCCACTAGGTGTCCCACAGACATCTCCAGCTCATCACATCCTCATTGGAATTATTACATTCCCCCAGAGCCTGTTCCTGCAGGTTTTCCTAAGGTTTCCTTCATTCCCCTCATGGCTCCCTAGAAACCCTCCACCCCTCCAGGTCCATCATCAACTCCTCTCCCTCTCTCCCCTCTTTTCCCACATCCAATCAATCAGCAGGTCTTGTTGCTTTTATCCTCAAAGACTGTCAGAACAGCTCTTCCCTGTCACTCCCCAGCCCCTCTCTTATTCAGGCTCTTTCATTTATGGCTTGAATCCTTGTGACATTCCCTGTGGCAATCGCTACTGGATTTGGATGTCCAAAGCCATTTGAAACTCTGATTCAATAGGTCGGGTGTAGGGCTCAGGCATCACACACATGCACACACACACACACACACACACACACGCACACACACAAAGAGATATAATCTCCCAAAGTTATTCTAACTTCGTTTTAGATATGTGGTTCTAAAAGTATGTCCTTGTACCAGCAGCATCAACATACCTGGGAACTTGTTAGAAATGAAAATTCTTGGACCTCCACCCCAAGTCTACTGAATCAGAACCCTGGGGGTAAGACCCAGAGAGCTGTGCTTTAACAATCCCTTCAGGTCATTTTGATGCACATTCAGGTTCAAGAATCACCTATCCAAACTACTCATGGAAATCTCATTCCCACTTGCTAATGATTGATTTTCAGTGTGCACATAACCCAGTTCTGGCCAATGAAACATGAAAGAAAATCTTCCAGGAGGGCTTCTGGAAAAAAAATGTTTTCTCCCTGATAGAAAAAGGGAGCCATATTTTAAAAAAAGCTCTTTCTCCAATATGTATACTTTATGTGAGTAATAGGACCTGTTCTCATGTGAGGCTGTGATGCTTGGAGCTATGGCTGCTATCCTGGGACCATGAGGAGAAAGTGGAGAGGATCACAGGAAAGCTAATCCAAAACCTGATGTTAAACTTTCAAATTAATCAATTCTGGAACTTCCCAATCTTCATATCTGATGCAAGATCACTGTCATTCTTATTTAAGCCACTCTTAGTTATATACTTTCTTACTTGCAGCCAAAAGCATCCTGACTTCTATAGCCTCCTGACTGTTATCCATAGTTCCAGGCTCTTCCCTTCAAATCTATCCTACTGTGAGAAACTGTGAAGGGTCTTAGATTTTACCCTATCTACAGGCTAACAACTGAGCATGAACCCTGGTGAAAGGCATAAAACTTCTTGGTCAGAGGCAAAATATTGTATTACTCATGGTACAGCAAGCACCATGTTTGCATCAGTTCCCCTTCTTCTCAAGTCACACAGGGACAACACTGTGGGCCCATGTGGTACCTACACACCCAGTGGGTTGCATTACAGGAGAAGAACCCCAAGCCAAGGGCCCAAAAAAGCAGTAAGCAGCAAACAACAAATAGGTTCTCCTCCTGTCCTCCCAGGTAGGGATGGTTACCTTGCCCTACTTAGTCACCTTTATGACCAGATACAGAACTGCTCAGTATCGAGAAAGAGACAAACCCTGCAATCTGAGACATTCAGCAAAAAAGTGCAGGGAAGTTCAGAGCTCATAGTGAACTGCCTTTCCAACACCGTGTTTATCTTCCAGCTAGAGCTCCCAAATGTCCATGGCTGTAGTCACCTAAGTCCTTGCCTCAGATACCAGCAGAGTCTGAGCTAGCTTGAGCCCTTAATCATCCCTTCTCATTTCTGGCTGAAACCTATCACACCCTCCAAAAAAGACTGACTATGCCCCAGCGGCTCAAGGATACTCACCAGGCACTTTCTCTTACCTCCGCACAGAGTCCACTTCTTGTCTGGCATCACAGTTTTCCAGACTTTCATCTTCCACCAGGCCCCTCCTCTCATCTGCATCTCTTTGAATTTATGCTTCAGTGACAGTCTCAGTCTTGATTCCCCTTTTGGTCCTACGTGCCCAGGGTTCTGCATTTTCCAGGGCAGTCCGAGTCTACTTTGTTCTCTCACCGCCAGCACCCTGGACTTCCACCAGTCCAGATGAGAGTTCAGACAAGCGGCTCCCTGTTGCCTCCTAAGCACATAACACTCCTCACTCTGGAATCAAAGCCCTACATGCCCTCCTCCAATTTCCTTCTCTGAAATTATCTCCAACTATCCCTCTACAGTCTACACACTCCCCAGGGTTCCTGGACTATGTGGTTTTCTCCATCCCATCTGTTGTTTTTCCCCTCTAGACCTTTCCTCATGATCTTTGCTGGATTTAGAATGTGCTCTTCCTCCCCACTCTGCTCCTGGGGAAATCCTATCCCTCCCTCAGGCCCATCTGAAATGAAGACTTTGGTAAACCTCTGTACGGTTCTCTCCCTGCTGGCCAGGCCCTCTGCTTCTTTTCAACCCAGGGGCTGTGAGCTTCTCTTACAGTTCTCATCTTTCCAGTCTTCTGTGACGTCCTCCCAGGCTGGTCTCATTCCTGCTGCAAAATAAAAGCTCACAAAAGCAGGGACTACTTGATACTCCCTTTTGTCTCCCTTTCTGACCTGAGTACTGTTGCTAGCTCTGTTACTAATAGTGTTCTCCCCTAAATGCGTTTGAACACCATGACTGCTTTTTCCTAACTAAAGCAAATGAGAAAGCCCTGCTGTGAACTGCATCCCCGCCATGCTAGTCCATTTTTCTGCTGCCTTAGATACCAGAGGAGGGATGAAGCCTTCGTGTCACTGAAACTGATGTCACTTGTTGAGTCCGCCAAAGGGCAAATAGGCAAAATACAACTCTATAGGGGAAATATGTTGTGATTGGGGGTGTGCAAACTACACAATCTCCCAAACAGTGTGCTGAGAATTGATTCCAGGTATATCTGGATACTTCAGCCCTTGCAGTAGCTAGGTGGGGCCTGGATTGGGCTGAGCCTAGTGGGCTGTAAAAACATCACTTTTGTGTATTTATGAAAATAAAAAGGATTGAAAGCCTAGCTTTAGGGATGTGGAATTCCTAGCACCAAAGGGCCTAGCATCTTGAGGGTCTAATCCTGCAAAGGTTTAGACTGTTTCACTCATAAGCACCAAATAAAGGGAATTGTCAATGAAATGAAGATAAGAATGAGGAGTTGAGAGGGGGACAGGCTATGCTGAAAAATGTGATGAAAGCTTGTGTATGGATTGGGACTAGGATGGAATGGCTCAGAAGAAACGAGATGGGCATAGGTCTAGCATGAATTGTGGTAAGAACAGGAGGCAATGGGTTAGAGAGGGAGTTAATGGAATTTGCGTGAGCTGGAAATAGGGTGGATGGATAGGGGAGTAAGGCTCCACCCAGAAAAACCCACCTGGCTTCCTCAATGTTTCCTTTCCTCCATCCTTCCCAGTACCCTGATGGATAGCTTTGCACAGATAAATTTTGTTCCCAGCCCATGTCCAAACAATATCACAAAATCAGCCCTAGCCAGTTGTTTCTGTTTACAGCCCTGTCTGTGATTGATCCAGCTCTGGAAAAGCCCATTTATCATGAGGAACCAAAGCTTCATGGCCTACTGTCTATTTTGTTGCTTTATTCCCTAGCACTAAATGGGACTTCAGGACCTCCCACTTGTTCCAGTACCCAATGACATGCCTATATTTCCACACTCAGTTTGCCCTTCCCTTCAGCCCCTCTAGCTCTCAGCCTTCCTGGGACCTTAAATAAGTCACGCAGCTCCTTTCACCAACTCTTTTCTTGTTCTCGTTACTTCTGGGCTCTTCTGCCTTTCTATCTCGTCTCCTTCTCTCAGCAGCTCACTGTCCTTTCCAATTTCAGCTGAAATCAGATTCCTTCTCCCTTGCCTTTGCTTTCCCACCTCCCATGGCCTCTCTTATCATTTATTATTTAACTCAGTCACCATATTATGTATGCACAAGAGCCATTTCTGAACATGGTCGGCATGAAAAAAATAGGACCCAAAGCAGAAGCAAACACCTCTTCCCTATCAGTCTCACAGCTCCATTGTCATCCTGCTCCAGTCCTGAGCAAGGTCCAGCGAAACAGCCAGATCTGGCCAACACACCCTCAAGCCCAATTAACTTCTTAGGTTGGACACAGGGAAAATTTCCAGATGGCTTTTTACAGATATCCTTCAATTTATGTAAGAGATGCCTTCCTGGAAGTGGATGTTTGAATGAAATTCCAAATGGAATATCAGGAGGGTCAGGCACACAGGATGTGTGGTTCAGAGACCCAGGTTCTATTCTTCTTGAGATGGAGTCTCGCTCTGTTGCCCAGGCTGGAGTGCAGTGGTGCAATCTCGGCTCACTGCAACCTCCACCTCCAGGGTTCAAGCAATTCCCTGCCTCAGCCTCCCAAGTAGCTGGGATTACAGGTGCCCACCACCACAACCAGCTAAATTTTGTGGGTTTTTTTTTTTCTTAAGTAGAGACGGAGTTTCACCATCTTGGCCAGGCTGGTCTTGAACTCCTGACCTCATGATCCACCCACCTCGGCCTCCCAAAGTGGTGGGATTACAGACCTGAGCCACCGCGCCCTGGCCTCCAGCTTCTATTCTTTAATAGCCCTCATTAACTTACTTCCAGAACTTGGGCAAGACCTGTAGCTTCTCTAGATCTCAATTTCCCCATTTATAAAACAAGGGAGCCAGACTATATTTCCTCAAGTTTCTTTCAGTGTGAAAATTCAAAAACTCCTATTTTACTTAATGATCCACATGATTCCATTGGAGATCCTTCCTACAGTTAAAATTCAGCTCTCTCCTCATCAATAGGTCATTACGGAGCATGTGCTATGCTGCTGCGCCTCATTAGAAGGGAATGTAGATTAACCTGGTGAAGCCCTCCTTTTATAGATGAAGAGACCAGAGCCCAGAGAGGAGAAGCACCTAATCCTGGGGTCACACAGCCAGTGAGAGGCAGAGTCAGTCTAAAATGTACAAGTCCTGGCCTGAGACTACTCTTTTTTTCCTGTGTGGTGTTTTAAGCATGACTGCAAATATTTTTATCCTCCTTCCATCAAGAGGTAGATCTATGTCCCCTACTTTCTTTTTCTTTTTTTTTTTTTTTTTTTTTGAGACGGAGTCTCGCTCTTGTTGCCCAGGCTGGAGTGCAATGGCACAACCTCAGCTCACCGCAACCTCCACTTCCCAGGTTCAAGCGATTCTCCTGCCTCAGCCTCCCAAGTAGCTGGGATTACAGGCATGTGCCATCACACCCAGTTAACTTTGTATTTTTAGTAGAGATGAGGTTTCTCCATGTTGGTCAGGCTGGTCTCAAACTGGCAACCTCAGGTGATCCGCCCACCTCAGCCTACCAAAGTGCTTAGATTACAGCTGTGAGCCACCACAGCAGACCTTGTCCCCTACTTTTTATTTGAATGGGTCCTTGGCACCTCCCACCAATAGTACATTTGGAATGAATGCTATGTAACTTCCAAGGCAGGGTGCATAGAAGGCCATACAGCTTCAGCCTAGCTCTCAAAGGACATTTATTTTCTCTCAGAGCCTTCATGTAAGAAGTCCAATGGGTTGGGTGCTGTGGCTCACGCCTGTAATCCCAGCACTTTGGGAGGCCGAGGTGGGTGGATCACCTCGGAGGTCCGGAGTTCAAGACCAGCCTGGCCAGCATGGTGAAACCCTGTCTCTACTAAAGATACAAAAAAATTAGCAGGATATGGTGGTGCACACCTGTAATCCTACTTACTCCGGAGCTGAGGTGGAAGGATCTCTTGAATCCCGGAGGCGGAGGTTGCAGTGAACCAAGATTAAAACACTGCACTCCAGCCTTGCTCTGTCTCAAAAAAAAAAAAAAAAGTCTAACAATCCTGAGAACTCCATGCTCTCTCAGCTGAGCCCACCCGTAAGCCAGCCCAGCCCAGCTGCCAGACATATGAGTGAAAAAACTATTGGAAGTGGATCCTCCAGCCCCCAGTGGTTGAAAGCACCCCCATTCCAGTCCTCCCCTGAAAGATCCACCTCTGTGCTTTTTTCTAACTTCTGACCCACAGAATTTGGGATCACAATAAAATAGTGGTTGTTTCATGCCACAAAGCTTTGGAGCAGTTTTTTACATCGTCATAGACAACCTGAAGAACTAGTAAACTCTCATGTTGGCTAATATTCTTGGGCTCCCTTCCCCCAGGTGACCAATGCCAGGAGTGTGTGACTTGCAGCACATGTGCTGAAGGTGGAGAGAGGTAGCCTCTGCCTCCTCACACTGCACATCCCCTCACCTGCCTCCAGTGTGGTCAGTTCACATAGGCTTTCACTCCTCTGCCCAGGCAAAGTTCTCCTCTCTCCTGCCACGGTCCTTTGTTTATATCGTGAGTGCAGGCTTGTCACACGGATAGCAACCAGATTATTTATGTTTGTCTTCACTAGACTACAGGCTCTAAAGGGACACAGCTGTATTCTATGCATTTCCCTGTGCTGAGGCCTAGCACCTAGTGGGCGTGAAATAAATACGTGTGGAATGAAACTGTCAAAGACCATGTGACCAGCTGGCCCTGACCCCCTGCTAACAAGCAGCAGACCCAGAACCCCTTTCTGGTTCTCCTCCAGGCAGGGCACAGTTGTTTCCTATCTGAGCAGGCTCCATTTGCTTCACATCAGCCCAAGAACAGGGAATGGGAAATGCCTTGTGCTGCAGGAGGGAAGACAAAGTAAGCCAGAGAGCACTTGGCCATCTGGGGCTGGGAGCGGAAGAGAATGGAACCATTCTGGAGAGCCAGACATTTGTTTTGTAGTTGTTGCCTTTGTGAATGTACATGTCCTGAAACCCTGGTTAATTTTCTTGTTCAAACATTGGTTTAAAATTGCTGGCTCTAGGAGAGATACTGTCCTTCAGCAGGTTCTGTTATAAACTTTGCAACTCCAAGGTCTGATTCAGCAGCAAGCTGGAAAAGTTCCTGGTTGCTAAGAGACCAGAGAGCAAATTAGCAGCTCACAAAAGACCCAGCTAAGACCAGTAAAAAATAAGACAAACGAAAACAAGGTAGGAAATGGGCCTCCTCAAAATCAAAATAAGGTAAACAAACTGGCTAGGAAAATGTCTGATTGGAAAAGACAATTATAAGTATTCTTCATGCTGAAGTAAAATGCACTATAGGTAGCTAAACTCTATCTTTGTCTTTTTGTCACTTGAAGAAAACAGCAGGGGAGCCCCTTTCTAGTCCTGAAATTCCGGATCTATGAGTCAGAGGGAAAAACAAACTGTCCCAGTTGATAAGGAGGAAAGAAAAAAGTGAAATAGGCTGCCTCTTTTATGAGCTCTCCCTGCCAGGACGGTGAATGGGCTACCTGGGGTGGTGGCCCAGAAACATTCCTGCAAGCAAACAAAAGCCTCCCCCCAGGAAAGGTTTCTGATCACTGCTGGTCCAAGGCTCAGCCGCAACAGAGGGCTCTGACCCCCACAGGACTTGGCCAGACACTTCAAGATCCCATCTGGCAATCAAGCATGAGAATTCAGGTACTTGTAATAAGAAGGGGCAAAGAGAAAAGTACCAAATAGGTCCCAGGTATTAAATATTTATTTTGTTAAAGTGCCTCTATAGCTATGATTTTTAGTAATTTCTTTTCTGGTCAGACAATCTAGTAAAATATTATATTAAAATTATTTTTAATCAAAAACAGAAAAAAGCATGCCAATCACTTACCTCTGATGGAAATTCATTCTCCAAGACACACAGTTTTCCTAAGAACCTACTGCTTAGCTGGACAAAATAGTAGGAAAATGCTCCAAGTGGAAATTACCAGCCTCTTGAGGGAGGAGCTTGAAAATCTTAAGTGATCACAGAAAAGTCACAGTCATCTGGGTTTTGGAGACCAGAGAAGAAATGAAGAAGGGCAAAAAAAAAAAAAAAAAGAAAAAAAGAAAAAGATGGGGTGTGGGGAGGAAGATGGGGAAACATGGAGCTACAAATTGGGAGAAAATTAAGGCAGCCAGTAGGCATATGTCAGGGAGCTATGGCGTGATATGCCTAAGAACTATGTGACTGAATAGCCTCCACTTATCAATATTTGTTGGACAGCAAAAGGATTTCAGAATATGATGGATCCAACAAGCATGAAATAATCTTTAGGGGAAAAAATTACAATTCCCCACATGGCAGCTTCCTTCAGATCTTTTCTGACAATCCTGTTTGTCAGATTTCTAAATCGCATGCAACTGCTATATTTTAGGCAGAGCTGGTATCTTCCTGGAAAAAGACCGTCCCAAATATTCAGTGCCCCTCCCTGCAGGAGAAATAGACACCTCCTTTCTGATATATGCAGCTCTGGCCAAATGACTTGCTTTGGCCCATGAAATGTGAGCAGAAGTCACATGTGTCACTTTGGAGTATAAGTTTTAAGAGCTAGCACGTGGTTCTCTGGCTTTTCTCTTGCTGTCACAATGACCAGAACATGTTCCAGATAGTGCCTTATCCAACAGGCTTGGTCCCCAAGAGAAGAAAGCATGGAACAGAGCTGTGGCTGGATTGCAGTGGACACGTAGCCCAGATGAAAAATAAGTTCTGTTGTGGAGTTACCTGCAATTGCAGCAAAACCTAGCCTATGTGACTAATATACATGGCCCACGGGACTAAAAGGTGGCCAGAGTTGCCCCTCGCCCTCATTCACATTTTCTCACTAGCTGGCCACAGTCTCACCTTGAGAGGAAAGTCATTATGCTCCAGGTGGCTTTCTTAGAATTCAGATATGTTGCCTGACTGACCCAGGAAATCAGGGCTGGCAGCCCTGCTGCTGAGCGTGGTTCAGTACCCAAGAAACAGGCAAAGATGGCGCACGGAGCTGAGAGGAGACAGAACCATGAACTTCGAGTTGGAAATGCCAGGTTGGAGCTGGCTCACCAGTTCTAATTTAACCCAAAAAGAACAAACAAAAAACAAAACAAGCAAACAGAAAAAAAAAAAAAAAACACTAGACCTTCTTATTCCTACCTTTAGAACTTTAGAGAGTGTTGATATTTAAAAAAAAAAAAAAAAAAAAAAAAAGGCAAACAAACAAAAAACTGACCCCCAAAGCCAAAAGAAATAACATGTCTTTATTGAAGAAATGTCCATTCTTCCTTCAAAGCCTCTTTCCCTTAACAAACGTGGTATGCACAGCAAAATGGAAAAGATGTCAGCCTCCACAGTACAGAGGAGGTGAGAAGATCTGCTTCCCAGCACACTGTGGAAAGGCAGGGCCTGGAGCAAGGCTGTGACCTCAGCTGCACATCTGGGTCCTAAGACCACTGGAGGGAGCTGTGCTGAGTCAAGGTTAGAGAGCCCTTGGCAAGCAGATCCCCGGCAAGGCAGCCAAGTCAAAGAGGAAGTTTGAACACTTAATGGGACATCAAATGGGATTTTCCCTGCAATCTCAGAACTTCTGCTAAAAGCCCTAAAGTGGATAGCAATAAGTAAAAGTGCCCCCGCAGTCTAAAAAGAAAGTGATCAGAGGATACCTGCAGGATTTTCTCAAAGATGAGTGATCCAATCCTCCCATCCCACCTCCACCACCCCAAGAGAATACTAGAAGATTTGCGAGTCCATTGAAATAGGCGCATTTCTAAGAGTAGGGAGTTGTCAGCCTAGTAGGAAAGGCTAGGGTGTTTCTCCATCCCTCCCTTTCCCCATGAAGGCAGGAGGAAGATGTTTCTCCCATCCTCAAGTGAGGCACAAAGATCCAAGAGAACAGCAGGGAGGTCAGGAGGCCTTCGAGAGGGAGAGAGTGAGTCCAATACCCAGCTGGGTGCTGGCTGAGCCACAGAAACCAGTAGGCTGACATGGTGCTCCCCAGACAGGAGCTTGGGGCTTGCCCTTGCCCCCAGGTTCTGGAACAGGGAGGCTGGCACCTGCTTTTTGTCCAGAGAATTGTAAAGGAATGTAGGAAGCTGGCTGGGCTGGCTTGCAGTGGCAAGTACAGAGAGGGCATGAGGTGGGCATCCCTCTCATCTGGGCCACGTGACCACTACGGAATGTGTCCCTACTCTAGGTCTGATAAGACTTCCTCCTAAAAGGGAAGCCCAGGAACTAGAGGCAAGGTGTGGGGGAAGGTGGTAAAAAGCAGACTAGGCCACCTCTCCAAGGCAGACCTAGCTCAGGCTTGAGCTGAGGGATGGGGAGGGGAGAAGCATAGTGCTGGGTATGAGATTGAAGTTTTGATTTAGCCCGGCCACGACCTTTCAATGCTTGAAAGTGAGGTGAGGCAGCCAAAATAAAACTAGTTATTATAACTGAAGGTGACCAAAAAGCTGTGGGCTGTGCCTGAAACAACGTCAAGGGATGGTCCAGAAATAAGGAAGAGAAATGCAACAGAGAGCTAGAAAACAATAGTTGGAGAAAAATAAAGCCACCTCCTGATTGTACTCCATGGAGTCACATCGGTCAAAAAACCAATTACAATTGGAGGGAAATTCACCAGAGAGAGAAGTGCTGTCTAGAGAGTAACTATGATTGGGGAGAACTGCCCAAAGACATTCCATTCTCCATCTCATTAGAGTATGCATTCTCCAGGGTGTGAATGCTCCCAAGTGCTCCCAAGGGGGTGGAAATTGGCTGGGGTGGGGGTGTGAAAAATCTTAGATGTTTCAAAGTTTTATGACCCTCCAAAGTTTAATCCTGCCCAACAAAATAGTATGTAATTATTTCTTAATTTATGTTTACTATACATTTATTTATCAATACATATCTTATCTCTCTATAAATTTATATTATTTTATGTTATTATTTAAAATAGTGTTTAGGATAGGGAAAAAATGAAAGGAAGGGAATTTTTTTTCCTTAGGGGAACAATGCTGAAGAAAAGTCTAGAAACATTGAGTTAGAGAGAAACACAACATTCAACCTCAAACCAGAACTGGTGTTTGGATAAAATTTTTCTGGCTCCAAGTAGAATTGCTTTCACTGAATTTGTTTTGATATCCTACCTTTTGAGGGCTTTATCCTCTGCTTCACAAGGTGTCCTTTTCATAGGGACCCAGAAGAGAACGTTCTTTCAGGTTTCACTGTAAAGAAAAGCAGTGCTTCTTCTGGATAAATGGTTTGTTTATCTTTTATGTTTTATCTTTTATGAGATTTGTTATGCACATCTCAAATTAGATCAAGTTTCCCTCTTTGCTTCAGCCACAGGGGAGCTCAGGGCACCTTTTGTAACCACTGCAGGACTGGGCCATATGCATATCTGGGACTTTGCCTTATCTGTGCTTTTAGTATTTTTCTACTTTTAACTTTGCCCCAATTCCCTCAACTGTGTTTTAACTCTTTCCTATTTCATGTATTTTTATAAGCCCCCTACAATCCTTTGTGGAATATGTGGGATATAAATATGTAAAGAGGAACACTACCTCTCCTTCCAAAGTTTTCTTTCCGCCCACTCTTATTAAGTCTGTCCTTATACAGTTGCTTTTCTTTTTAACTCAATGCACAACTAAAAGGTATTCTATTGGGTTTTATCTTTTTCTTAGTTTTCCAGGATATTAAGATCATCTTGAAAACTGATTCTGTAACCCAACATGTTTGCCAACTTTGTGTTATCCATAGTGTTGAGGACCATACCTCCCATGTCTTCATCCAAGTCATTGATAACAATGTTGAATGGAACAGGGCTAAGACAGACCCCTAAGGTATGCCACTAGAGACCTTCTTCCAGCCAATATCAATGCACTAATCCCCTTTCTCTTCTGATATGGTTGAACCAACGATTAGCCCACCACATTTCTGCCATCTGTCTTCTGGCTAAGCTACTTGGTCAAACATCTCTCTGACCAAGGAGCCTCTGCCTACAGCATTCCTTAGACCTGTTACTCTTAATATCGCTCCCCAAAAGGAAGTAGGCTGACACTGGATGCCGGGAACTCAACTCTACTGCAATTGTGTGGCTGCCACCTCTGCACTGGAAATTTGATACTGGATCCCAAAAATAAGAAGCCTGAGTTGCCAGCTGCATGAGTAAAATGAATACACCACCCAGAGCTATGTGTTTCCAAATCAAAGTCTAATGTAGGTTCTCCTCACCGGTGGAGCCTGGGTCACATGACTGGCACCAGCTGCAAAAAATACTAAAAATCTCAGTTCTCTGGATTCTGCCTTGGAGCAGCAGTTCCCATATGTCAGGAACTCTAACAAGGATTAGAATGATGCTCAAAAAGTGCTAAGCAGTCAGACATGACGAATGTCCCTAGAGCCCAAATGGTGGGGGGACATGGCTGCCCAATGAGCCCAGGCTCCATCCTGCAGTTCTCAGACCCTTCTCCAAGCTCCTAGGAGAGGAAAGCCAGTGGGCTAACCTTGGACGGGGTGCTTTCCAGAGACAGTCTCAGCTAGTTTGCAAGGGGTCAGGCAGTGCTGTGAAGGCTGTCGGTGCCCTCCTGATGTCCCCTCAGGGCATTTGATCCCCTCCTGGTGTGCTTCCACCTGAGTCAGCAGGCACCTGAGTCTCTGTGTCAGAGGACTGTTCTCGGGCAGCCTCAGCCCTGGGAATTCACATCCCCTAAGACAACCCTCAATCAATATGATTGACAACATAAGGATTAAACATTCTCCAGCCTTCTCCATGATGAAACAACTCTGAAGTGTGACTTACACCATTAACAGACATCCCCTGTGGGACTCTTCCAAAGTTACCCTCGGGGACACTTTGCTTCATACTCACTTCTTTCCCTTCTTTCTTCCAGTTCCCTACGACCTCTGGATTTTCCCTGGGAACACACTTCCTAACACTTTCACACAAACCTTTGCCTCAGGGTCTGCTTCTGGAAACCAACCTAAAACAGGAAACCATGGCTGCCGGAAGTCCATGGTGGTAAATCGGGAATTACTAGAGAAGGAATGAAGAGAAGACCCCAAACGTGTCCGTTGTCCCCCTGGTTGGACCCCCTCCAGACCACCTTGGTTCTGAATGTAGAAACTTAACCTCTAAATATCTGCCCAGGCCCTGCCCTGGTCCAGAAGCAGAGCTGGAACTCAAAACCAGTTTTGCTGAAGGTGTGCACCTTCCCAACATCCACTGGTGAGAACATCCCAGCACACTGCTCTGTAACTTCCAGAATTCATTCCTTTCCCCTTTTTGAATGTCAAGAGCTCATATGCCCATCTCATGTCATTGAGCGCAAATCCCTCCCCTATAATTTATCAAAGATTGATGACAGTGACTCTGAAATCTCATGTCAAGTCCCTCCCAGGCTGCACGACATAATTCATCAGGGTCAGAGCCCTGAGTTTATCACAGCTGCTGCTACCGGCTTTACTGCCTCAATGCCTGTCCTTGACTTCAATCCCCTCTTTGCAATGTTTGTTCTACCCTTTTCAATTGGAAGACCACTTTCCTTACTGGAAAAGAAGGAGGTAAAATCATAGTTAGGCAGCACAGCCCTCACTTTACCTTCGGCGAATGTTAAATCATTTTCTCCACGCAAATCTTTCCCTTAATTTTTGCATGTAGAACAGAGAACAATGGGGTTCCTCAGAGAGTTCAGAACCCCTAGCTCATTTGAGACAGTAGATTTTCCTACCCCACTTCTTACAGGTGGGGCCACACTGCTGGATTCAGCCCTTGCCCTCTGTCACTTAGGGGACGCTGAAGGCTGTTTTACAAAATGTGAACCTTCATGGCCACTTCTGAATCCTAAGCCAACTGTTTTCGGACCCAGGCTGCTTCTTCTCCTGCTGACAGCTGTCACTCCTTTATTCCCAACCACCTCTCTACTTAAGAGCCTGACTAAAAGTTTTTTTTTTTTTTTTTTTGAGACGGAGTCTCGCTCTGTTGCCCAGGCTGGAGTGCAGTGGCATGATCTCGGCTCACTGCAACCTCCGCCCCCCAAGTTCAAGCGATTCTCCTGCCTCAGCCTCCCAAGTAGCTGGGACTACAGGAGCATGCCACCATGCCCGGCTAATTTTTGTATTTTTAGTAGAGACCAGGTTTCACTATGTTGGCCAGGCTGGTCTCGAACTCCTGACCTCCTGATCCACCCACCTCAGCCTCCCAAAGTGCTGGGATTACAGGCGTGAGCGACCGCGCCCGGCAAGAGACTAAAAGTTCTTAATTATAGTCCCTGGCCCATACTTTGAATTCTCTTGGCTTTTATTCCTGAGGGCAGGCCTCATGAAATCACCCCTTTCCATCACTTTAAGGGAAGGACCATCCTGCCTCATCCTCAGGAAGTAACATTTTTCTGCAAGGTTAGCCACCAACAATTGCCTTTAGGGTCATCAAATTTTTGAGACTCTCAAGCCCAGAAGATGCCCTGGTTCCCTGGCTTCTAAGCCTCTTGCGTCCCTAATTTCTTACTACAACTTACCCTTCCATTCTTGCACTATTTTTTTCTAATCTAGCTATAAGAGAGATTCACTTAGTTTCTTTAGCTAAATTTCCATTTTTCCTCTTCAGCTGGATCAATGCTATTTTAAAACAACAACAATACCAGGAAGAGTAAATGAGAATCTAACGAAAATAGTTATCTGCAGGGTGTGAATAGAAATGTAGAAATGTAGCAAAAGGGCTAGGGATCGGAGGGAGACATCTTCTAGTATACCGTCTTATATATGTTTGATTTTTCAATCATTTAAATGTTTTTACATGTTTAGAAACAAAATTAAATTACCAAGAGCGAAAAAAAACTAAACCTAAAGATGAGTTTTAACAAAAGCAAATGAAACCTAATTCTGTATCAAATCATATAGAAAAATTCTAATTCAAAGAATTTGGGACACAGTACCCTGACTATACACCCTTAATGGAATATATTCTAAAGAGAATAAACACCACAAAGATGCCTTAAACCTGACTGAGTAGGTTTGTTCTTAGTAGTATAACTGGTGCAGTAACTCTGAAATGATTTGTGTGTGTTGTAGAATAGAGAAAGTTAATGAATATGTTGGCATTTTGAGAACCAAGTTCTCACTGTGAGAGAAAGAACACATGAATAGGGATTGTGGGAAGGGAAGGAAGACCCTGGGGTGTTGGATTTGAATTGGAAGTATCAAAGTAAATACAAGATTTCTTTTTTTGAAAAAGTATTTGCTAGCTCTATCCACTGAAAGAGCCTAGAAATAACAATGCTCCAATGGAATGAGTGCACCAAGCACCCAGAATTTGGTTTTTTAATAGTGTTCTCCATTGAAAGGAGCCAGGAGCCTTGGGAGAAATGACTGATCCGATTCTGGAGCAGAGACAGTACAGGGTAAGCCTAGGATGTCAGGTTGCGCTAAAAATCAAGAAAGTGCTCAAATTCTAATGGTGACATGTCAAAGGAGCACGGGAGCCAAACTGAAAGGGCTCCCACCAGGCAAATTTTGGACAATTTGAGTTTTAATATTTGTAATTAATTATGACACATGGATTTTTTTTAAGTTCCCCAGTTCATGGTGATATTCAAAAGGGTGGGGAAACTCTTCTTCATGAAAGAATGCCTGTTAATGAAGTAGAATGATAGAATTAGACAATTACCATTTTACAACGTAGTGAGTTACTCGGCTAAGAATCATCGGTGTATTCTGTTACCATTGAATAAAAGGTTGGTGAGATATTCATGCAGTTCAAATATAACCCCTTCAGATTACTTAGTAAGTAAAAAGGGGCAAGGGTGCAATGGAGAACAGTGGTGGACACCACTTAACCAAATGATCAAACTCAGCATCTAATAACGGGACCAACTGACATGAAATGGCAGCCAATTTCTCTACAATAGAAATGGCACGGATTCTTCAAAAATCTCAGGAAGGACCGAGCACAGTGGCTCACGCCTGTAATTTCAGCACTTTGGGAGGCCAAGGCGGGTGGATCACTTGAGGTCAAGGAATTCAAGACCAGCCTGACATAGTGAAGTGAAACTCCGTCTCTACTAAAAATACAAAAATTAGCCAGGAGGTGGCGCACGTCTGTGGTCCCTGCTACACGGAAGGCTGAGGCAGGAGAATCGCTTGAACAGGGAGGAGGAGGCTGCAATGAGCCGAGATCATGCCACTGCACTCCAGCCTGGGCAACAGAGTGAGACCCTGTCTCAAAAAAAAAAAAAAAAAGAAAGAAAGAAAAAAGAAAAGAAAAAAGAAAGTCAAGAAGAATTTTAAAAAATGATCTATTCTAGACTCAAGGATAATAAAGACACATGCAATGCATGATCCTTGAATCAAGGAGGGAACTACAAAGGACATTGTGGGGACAATGGAGGATATTTGGATGTGGATAGTATATGAAATAGTGCTATATCAATATTACATTTCTTGAATGTGATATGGTATTGTGAAGGAGAGTATCTTTAGAAGAGATGTGCTGTAGTGTTTAAGAGAAAGTATTATGATGTCTATAACTTAAATGATTCAGATTTTTTAGAAATATATATATGCTAGGTGTGGTGGCTCATGCCTGTAATCCCAGCATTTTGGGAGGCCGAGGCGGGCAGATCACCTAAGGTCAGGAGTTTGAGACCAGCCTGGCCAACATGGCAAAACCCTGTCTGGCAAAACCCTGTCTGTACTAAAAATACAAAAATTAGCCCAGCATGGTAGCACATGCCTGTAACCCCAGCTACTCAGGAAGCTGAGGCCTGTAACCCCAGCTACTCAGGAAGCTGAGGCAGGAGAATCATTTGAACCTAGGAGGCAGAGGATGCAGTGAGCCGAGATCACGCCATTGCACTCCAGCCTGAGCAACAAGAGCAAAATTCCATCTCAAGAAAAAAAAAAAAAAAGAAAAAAGAAAGAAACATAGATAAATAGATAGATAGATAGATAGATAGATAGATAGATAGATAGATAGATAGATGATAGATAGATAGGCATAGGCATAGATAGAGAGAGAGAGACATGGCTAATGTAAGTGAAACGTTCCAGGTGTTCATCGTACTCTTCTTTCAACTCATTCATAGATTTGAAACTTTTTGAAATTAAAAATTGAAGTAGGAGAATGCTCTGGCTTCACCTCAAACCATTTAAGTCAAAATCTCTAGGGGTCAGCCCAAGTTTCTTTTATAGCATTTCTCCAGAAGTGTTTACTGTGCATCCAGGGTTGAGAACTACTGGCCTACCTGATTCATGATGATGTCCAGGCCCTCAGACCCTGCCTCAGCCCCCAAGGACCCTGAAAATAAGTCTCTTAAAGGTCACAGGGGCATCTGAGTCTCCAGCAGGCCCTTGCAGCCCTGAGTCAGTAGCCCAGGCTAAGGAGGAGAGAGTAAAGAGTCTTCATAGAAGTGTCTGCTTAGCATAGGAACCCTGACTGCTTTTAGGTCCTTCTGGCTTCCTCCTGCCAGGCCTCTCCCTTCTCAGAGGCCCCTCTGAGATAACCCTCATTCTGCCCCTTCAGGCTGCCTCTGAAAACCTCAGGCCTCTCTTCCTCCTCCCTTGTTCATAAGGCCTCCAGCAAGGGACCTTGCATGGCACGCCCTCAATAAATGAGTGCCAGGTGAGCCGAGGTGGGCTCACTCACACTGTGCCTCTCTCACTGTCACCCTCAGGGGGGAGGAGGAAAAGCCCATATCAAACATGGGCAAAGGGTTTTACTTTGTCCAAAAAAAAAAAAAAAAGCAGAAGCTGAAGGTCAAAGAAGCAAAGAGAGTGGGAAGGACTCTGTTCTTTACAAAGAACAGAGTCATGACACCTCACACTGGACCCTTGCTAGGTGTAGGTGCTGTGGCCGCACTGAATCTGTGTTATCTCATAAAATCAACAGCCTAGCCTTATGGGGTGGGTCATACTGTCATTGTCACTTCACACCATGTGTCCCCAGCATCACACAGCTGGAACCTCAGCAGTCTCGGACCAAAGCCCACACCTCTAGCCATGGTGCTAGACTGCCTACATAGGACTTAAGGAGGAGAAGGAAAGCAAGAGCCAATATTGATGAGGCGCCTACTAAGATGATCTTGTTGAATTCTCTCTGCAGCCCTGTGAAGTCAATCTTATCTTCTTTTGATGAAGCTGAGCAAATGGACTCTGAGATAAAGTAATTTCATTCCATCATGTTGAACAAGCCTAAAATGTATCATGATCTGCATTGTCTTCTGTATGAATGGCAATCTCTGGAGTTGTGCAACCCAGGATCAAGAGTGACTTGCCCAGGGCTATGCTGCCAGTAAGGGATGGTCTCTGGATTTGGAAGCAAGGTCTCTCAGACTTTGGCCTCCCTGGAAAAGCCCTGCTGTCCCCTCACCCCCACCACCTCAAGTGTTCTGTTACCAGACATCTCTCCGCAGGGATCAGAACCTCCCTTCTGCAGGGAGAAGTGAGTCTTCCACTGCGCTGCCATCAAGGAGGTGTCAGAACCCTGAGCTCTTCTAGACAGACCTCAGCTGTTGAACATGTGAAGAACATGCCTTTCTGCAGATGATGAAGTGGGATGTTGGGGATGAGAAAGCAGAGGCAGAAAAGTCTGAGGCATGCCCCCCACAATTCAGCAGACTGTGGGGTAGTGGCACTCATAGCTAGGATGACCAGCTCATCCCAGTTTTCTCAGGACTTTCCTTGTTTTAGCATTGAAAGTCCCACATCCAGGGACAACCTTCAATCCCAGTCAAGGGAGATGGTTAATGTCTTGGTCAGCTTGAGCTGCCATAACAAAATCCCATGATGGAATAAAACAACAGACAAATTTCTTTCTCACAGTTTTCCAACATCGAGGTGCTGGCCAATTTGGTTTCTGTTGAATGCTCTCTCCCTGGCTTGTAGAAAGCATCTTCCTAGCGTGTGCTCATGTGGGCTTTCCCTGGTGTGTGCACATGGAGAAAAAGTAAGAAAAAGAGGGAGAACAAGAGACAGGAAGAAAGAGAGTGCGCTCAGGAGAATGCTCCAACGTCTCTTCTTAAAGGACATTAATCCTGTCATGGGGGCCCTACCCTCATGACCTCATCTAACCCTAAATACCTCCAAAAGTCTATCTCCAGATACAGCTACATTGGGGTTTCAACATTTGGATTTTGGGTAGACACAGTTCAGTCCACAGCAGTTGAATAACCTACTTGCAGCCAAATCCCTCTTCTCAACCCCTGGTCCCCGAGATGCCCAAGGGGAGAAGGCTATCTATTCTTCCAGAAACCCACTCAGCCACAACAGCTAGTAGATGAATACCTTGCACTGGAGTTTCTGGTTTTTTCCAGATTCCAGGCCTAAGGAACCCTAAGTGGTGCCTGGCTTTCGTTTCCAAGGCAGAGTCTCCTAAGAGTGGGCTGGGTAGGGAGGGTGATCCTCAAAACTCCTAGTTGCTATGGATAAGGTTCTGAGAGACCACACATCTGTACACAAAGTCACACCCAAATGCTTCTTTTGTGGGCCTTTCCAGATGCCCCAGTCAAGAGGGAGAAAAGGCAAGGAGGCTGTGCATAGACCAGGGCTAGAATCCTGGCTAACACTCACAGCCTGCATAACTTCCCCGTGCCTCAGCTTTCTTTCCTGTAAAATGGGGATGCATTATAAGGGTTAGAATAAAATGGGTTTCAAGTGTTTGGCACCTAGTAATTGTTCAGTAAATGGTAATCATCTTTATTTCTCTCCTGCCTACCTTGCATTCCCTCCATTCCCCCTCCCCTACCTTTCCCATTTTTTCATTCATTCAACAAGTACTTATTGAATAACTACTATGCTGTAGTCACTGGGGATGCAGGAGTAAATAAAACAGTTTCTCCCTCCAAGAAACTTACATCACGGCCTGAAAAAACTAAAAGAAAAATAAATATGAAAATAAATATGAAAGTGACATTATGTGATGGTTCACTTTAGGTGTCAACTTGACTGGGCTAAGGGATGCCCAGATCTTTGGTAAAACAGGATTTGTGGGTATGTCTGTGAGGGTGTTTCTGGAAGAGATTAGCATTTGAATTGGTAGCCTAAGTAAAGAAGATCCGACCTCACCAATCTGGGCAGGTATCACCCAATCCCTTGAGAGCCTGGATAGAGCAAAAAGGTGGAGGAAGAGCAATGTCCCTCCTCTCCCTGAGCTGGGACAACCATCTTCTCCTTCCTTTGAACATTAGAGCTCTTGATCCTTGAGCCTTCAGACTCCAAAACTTACACCACTATCCTTCCTTCTCCCTGGTTTGTAGGCCCTTGGCCTCAGAACTATACCACTGGGTTTACCAGTGAATTATTATTTACCAGTGAATTATACCACTGGCTTTCCTGGGTCTCCAGCTTACAGACAGCAGATTGTGGAACTTCTCAGCCTCCAAATTGCGTGAGCCAATTCCCATGATAAATTTCCTCTTATATATACAGATGGTCCCCAACCTTCAATGGATCAACTTATAATTTTTCAGCTTTACAATGAGTTTATAGGGGTGTAACCCCATCATAAGTCAAGGAGCATCTGGACTTATAATGGTTCGACTTTTGATTTTTCAACTTTACAAGAGGTTTATCAGGATATTAAATACATTTTGACTTACAATATTTTTGACTTACAATGGGTTTACCAGAATGTAGGCCTATTGTAAGCCAAGGAACAGCTGCATCTAAATATATCCTATTGGTTCTGCTTCTCTGGAGGACCCTGACTAATACAGACTACGATAGAGGTGGGAATGGAGGCCAGAGGAGGCAGGAGAGTGGATGAATCTGCAGCCCAGATTCATCTAGAATGGATAAATGGAAAGGGATGAAAGGGATGGAAAAAGATGGAAGCCAAGAGAGAAAGAGATCAGAAACATAAATTTTGGAACCATCAGAGTCAAGATAGCCTTTAAAGCCAGAAGTAGATGAGATCAATGAGGGAGCAATGGTAGACAGAGAGAACCTCTGAGGTCTGCAGGGCTCCAACCTTCAGAGGTTGAGGAGACAAGGAAGGACCCCTAAAAAGGGGTCACAGCTAGAGACAGGACATTGAGGGAGAGGGCATCCTAGAAGTCCACACTGCAGAAGATCTGAGGGGAAATGGGAAGAGAGGTCTGGAGAGAGCAGTGTAGACAGCTCCCCTACAGTGGAGTGTGTGCCTGGGAGTCGGCATCCCAGCTGCAAGGAGAAGCCCCAAACGGTATGGCCATGTTTCTTTTATCTCTGGGTCTCCCCAACACACAGTAGGTTCTCAATCAAAATCTACTGAGTTGGCATCAGTTAGATGTCCTGTTTATGGCTGAGGCAAAGTCTGGAGATTTCCCCTACCTCTCAGGCCCTCGCTGCAGGCCTCTGACACTCCAGGGATAGCTGGCAAGCCCACAAGGCCTCCCTGAGGGTCCTTCTCTCTCAGAAAATATCAGCACATGTGTCCAGCAGGGCCTTTGATGGCTTCACACAAGAGGAGAGTCATGTGTGCATTCCTGGCTCTCTGGACAAGAAATAAATGTTCAGGCGGAGAGGGAGAACTTGGCTGAAGTGGAGGAGGGAATTGAAATCACTGAACAAAATAACAGCAACACCAATAACAACCATTTATTGATCTCCTGTTCTGTAGCAGACGCTAGGACAAATGCAGGGCATTTGTTGACATTGTCTTTCATCTCAGTCCAGTTCAGTCCATCTCCAGTTACCTGGTGAGGGAGGGGCTGCAAACCCCACCCTACAATGAGTTACCCTGCTGCCTGAGGCCACATACACAGTAGCTCCAAGGCTGATGTTCCTCAACCACTGTGTGAAGATTTATCATTGAAGAAAGGAGAGATGGAGGTAGGAATAGCAAAGGCTAAAGACAAAGCTACCCCAAGCAGCAGCATCTCCTTCCATGACTTCAACTCCACTGACACCAGGCTGACCTGGGCTTTCCCTTTGCCTTTCCCACCATCACCTTTGCTAGCTGGTGGGACTTTCAGGCCAATGGGTTACATGTTTAGAAACAAAATTGGGCAGTGGGCTGGGGCCAGCAACCACAGAACCTTCCTCCTCAGCCATTGTCATTAAGTAGGCAGAGATTTCCTGACCTTGTCAGTAGCCCTCTATTAGTCCATTTTCATGCTGCCAATAAAGGCATACCCAAGACTGGGTAATTTATTAAGAAAATGAGGTTTAATGGACTCACAGTTCCACATGGCTGGGGAGGCCTCACAGTCATGGCAGAAGGCGAGAGGCACATCTTACGTGACAGCAGGTAAGAGAGGAAGAGAGCCAAGTGAAAAGGGTTTCCCCTTATAAAATCATCAGATCTCATGAGACTTATTCACTACCATGGAACAGTATCAGGGAAACAGCCCCCATGATTCAATTATTTCCCACTGATTCCCTCCCACAACACATGGGAATTATGGGAGCTACAATTCAAGATGAGATTTGGGTGGGGACACAGCCAAACCATATCAAGCCCCTCAGCCAACATTTTCATGGTGGCAGCTGCTCATGAAGTGTAATCTAAAAGGACATAAAAAACATTCATACACACATACACACACACATACATACATATACACACACAAACATTCATCACACACTCAAAAAATCTCTCCCATTGGCTCACCTCAGCACCTGAAATTCTGCCAATTTAAGGTCCTGTGGAGACCAGAGTAGTTGTTATGTTTATCAATATGTGTATACTCACTGCACTTCAGGGAAGCTGGAGTTTAAAGGCTGGAGGACTAGGACCAAAGAAAGAACAGTTGTGCTGGTGGAGAGAAAAGGAAGTGAGACAAGCTGAGCCTTGCCAGAGAAAAGGCAGCCAGGATAGTGCAGAAGAGGGAAAGGTGGAGGCTCCCGAAGGGATGGAAGCCAAGCATGGAAGAGGAAAAGAGTCGGGTCTTTTTCTGCTCTCCTAAGAGTTCTGGTTTGGTATCGTGGTTGCGAGTGTGAGATCAAACAACCAGGCCGGGAGCAGTGGCTCATGCCTGTAGTCCCACCAGGCTGGTCACCTGAGGTCAGGAGTTCAAGTCCAGCCTGGCCAACATGGCGAAACCCCGTCTCTACTACAAATACAAAAATTAGCCAGGTATGGTGGTGGGCACCTGTAATCCCAGCTACTCGGGAAGCTGAGGCAGGAGAATTGCTTGAACCCAGGAAGTGGAGGTTGCAGTGAGCCAAGATCACACCACTGCACTCCAGCCTGGGTGACAAGGGCAAAACTCCATCTCAAAAAAAAGAAAGAAAAGAAATCAAACAACCAAGGCCCAAATCCCAGTGGTGTCACTTGCTAATTACGTGGCTTAGGAAATTACTCAATCCTCCTATCTGCATCCTTAAAATGGGAAGAATGACAGTACACATCTTGAAGGGTGATCTTGAGGCTTCAGTGAGGTAATCCATGCAAGGACCTTAGCACAGTTCCCAGAATTGAATAAACACACAGTAAATGTTTAATATTATTATTAATATTTAACTGAAGTCTGCGGCCTGTTTCCACCATCAGCTCCTCCAGCCATGAGTTGGAGTCTGCCAAGGATTTTAGAGTTCATTGATTCTCTGGATGTGAATCATTGTAAACAGATAGATTGGTGTCTTCTGTTTGGAGACAATATCTCCCCTTCTTCCAATGGCAGAACATCTGGTGACTTCCCAGGAGATAAAAGGGTGGAGTACAATAAAGGCCAGAAACCTGGTTCTCCCTGAGGGAGCAGAATGAGAGGAATAGGTCCCGGTGGCATATGCTGCTTTCCTTGACCTTGGCACCTGTTCCAAGCTGGCAGAGTGCAGAGGAGGGAGCACTGGGGACACAGAAATTGGTGTAACTCCTACAGACAGCAATGTGCTCATAGCTCAAAATTTTAAACGCGTGTCCCCTTGACCCTAAATTTTGGTTTCTAGGATTTTTTTTTTTACAGATATGCCCCCACATACAAAATGATGTAAATGCAAAGTTATTCACTGCAGGATTTGTTATGACACAGAGACTGGGAAAAAAATCTAAATGTTCACACTTTACTGAATATATTATGGTCCATCCATACAATGGAATATTATGCAACAGTGGAAAACTGTGAAGAAATGTCTATAAACTGATTATGAAAAGATCTCCAAGATCCATTGTTAAGTAAAACAGCAGGGTCCAGAAGAATGTAGAAAAAGTGAGAAAAAGTAATATGTATTCAATATGCATAGACTATATATTCAATATGTATAGAATAACACCAAAAGAAAACTCAAGAGATGATAATATTGGTCTCTGAAGAAGGGATCCAAGAAGCCAAAAGACAAGATAGTCACTGACTTTTCTTTCATATATTTTGAATTTTAAAATGCTGAAGACAACTAAATTTTGTTTACAAGCACGGGACTTGGAGTCAGACAGACCCAGGTTCAAAACCCAGATCCACTGGCTATGTGATGTTGGGCAGGTCACTTCAGATCACTTTAATCTCTTTGAGCTTTGTTTCCCATTTGTAAAACAAGGATGAGAATAATACCTATATCACAGGGTGGTTGTGAGCATTCACTGAGATGGTATTTTTAAAAATATCCTATGTGGAGACAGGCATGGTGGCTCACACCTATAATCTCAGTGACTCAAGAGGCTGAGGCAGGAGGATCGCTTAAGCCCAGGAGCTCGAGGTTGCAGTGAGCCAAGATCACACCACTGCACTCCAACATGGGCAACAGAGTGAGGCTGCCTAAAATAGAAAACAAAACAAAATGGGGAGGTAGCTACAGCAAAGATGACTTTTAATAAATTTTTGATGAATCTGCATTTATTCCCTTCTATATGCCCAGGAGAGCATTATAAGGTAAGGTTCAGGATTGCCAGTAGATGGAATAAAGAGAAATGAAAGTAAATATCTATCTTACAAGGAGTGGAGGGTGGCAGGTCCCTCAGTGCATGTGTGCTGAGGAATTCGCATCACTCACATGTGCTGAAGAGTCCATCCAGCTCACCGTTTATAATGCCAGGGTTTGCGGGGGGCAGTCCCCATCACCAGGTCATTGGATCCTCACTGAGGACCCTATGACATGAACAAGCTGGAGACTCCTGGTGCCATTTTACAGATAAGCTCTCCCAGGGAGCTGCATGATGGGCCTAATGTTATTAATCGAACAGACATGAGTGGAGAGGCAGTAGGTCAGTGTGAAGTGAGCATAGGTTCTGGGAAGAAAACAAGTTCTGGTTGGCCATTTAACTGTGCTGAGCCTCAGCTCCTGCAGCCACAAAAGGGAGATCATAACACCAGCTGCAAAATGTTGTGTGAATCAGAGCTTCAGGCACTGTGACCAAGACACGGGAAAGCTCAGTCAATGGAAGCTATGATTATTTGTGTGGGATTATGATTGGAGGAAGGCAGTGGGGCTGTGTGCCCCCAAAAGTGCCTTAACCACTCAAAAACAGAATCTCTGCCATGAAGGAGTTCACAGTCTAATAAGAGAAAGAGACAGATCATCTCTATTCAATAAAGTTCCCCCTAAATAAAAATATGGTTTACATCAGTTAGAATGACGATCATTAAAAAGTCAGGAAATAACAGGTGCTAGAGAGGATGTGGAGAAATAGGAACACTTTTACACTGTTGGTGGGACTGTAAACTAGTTCAACCATTGTAGAAGACAATGTGGCGATTCCTCAAGAATCTAGAACTAGAAATACCATTTGACCCAGCCATCCCATTACTGGGTATATACCCAAAGGATTATAAATCATGCTGCTATAAAGACACATGCACACGTATGTTTATTGCGGCACTATTCACAATAGCAGACTTTGAACCAACCCAAATGTCCATCAATGATAGACTGGATTAAGAAAATGTGGCATATATACACCATGGAATACTATGCAGCCATAAAAAAGGATGAGTTCATGTCCTTTGCAGGGACATGGATGAAGCTGGAAACCATCATTCTCAGCAAACTATCGCAAGGACAGAAAACCAAACACCGCATATTCTCACTCATAGGTGAGAATTGAACAATGAGAACACTTGGATACAGGAAGGGGAACATCACACACCGGGGCCTGTCATGGGGTGGGGAGCGGGGAGGGACAGCATTAGGAGATATACCTAATGTAAATGATGAGTTAATGGGTGCAGCACACCAACATGGCGCATGTATACATATGTAACAAACCTGCACGTTGTGCAGGTGTACCCTAGAACTTAAAGTATAATAAAAAAAAAAGAAAAGAATGTTCAAAAAAAAATACGGTTTACACAAGTGTATTCCTGTATATCATGGTCTCATTATAGGTGTAGTGCCAGGTGTTCCCATCGGCCATGATTAAAAATATCAAGAGGTGGGTGTCAAGGAGTGGAAGGGTGGGAAGGCCGGAAGCAAAGCAGAGAAGTTTGCAAAGATCCCTGCAACGATAAATGAAGATGGGGAGGAGTCAAATGGGGCCTCCAAGGAGCTTCCTTTGCGAGGCATTGGTGAGGAGGGAGTGCAGTGAGCTGTGTACGAGAGGCTGAAGCAGGGACCTGGGCCTAGGGCACCACAGCAAGCATCTTAGGGAGGGGGCTGACAACTGCAGCCCCAGGTGTGCTGATAACATCACATGCTAGTCCTACTTTCCTACTTTATTTTTCTTGCGAACCTTAATTATTCCAGAGACTGAGTCAACAAACAACCCTGAATCATAAAGTCAAAAGGCCTTCACAAAAGGATGCTGATATTAGCACATTGTGAACTTACTCTGTTGGGAATGCGATCTTTCAGAACAACCCAGGAGCAGGGTACTATTTTCATCCCACCCTTCTACAGACGAGGAAGCAGACTCAGAAAGATTCATTCATGTCTGAGGTCACACAGCCAGCCAGGGGCGAAGCCAGGATTCAAGCCAGGTGTGTCTGATGAAAACACTCCTGCTCTTCCTCACTTCACTGTAGGTTTTGAACATACTTTTTTTGCTGCTGTGAAGGAAAATAAATGCAGATGTGGCAGCAGTAGTATATGAATCTATGCATGTGATAAAACGTCATAGAATTATGTACAAGGCATACTAAAAAAAAATGAGTACTTGCAAAAACTGGGGAAATCCGAGGAAGATCTATGATCTAGTTAATTGCATTGTGCCAGTGTTTGTTTTCTGGTTTTGATAATGCACTGTAATTAGTCAGATGTCACCTTTAGGGCAAGCTGGGAGATGAGTCTACAGAAGCTCTCTTTTTGCAATTTCTTGTGAGTCTATGCTTTTTTCGAAGTAGAAATCTGGAAAAAATACATGTAGAAATCTCCTGTTGAAAATACAAACAGGGCCAGAGTAGGACCAAGGAGACTCAACAGCTCCTAGTAAGTAAAGAACAGCACCAGGGCATTACCAGGGCAGTAGGAGCCTTCATTCCAAACGTTAAGAATTACAAAATGATACAGCTGCCCCCTTACTTACAGGACTCTTGTATAGCTTTATTTTAGGGTAACCCAAGTTTTCCAGATTCACCTGGCTACAGGGGGGGCTCACCTTTACAGATATCACTCATGTTTCACCAATCTTTCCCCTCCTTGCTATGACAGAGCTTCCAGCCCACCCCAAACCTCACCCACCCAGTCACTGCTGGGGCCCTCTGGAGGTGTCTCACACAAGCCTACTGGCCAGATGCTGTAGTCTGCTGCTCACCTGCTACCCTGTCTGCAGGTGCCCTCTGTGCCCAGAAATTCCAGGGTGTTGCGTCAGCAGGGCCCCTGTGCCAGGCACAGAGGTGACTAGGGTCTGTGCCCAAGAATGGCCTCTGGATCTTAGCAAACCCCAACCCAATTCCACTGGACTCCCCTGGCCTGAAGCTTCTCTGCATTCCACACAGAAAGTGGGTGGATGCCCACTGAAGGTCAATCTTGATTGCCTGGCACCAAAGCAGGGCAGCATATGTCCAACAGAGCCCTCATGAAAACTGCTCCCAAATCCTCCACTCTGAGGTTTAGAGATGTGTGCAAGGTTTTGAAACACAAATGCAGTTACAGTAAGAGCTAACATTTACTGAGCATTTACTATGTGCCAGACCAAGCAATTCACATGGGTAAACTTGTCTAATTCTGATAGATAGGTAAGCTGCTGCCACAAAGAGACCCATCAATAATAACCCAGTGGCTTAAAGAAGATAGAAATGTAGTTCTCTCTCACATAATCTGAGGGAGTCCCCCTGGTCAGCAGCAGCTTTGCTTCAGGCAGAGTCCACGGCCCAGGTTCTTTCCATCTTGTTTCTCTGCCATCCCCCAAAACGTCCTCAGCCTCATGGTGGCAGCTGGGTCATTGCCATGCCTGTTTGCAGACCAGGAGGAGAGAGGCAGCAGGCACGAGGCATGCTGATCGCCCCACATCACTGGGCCTGGGACTCTCATGCACCACTCCACTCACATTCTGCTAATGAGAACATTCTGCAGGTGAGAACTTAGTTACACAGGCTCACCTAACTGTAGGGAGTCTGGGGAGATGGGGATATGTGTGCCCGAGCAATTCTTTTACAGTGAAAGAAGAGAAAATGTGTTCTGGTGGACCATTGTCCCTCCACCACACTTCCTCACAGGTATGACCAAAGATGTTCAGAATGGTTAAATGCTTGCCCTAGGTAAAAACTATCTAATCTGATAAGTTAATTTTAACCAGTGAAGTAGACCTGGACCCCTTTCAGATAAAATATGCGTTTTGTGTGTTTTAATAGGGATCCAATGGAGATGCAAAACTTAACCCAGAAGCATAGCTCTAGCGGGAGATACAGGGTCGGGGGTTTGGCAGGGCTTTTTGAGTGGCATCATAGTCCGGGCTTTAGAACGGGGAGTCTTGAATGAGTCCAGGTCCTTCATATGGGAAAACCACTAAAAATCTCAGCCCTCAGCTCTGAGACAGAATCCAGGGTGATAATGGATGTGGCACAGCTAGTGAGCTGCAAGTGGCTGTCACATGTAGGGGGTTATTTTTTATCTAAGGGGATCTGCACATCCCACCACCAAAGCTGCCTTTTGGGAAGGTAACAGGTGACCCTGTCCAAGGTCTGGGCTGAGGATGAACAAGTTTCCAAAGGTGAGCTGCAAGGAGCTTGACAGGAGTGTGTGTGTGTATCTGTGTGCATGTTTGTGTTCGTGTGCACACATTTGTGTGCATGTGTGTGTATATGTGCAAATGCACACGAGCAGCTTCAGCCAGCTGAGCAGCCAGTCATTTATTCATATGGATGACTTGATTTTTGATTGAGTTAACAAGTACTTATTAAACACAGTTTTGCAAAGGCCTGCAGTAAATTGGAAGCTATACAGGAACCCTATAAGTTTTTACAACCCTGCATTCTTCAAATATTGGAATAATATAAAAGATAAGTAGGGAGTAAGAGGAAGGAAGAGCAAACACTAGAGAAGGAGGAGCCATGGGAAAGTGGGTTAGAAGAGAAGGAGGAGGGTTGGTTGTCCTTCTGGTTTCGAAGCACCAGTGGGTCCATTCACCAATGAATACAAACCAACCTATTGTGCAAATTATTAAACTACATCATCTGTCCTAGTCTGAGCTAATATTCACTACAATGGCTCATGTTGCTGAGTGCTTACTAAGCTCCAGGCACTATACTAAGTGTTTTATATATTCTATCTCATTTAACCCTGACTACCCTGAGGACTGGCACTATTATTGTGGCTCTGTTATTAGCCTATTTTATGGGTGCAGAAATGAAGGCAGACAGATGTTAAGCAACTGACTCAAGGTCACACAGCTAGTAAACTGCAGACTCAGGCCTGTCTGATTCCTAACCTAACCACCATGTCTAACACTTGTTGCCCATAGGCCTCAGTCTCCTCGTTTGTGAAATGGAACCACTACATCCAGCTTTGCTTGCCCTATGGGCTGTTGCAAGGATCCACTGAGAAGTGATTGCCAAGGTGCACTGTGAACTTACAAAACCTAATGTAAAAGAATCAAACCACATTGCTCCAAGTTTTGCTAAGATGAATCTACCTTAGGATCATCTAGAGAATAAAACAGTTACTAGCAACCAAGATTAAATTAAGCCTCCTCTGTTTGGAAACAACTTTAGAGGAAGGATGTTGTTGATTTGCCTGGCAGAGAATGGTTCCAAGCCTAAGAGCTCACAGTTGTTTTTATCCCAACCGCCTTATCAGAATATTTAGGAATCAATAATGTAGTGGCATGCTCTGAGGATTCTCAAGAAGTCCTATGGCGAGCCCCACATGCAGAAAAACTAAAAACCCCTGGTCAATAATCAACACCAACTTGCCAGCCATTGACTGGGTCACTGTGGAAGTGGATCCTCCAGCCCCAGTCAAACCTTCAGATGACTGCTGCCTCATGGAGTCCCTGAACCAGGAACTGCTCCTGACTCCTTGAGCCACAGACACAGTGAGAGATTATAAATGACTACTGTGTGAGGCCACTAAGTTGGAGGGGTTGGTAATTTGTAATACAGCAATAGATAATTCATACAGCACCTATGATACCTTGTGACTTAAGTACAAGGTTATTGGGTATTAACCAAAATTCTAGTTTTCAAGCAAGAGAAACTATTCTGGTACATGTAAGCCAAAGGGGAATTTTCAGGGAGGGCGTCAGGGCTCATCAAATCCAAGAAAAGACTGGAGACTCAAGTGTAGGATCCTCTGGCAACAGAACTCCAGCTCCAGTTCAGGGAGAGGAACAGCCAGGTTTCCACACCTCCATGGCTCCAGAGAGCCACTAATCATTCCACACATCTTGATTTAGTCCGTTCAGACTGCCATAAAGAATACCAAAGACTGGGTGGCTCAAACAGCAAACATTTGGTTCTCACAGTTCTGGAGGATGGGAAGTCCAAGATCAAGGTTCTGACAGATATGGTGGCTGGTGAGGGCCCTTTTCCTGGTTCTCAGACCACCATCTTCTCATTGTATGCTCATGTGGTAAGAAGCAGAGAGAAAAGAAGCAAGTTCTCCTGTGTCTCTTCTTATAAGGGCACTAATGCCATTCATGAAGGCTCCACCTTCATGACCTAATTACCTCCCAAAGGCCCCACTTCTGAATAGCATCTTATTGAGGGTTAGGATTTTAACAAATGAATTTTGGGGGCACACAAACATTCAATCCATAGCACAACCTCCGTGTACTCACTGAGGATTCAGTGTCTAGAGTGACAGAGACATTGATCATGTTCCAGCCCCCTGACTGCACCAAGGGTGAGAGAAAGCATCTGCCCCTTGGTATTATTTCCCTCTGAGACAAATCCCACTAGGGAAAGATGATTCTTGAAAGCAAGTCATGGTGCTTTTAGAGAAGGGGATGGGATGCTCTGCAGCCAACATCAATAAATGCCCAGCCAGTGGTCATTAGATGGTGTTACAAAGAAGAAGGCCTTGAATAATACTGAACCAGGCTACGTGTAGGCTGTGGGCTTTATAGTCATTAATCCTCACAATAATCTTAAAAGGAGGATGATATTATCCCCGTCATCCAGACAAGGAGGCAGAACCTCAGATACATTAAGTAACTTGCCAGAATCCACGTGGAAAGTGATGAAGCTGGCTTCTAAGTTAAAGTCTATGGGGTTCCAGAGTCCTTACTTGTCCCACATAACCAGGCTTCCAAGAAGGGCCTCAAGGGAATGGAACCACATTCTTGCTTTGATGAAGTCAAATAAATTAAAAAGAGTTTATTAAGGGAAAGAGACAGAGACTGAAGTAAAGGGTTCACCTGATCTTCTCCCAAGGAAGAATGTGCCTGAGTCATATCTGACTGGCTTGACCCAGAAAGAAGAGGGTAGTCACAGGCAGAAAGGAAGGACAACACAGGCACACAGAGACGGGCGGTCTCCAGAACTCAAAACTTCCCAAGGGTTTACACCCTGTGTACTGAACATGGTCCGCTTCTGCCACCTAGCCACAGATGGTCTCCTCAGCCACAGCACAAGAAGCCCAACTGTGGTGAAAGCCTGTGGGTGGGTATGCAGCAAGCACAAGCCACATGTAAAGGCTTTCCTGGTAAATTTCCAAGATGACCAATGCCACTGAGTCCTCTTCTCTGTCATGTGCCTTCTTCATATTTATCCGAGATTCCCAGGGACAGGATGGCCAGCTCCTCCTTTAGATTAGGGAGGGTGGGTCCTTCCCCACCCCCATCTATACTCTCTGCCCCACTAAAGAACTTTTCTATAATCCCATCTTCACCATACTCAGCATTTGCCAAATATTATTCTTCATTTTCTAATTGTGTCTTTTCTAGTTTGTTTGGAAATGAAATCTGGTTTCACCTGAAGGTTGAGAGCTAATATGAAGCATATTCCTGCCCTTGGGCTAATATCTTTATGACATCATGACACTAACCAGCTAGAACTGACTTAGTTTTTGTTGGCCAGAAGCCATAACATCTCTGCCAACAAGAAACTAGCATAGGCTGGATTAAAGTCAGCATGAGAAAGATTACCTGAAGATAAGAAAATAAATGAAGGCCCACCATGCTTCTAAGCACATAGTAAATAGTCAAATATGTGCAGAGGAGATGCATAAACATATCTGTGCAAGGCTTTCAAAAGGATCAGGAAGACAGGTCTCACAAAAAAAGCATTTCCAGGCTTTGTATTTTACAGACCAATATTTTTGTGTTTTGTTTTTTATTTTGGGGAGGAAAATCCACACAGGATTATTATCTTTTTACTTTACCAAGTAGAGACATTTTAATAAAGCTTTACCATCCTTTCATAAGATAATAGACCTGTTAACACAAGCCAAGTATGAAGTATAATCACAGAATAAAGGACAGTCTTTCCAGGGAAAAATCATCGGCACACTGGATACGGGTCTTTGTTTTACACTATATAGTCCCTCTCTGGCTAGTTTAAGCACAAACAATATATTATGGAGCCCAGATAGATAGTTCACAAATCACTGGAAAGGCTGTAGGGATATACTCCAAGTTGAATTCCATATTAACACCCCAAACTATGCCACGTAACTTACCACTGAGGGAGCTGCTGCCACAGCCGCTGACCACTCTAGCTCCTCAAAATGAGCACCAGCTCTGTGCCCTGTTCAGCTCCCTCCATTATTCCAAATTACCCCTCCATATTCCAAATCAAAGTCCTGCATGAGTCCCAGCTGATTGGCTGAACCTAAGCATATCTAGATCCCCATCTGCCAAGGAGTCTGGGAAACGTAGTTTTAGTTTTCAGCCTCTGCAGTACAGGGAGGCACAGGGGCTGGAGAAGGCATGGAGTGAACCAGTTAGCCACTGTTGGTGAGCTTTTTGTCAGACCACAGCACTTCTAAAACATGTCAAGGTCTAAGCCTGGGTTACAGAATCACATTTGGGTGTACTGGCATGAGAGCCATCCTAAGGAATGTGTGCAGTCACGCTTTATTGAGAAGATTCTGAAGGTCAGTGGTCTTACACAGGCACCTTATCAAGGTTCTGACAGATATGGTGTCTAGTGAGGGCCCTCTTCCTGGTTCTCAGACCACCATCTTCTCATTGTGTGCGCCCATGTGATAAAAAGCAGACAGAAAGGAAGCAAGCTCTCCTGTGTCTCTTCTTATAAGGGTGCTAATGCCATTCATGAGGGCTCCACCTTCATGACCTAATTACCTCCTAAAGGCCCCACTTCCTAATACCATCTTATTGAGGGTTAGGATTTTAACATATGAATTTTAGGGGCATAGAAACATTCAATCCATAGTACATCCTCAGTCTACTCTGCTGCCAGAACCTTGATATGGCACCTACTGAGTGAATGGCTGTTCTTAAGAAGGGAATTTGCTGCCTGAGGCTACAGCATGACCACACTCTGACTGTAGTAGACATCTGTCATATTTGTGGCTTCTCATCAACTTTTGAGTAGCTTTCCCGTATCTGGGGATATTCTCATGTAATAAGTCTCATCTCCCTAATATTGAAGTCAGAGATCGAGTCAGAGTTCAGAGCGTTCAGGTGTCTTTGCAGCTAAGATTCAGGGATGTGGTCTGAGCTCTCACAACCCAAGGCCTCCACTAGAGATTTGATTCAGAAGTGAGTAGCATAAAGAGCAGGCAGTGCACGGAGCTTCTGTTTTTGCTGGCATGGAAGGCAGCAGAGGCCTTAGCTTTCAGAAGTGGTGGTGAGGGGCCGGGCACAGTGGCTCACGCCTGTATTCCCAGCACTTTGGGAGGCCGACGGGGGCCAATCACGAGGTCAAGAGAGCAAGACCATCCTGGCCAACATGGTGAAACCCCGTCTCTACTAAAAATACAAAAAGAAATTAGCCAGGCGTGGTGGCGGGCACCTGTAGTCCCAGCTACTCAGAAGGCTGAGGTAGCAGAATGGCGTGAACCCGGGAGGTGGAGCTTGCAGTGAGCCGAGATCGCACCACTGCACTCCAGCCTGGGTGACAGAGCAAGACTCCATCTCAAAAAAAAAAAAAAAAAATGTGGTGGTGAGGTCTGGTTCCTGCCTCAGAAGTAGCATCAGTGGTGGTGGCAAGAGTGGCTGCAATAAAGTCAAGTTCCTGGTGTCCAGTGCTCAGTAGCAGCAGCCATAGTAATACCAGTTTCCCTCCATGATCTAGCCCTACAGCACAGTTTAGGGCATTGTTCTTGGAAACTTTACCCCAAATCTATTTCTCCACCCTCCAAATGATTGTTTGTCCTTCAGTTTCCTTTATTAAATCCCATCTGCCTCAACTAGCCAGAGTGAATCCTGTTGTCAGCAACCAACAACCCACTTGATGTGCTAGATAAGCCAGGAACACTGACCCTGAATCTACTGCCTCTACACCAGGCTGCAGTGTGAACCATTTCTGCAACAGAGAGTATCGGCCTGAACCTCATCTCCCATTGCCTTCTTGAGTCAGGTACAAAGAAGGATGGGAGGAAAGCGTACTTCCTTCTGACTCCCAGCTTTCCAGGAGCTCCTACAGAACAAGAATGTTTCTTCTTCACTGGATTGTTATCACCAACAATTTGTGCAGGGCTTAGCACAGAGTAGGTATTCAGCAAATGTTTGACGAATTAATAAATAAGTGAATGGTAAAAACACTATAAAGTTATACCCAGCTGGATTCCTAACCCAGATCTGTGCTGTCCATTAACAGTACCCACTAGCCACACATGGCCACTAAACAACTGAAATGTGGCTAGTGCAATTGAGGAACTGAATTTTTATTTTATTTCAGTGAACTAAAATTTAAAAACTGATACCTAATCCCATTTTTGGAAAACTTTTGGCTCATTTGTGTATGTAAATGTACATTTTAGCTATAAATTGTATAAAAGCTGAATACAGATGAAATCTTTCCAATGAAAAATTAGCATACAAATTGAGATGTGGTGTAATTGCAAAGTATACACCAGATTCCAAATAATATAAAAAAGAATGTAAAATATACTATTAATGTTATATTGATTACATGTGGAAATAATATTCTGAATATATTAGGTTAAATGAAACATTAAAGTTGACTTCACCTATTTCTATTTACAATTTTTGATGTGACTACTAGAAAGTGTAAAATTATATATGTGGCTTTCATTGAATTTCTGTTAGCACAGATCTGAACATTAGCATAAATATTGCTCAGTGGTCAAAGGGGATGCCAAGGACACACATTTCCTCTGAGCACTAGAGGCTCCAACCCCACAGACCTAGGCCCAACCTTACCCTTTCATTTCCCCATCGCCTTTCCCCAGACTCCAAATCCAGCAGGAGGAAGTGTAGACGTGGGCCTCTGCAACATGTGAAAAAGCAGAAATCACAAACGCAGTGTTTTTCAGCAGGTGATTTAGGCAACTCTTCATCAGGGAAAGGGCTGGAAGTAAGGCCACAAGCAGTGATCAATTGTTTGCTATTTGAAGGCAATTCAAAAAGAAAAAAAAATCCCCAAGTGAACGTTCCTTGGGTGACCAGTGTGCCACCTCTGCATAAGTCTATGAAATCAAAGGCCCTGGGACAGCCTCTAATATGGTAGCTTCATTCCAAGGAAGAGTTTAAAGCACAAAGAAGAGCTGTTCTAGTTAGTATGAGTCAGGGCTAAATGTTAAGTCTCCTGATGCTCACTGGGGCACACCATCTCTCAGCATTAGGTGCCAATACATAACATGCCAAATGGGTTTGATGTGAGAAAGGAAGTGTCTGCCTTATAGGAATCACTTGGCCTGCATCTACCCCAGGATTTCCAAGCCTCCCTTTGCCAGCACTGGAAACGCATTTTGAGAAATTGGAGTTGGGGCCAGAAAGCATTCTATTCCCATCACTGGAATCTGTGTGGCTTCTATTTGCAACTCCAGTAGATGTGAAACTCTTAAAATGATTTTTTCCAGGGTAGGAAGGAACACAATGATGTCTTTGGCTAAACAGTGCCGGGCTACTGCACAGTTCAATCCTGAGCTAAGTGAAGGGGGAAAAGTCCGGGGCACTAATCTGGCGTGACTGGCAGCACCCGATGGGGTAAGGAGGACAGATGAGAAGGGTAGGAGAGGACTGGTGGGGATAGGGGAACAGGGAAGGGATGGAAAGGCCTGCTTCTGAAGGCTTGCATCTAACAGAAAAGGAAGGGAACCTCCCTGACTTACCATGCGGGACCCAGGTAATTTTCATACTGGAAGCACAATCTACAAAATGCTTCCCTCCAACCCATCCCCATAGGTACAATTTTACCAAATAAAATCATTCATACTCACATCCAAATTTGCCAATCTGAGCAAAATATAGTTAGTAACAAAGGAAGGCAATTTTCATATTTTATCATTCATCATAGAAAAAAAGCTTTAATATTTTTTAATTAAATACAGAAGAAAATTGTGTTGCCAGAGAGATTGTTTGCCTGCCTTTGAACAAATTAACAACACCTGTTTGCAAACAAAAGAATTTCCAGAATGGAGTCAAACCCTTTATTCTCTGTTCAGGACCCAGCCCATTCATGTCTTTTGTATACAGTATCAAACACATAGTAGGTGCTGAATAAGTATCTGCTGACTGAATGGGGTGCCTCTTTTATCCCTATCCTTTATTTCCCAACCCTAAACTGGATCTTGATCCATGGGGAAAATATCCCCACCCATCCATTCCTAGAGTAGCCCTGTCTCTTTCAACAGTCTTTGATACATAACATTGGTTTAGAGACATATGCCTGAAGGGAAAAGAGGGAGGGTTTCAGGCAGAGAAAGAAACACACAAAGACAGGGCACAGAGACTAGGCAGAAACAAAAAGATCTAAGACAGAGAGAGAGAGTAACTGAAACACAGGTGCAGAGCGGGAACAACTGTGGGAGACAGGGACAGAAAAACCAAGTCAGAGAAACTTAAAACGCACACCATTGGAGATAAAGAGATAAAAGGGCTGGGCCAGAATGATCATCTTGAAGTTTCTACTCAGCTTTAATGTTTTCTGATAGAGAAAATGGCAGAGAGAGAGGAAGACACGGCCTAAGCAGGAGGATAAAGAGACAAAGGAAGTTAGTAGAGGCAGAGGCAGCCAGCCAGGCGTGCCTAGCCGGGAAGCCTGGTCCTACCCCGGCCTCACACCCACGGGGATGGGCTCCCATGCCCACTTTCGGCTCCTACCTTAAGTCCAGCCACCCTCTTCCCCTACCCGCCCCTAAAGATCTCCAAACCACTCGGCAAATCAAATCCTCTCTCCCCAACATCCTCCGTGAAGCATTCTCGCTGCTCCAGCCCGCACTCAGCTCTTCCCCTCTCAACTCCTAAAGCCACACCCACCTCCCCTAACCACAGGGCAGGGCTGTTTTCGAGTTTGCCCTTGGCTCCTATGAGCACATCTTGACTCCTGCAAAAGAACTGTGTGCTTGTCAGGGCTCCAGACCCTACCTCCTATATTCCAGTATTCTTCATGACACCAGCCCAATGCCCGGTCTTCCTAAGTGCTCAGTGAATACTTTAGGGCCTGACCGGCCCTAAAGTGCACGCGGGGACCGTGGCCGTCCCCTGGTCAGTTTGGCAGGCTGGCCACGCTGAGGCCATCTCCTGGGCTCCTGCGCCCTCTGCCGGCCAGGAGGGGACCCGCACGCGGGACAGCTCGCGGCCGGAAGGGCGCGCCTGCTGCTGGGAGGCTGGCGAGGACGCGGGCGGCCCTGGCACCGTCCGAGGGTTCTGGGAAGGGTGGTGGGCACAGCCAGGAACAGCTGCTGTGTTCCTCTTAGGCGTAGGAGAACAACCCCTCTCGCCCCTACACCTCCTCCGGCCCTGCCCGCTGGGCGCTCAGAGCTTCTCGTCCAGCTCCAGGCCCTGGTTATCCCGGGCGCCCCCGCGCTCGGGGCCTGGGCTGCCGCCGTGTGTCCCACTCAGGTAGTTCTGGATGGCGGAGGCGCAGTCTAGCCGCTCCATGACGGTCATGAGGTAGTGCAGCTCCTGCAGGCTGCCGTTCTGCTCCTCAAACAACTCCAGGATGGCCGCTGCGGGGCTGCGCTGGCAGGACAGGAACCTGGCCCGAGGTAGGGGAGGAAGAGAAGGGTGTAGGAGCAGGGAGGGGCTCCCCCCCTGCTGCAGGCTCCCTGGGCTGCGCAGCGCAAGGTCCGTCCCTTCCCCATCCTGTAGCTTTTGTCCTTGTCCTGCTCTTGCCTGCCTTCCAGGGCACAGGAGGTGGGAAGCCCCAGGGCTTTGAAACTTGAGATTGTCCTGGCTTGGAGGCCAACTCTGACCCCTACTCCTCTCTAGGCTTCAGTTTCCTCTTATTAAGATGAGGGCTTAGACAAGAGGACCTCTAAGTTTGCTACAGTTCTGATGTTCTGTAATTGCCTTCTCTACCTCCCCCACTCCAAATACACCCCTAGCCTCCCCCTAGCCTCCTAACTCCCTCCTTCCTCCCTCTCTCCTAGGCCACAACATCCTGCTCACTACTAAGGAAACAGTTGCTGTAAACCATGGCTTTTTATCACGACTCTCCCGTCCACTAAAACCTTCCAGAGTCTCTCACCTCCTAACCAGCCCACGCTCCATGAGCCTTTCTGGCTCATCCAGCACCTGGCCTTGCCCTGTCTTTATGCTTTCTCTCCTTTCTCCCATCCTGAACCCCCTTAGCTCAGGCCTCTCTCTTTCTCGCCTTGCACACACTACACCCACAGCCACCTCTGCTACTCCCCAAAACAAAATGGCTGATCTCTTCCCCATCACTTCCTCCCTGAAGCCCTTTCTAGTTCACCCCTCCCAGGTGGAAGAGAACATTCTGCATCCCTCAGTTCAGACTTCTGGTCATAACGCCCGCAGTTCATTATTATTCTTGCTTCAGCTGTTTTCTGTCTCTCTTCAATGTGTTATACAATACTGGATTCTTACAGGAAGGCACAAGGAACACTTGCCTTTATTTTTCAAGCTCTCTGAACCCTTTACTAGTGTGTGCGCTCCTAGGCGCCGGGACCATGCCTCATTCATCTTGTATCATAGTGCTTAGCACAGTTTCCAGGGCATAATAGGTACTTGATAAATGTTTAAATGAATGATTTAAAAATCCACCCTGTAGTTTGCAGACCAGCCTGGCCAACCTGGTGAAACCCCGTCTGTACTAAAAATAAAAAATTAGCTGGACATGGTGGCGTGTGCCTGTAATCCCAGCTACTCGGGAGGCTGAGGCAGGAGAATTACTTGAACCCGGGAGATGGAGGTTGCAGTGAGCCAAGATTGCGCCATTGCACTCCAGCCTGGGCGACAGAGCAAGACTCCGTCTCAAATAATGATAATAATAATAAATAAAAATCCACCCTGTTTTCAGGGTCCAGCTCTAGCCCCATCACCAGGATAAAGTCTTCCCTGACCGCTGCACTCATAGTGTAGTTTCTGGAGCTTAGCTCAGTATTCTCCTGCTTTCTGAGTTCCTTGACAGGGATCATGACTGCACTGTCACCATTATTGATAACATTTATTGAATTAACAAGTGTCAGGCACCCAGCTACATGCTTTACACACATTATCCTATAATCTGTCTTGCTCCTCCTCAGGGCATAGCATGGCAAGCACTCAACATGTACCAAATAACTTCCATGTTAATGGATTCACTGTTAAATGTTAATTGAGCACCTACTATGCACCAGGCATCATTCTAGGTACTGATGATACAGTGATTAATAGAGCTGCCCTTTTATGGGAAATAGGGTGGACAGTAGCCATTCTCTGACTTTTAAGTCACTCCCTTGCCTGTGATCCAGTCTCCAGAGTGTCCTGAGGAACCCCATTCCAGCCCACCCTCCTCTACCATCCACAGACCTCACCCCTCTTCCTACCGGATCTTCATGCCGCAAAGCCCCAGGTGGGAGGCCAGTCTGCGCCAGTCATTGCCGGTGATGCTGTTTGGCTCCAATAACATCCGCAGCTGCTCAAAGAGCTCTGGGGGCAGCCTTAGGCAGGGAAAAGGGTGTTCTTGGAAGAAAGGGACAAACAGACCCACTCTGGTTCTCCCATATGCACCCTAAATGCTGTAGTCACCCTGTGGGTGCCAGGGTAGGAACCCAACATCCCCCAGGCAGCAGCCCAAGCAACCCCCGTCTCACCTATTGCATGGGGGCGGCTGGGAAACAGGTGGTGGCGCTGCCCAGGATTCCTCCTCTGATGCCTGGAATCTGAGGATTTCCATATACTTGGTCTCCAAGCCCTGAGTCAACACAGGGCAGGGAACACACTTAGGGGTCACAAGCCATCCCCCTGAGTAAGAAGCTGGAGTCCTACCTCCATTCCTCATGTCTCTCCTTCAGTCTGTCACTCAGAGCCACCTTACCAGGAGATACAACCCTGCTCCACCCAGCACCCTCTACCCACTGTCTCCCTGTGACTTCAGAACCGCACCTTCAGCCTTATGTTTGCCCCTGAGCTCTTTGGGAACTGGGACATGAAGACCAGAGTGCAGCCTGAGCCACCAGGGGAAGTCCTGGGTGGGGCCGTGGAGCAGTGGGAGGTCATCCAACCATAGAGACACTGATCTCAGCCATATGTGTACCTTCCTCCATTCCAACCTTCCCTTCCTCTTCTCCAAGTGACAACAGGGTATCTGCCTGCCCTCCACTAAGGTGCCACTATGGTTCCCCAAAGACTCTCAACTCCGATTTCTTCGCATCTTCCCTTGGTGCAGCAGGAGAGGAGAGATACCTAACTCCCAGCCTGCCTACTCAAGACCCTCTTCCTGGTCACTTCCCACACTGAAAATACAAAACATCATCTCTCAAATCCCACACTGAAGATACCAAACATCATCTCTCAAATGTAGACAATCAGCCTAGAAAGAAACCATATCAACTTGATGCCCCAGTTCTCTGAGTTGGGAGAAGGGGTTAAACTAGGGTTTGGTTCTTTTAGCTTCCTGCTGGATTCATCCACCGATAGACAAGGAGAGTCAGGGATGAGGGTAACTTGGAGCCCAGATGATCTCAGCCCCTCAAAGAGCTGGTATGGGGGCTCTATGGAAAGTGCCATCTTTACCTATGTGATTAAGACCATAGTTACTGGGCACCAGACCCTGTGCCCACTTTGCCTAGGATTTCCCCCAGGCCCTGCCCTTCCTCTGCCCCTCAGCTCCAACTCACATCCTGGAAGGTGTGCATGGTGACAATGATCTCATTGGTTAGTGCTGAACAGTCCTCATTCTCATCGGCTATAAAGAGAAGGTGACAGCGTGGCCAGTGAGTGAGGAAACGGCCTGGGGTAAGAGCAGGAGAAGGTAAGGGACTCTATAGTAAGACTTGGGAAATCTGAGGAAGCTGGGGTCCAACACTCCATTTTTCTCTCTGCAAAGATCTGTGTGGCTCCTGGCCTTTCAGGGAAGGTCTGTGTGCATGGCTGCATGGGGGTCTGCAGAGCTCCAGGGTTACTGGGAGGGAAGGAGAGGAGACAGGATGGGAAAAGAGAGGGGAGGAGGTACACACAGGGCTCCCGGACTACCTGCTTTTCTCCGGAAGCAGAAGGAGCGGAAGGGGCACTTTCCATGCCAGATGTGGAGATGGGGAACCAGCTGGCAACTGCTGTCATCCACATTCTCCCAACCTGGTGAGTAGGCAGACAGCAGAGGGCCTCAGAGAGTGGGGCCTTAAACAAGTATTGAAGGGGGCTGTGGGGAGGCATGAGGACAGAACAAAGGCAGGAGGGTCTCAAGGGAATGGGAATCCCCAGAGCCTGGGCTGGGACCCCAAGAGGGCCCTTGCACTATAAAAGCCTTCCATCCTTTCCTGCTTCTGTGGGGTATAACCCCTCTCCTTCCCACCTGCCACCTGGCATCACCCTGTCCAAGGAGTGAGTGGCAAGGGCTCAGTAGACAGCAGAGTGGTCAAAGCCCTGGGGGCTCCATGAGGCTACTGCTGGCCCAGAGGTCACAAACAGACTTGGGGCCTGGTGTGGTGGCTCACACCTATAATCCCAACACTTTCAGAGGCCGAGACGGGTAGATTACTTGAGGTCAGGGGTTCGAGACCAGCCTGGACAACATGATGAAACCCCGTCTCTACCAAAAATACAAAAAAATTAGCCAGGCATGGTGGTGGGCACCTGTAATTGCAGCTACTCAGGAGACTGAGGCAGGAGAATAACTTGAACCCAGGAGGCGGAGGTTGCTGTGAGCCAAGATCAAGCCACTGCACTCCGGCCTGGGCAACAGAGCGAAACTCCATCTCGGGAAAAAAAAAGAGAGAGAGACTTGGGATCCCCAGATCTCCAGATGTCCAGGGGAGGCCCAGAACCCTTCATTCCTGTGGGGCTCCCGATCATCCTATCCCACAGGCCACTGCCTCCCTCACCCTCTGAGATGTACGTGAGCTTCAGGCACTGGTCGCCCCTAGCCCCATTGAAGTCGAAGAGCTGGCAGGGCCCACGCAGGCGCCCACCATGGGGCTGCTCGTTGGTCAGTGCCCACTGCAGGGCGCAGGGCGTGTTGTTGAGGAAGTAGATACGCAGTTGCAGATGGGACTGTCCTGGCACCAGCGGTGAGCAGAATACGGCCAGCTGCAGCCATTTGCGGGCTTCGCGCCCCACAGGTGCCTCCAGCACACAGGTGTAGAGGCTGCAGAGGGAGCCAGTGGCAGGCACTAATGTGCAGGGAAGGCTAAGACACCAACACACTGCCACCAGCCTCCTGCCACCTGAGGGGCCTCTGTGGGGCCTTCAAGGAGGTTCAGAGAACACTCGAGGGGAGCACTTAGGGAGGAACTGGTAGGTTGGGGATGAAAAGTGAGCATGTCACAGTGACTGGTGACTGAATGGGGAGGAGAGCTGGCAGGGGAGAGAGGGAAAGTGGGCTCAGGGTGACCATGCTTGGGAGGGCACCCGCACATGGCCCTATTCCTGTCAATGGGTGGCAAGGAGGCTGGGAGGCAGAGGACCTAGGACTCTAGAAAGACAAAGAGAAGAAGGACAGAGATGGAATGGAGTCTTAGAGAACTGGTGCTAAGCCTGGGGACAGTCCTGAAAGGGGCACAGTGTAGAGAGAGATAATTTGAAAGACAGAGAGAGATGGGAAAGACAGGTCCCTCTTAGATGGAGAGATGGTGCTGAGTCAGACACTTCCAGACAGACAGAGAGACAGCAATGGGATTTGCAGTCATGGACATGATTGATGTGAGAAAAACTGCTACAAACATTAGGACAGAGGGGCCAGAAAGAGACACCAGGGGATAAAGGATTTGCAGACCATCTTCTATACAGAGAGATGAAGATAAGGCAGACAGAGAAAGTGGGCAGGAAAGACAGTCCTCAGAGAGATGGGTGTGGGAAGACAGGCCAATGGCATGTGCCTACCTGAAGTGGGAGAGGTGGATGCGACACTCATCCCGGGAGGCGTGGGCCCCCGGCCGCCCCAGGGGCCTCCATACCTTGGCATCCAGCAGGGTAGTGTTGCTGCTGTAGGTGCGAGCATGGCTGGGCTGCTCGGCACAGTGTTTGAACGTGAGAGTGCAAGGCTTCAGGAAGGAGGCCCCATGGGGGCCACATGCCACCACAGGGCTTACCAGCCCCTGGGCTTGGGACAGCGATGGGGCGTCCGACAGGTCCCACACCAGGATCAAAGACACCCGCTCCTGGCGGCCCACAGCCACAGCACCTGGCAGGGAGAGGGAGAGCTGAGATGGGCCTGGTAGGCAGGCACACCCCTGCCCCTGAAAGAGGCCAGGCCAGAGAGAAAGGAGGTGGGGCAGGAGCCCAGGAGAGACCCCCAGCAGGGCACACAGGGAAGTGGTATGAACAAGAGTAAGACGACTGTGGAGCTGACTTGTAGTGTAACCCTAAGCAAGACACTTCCCTTTCCACCCAGGCTGCTGCTAGCCCATAGTGTGCCTTGTGTGAATTTGCAAATGGTGCTCTTCCCTCCCTTTACTAGAGAATTGTCACAGCATACTGATTCATTAGAACAAGGCACTTTACTTCCACCTGCCAGGAAGTTGTCCCAAAAGATATGTAATATGTCCATCCCTGAAGTCAATAAAGCTATACTCAAAATATAAACAATTATCAGAAGTAAAAGGTGTCTATGAACATTGCTCCCTCAGATGTGGTGACCTAATGTACAGTCTGACCAACTGTATGCGGAGATGAGAGCCAGGAGCTGTTACCTGGTGGGATGAGCAAGGAGATGCCTGTATCCTGGAGCATCAGGCAACCGCCGCGGTGATCCACCTCTCGAGCCGAAAACACCAACAGTTTGTGCATCAACTGGCGGACCATGGTCTGGCCTTGAGTGGGTGTGTGTAGCTCCTGGTAGAAGGCAACCATCTCTGGCAGTGTGGCTGGCAGGTGCTGCCTTGAGACCTCATTTTCTAGTTGGGGGGTAGGCTGGGACACTGGTTCCTCTTGACCATTCAGTGTCCAGCAGGCCCCCAGCAGCCTTCTAGGGCAGTGCCATCGAAGGCATTGGGCCAGAAGGAGGACACTTGCCACTGGGACCCCCACCAGCAGTAGGAACTGGGAGGGTTGGAATGAACTCTCCTGGGGGCACATTCGCCTGGTTACTCAATGCCGCTGGCTCTCCTTCACCCCTGTGCCAGCCAAAGCCAAAGGCCTGGTGGGGAAGAAGGGGTCAGTGTCAGGGTAAGCCCTTTTAAGTTGTGGAGGTCAAGGCTTGGCTTACACATAGCTGCAAGTTGTCTTCATTCCAGCGCACACTGCACACTTTAGTCACACCAATTCTTTTAACCTGTCTCTCTTACTCGAGAACCTACCCTGGCTCCCCGTGACCTAATACATCAAGGTAAACTGTTCTGAAGCAGAGTGAGCTTGGGTTTACAGTTAGAGAACATGAGTTCAAATGTCACCTTGGTCACTGTGGCTGGGTAAACTTATCATATTGATGTAAGGCAGGAGAGCCCCAAAATTGGGGCTTAGTTTGGGAGGGTTTGTGGCTTCACCTAGGCAAGAATTCAAGGGTGAGCCAGTGGTGTCAGACAGCAACTTTCACTAAAGTGGCAGAGTATAGCAGCAGCAGAGGTATGCTCCTTACAGAGCAGAGCTAACCCTAGGCAGTGTGCCCAGGGTAGCAGCTCTGGGGCATTTCTGCCATCATATTTATGTCCACTTTTAATTACATGCAGTAAGGGGTGGGTTATTCAGAAATTTCTAGAAAAAGGAGTGGTAGCTTCGGGTCACTGCCATGGAAAGGGGCAGTAACTTCCAGGCATCGCCATGGCAGTGGTAAACTGTCATGGCACTGGTGGGCATGTCTTATGGAGAGGTGCTTTTGGTGCCTTTTCCCTGTTTCAGCCAGTTTTCTATCTGGCCTGGAATCAAATCCCACCTCCTGCCTCAATACTGCTTAATGTACCTCAGTTTCCTCATCTGTCCAAATATCTACCTTGATCTACAAGTGCTGATACAAAAAAATCTATAAGTGGAAAAAGCAAGTCGCAGAGAGATAAAATATTCTGAGCTCATTAATGTGAAAAACAAAACTGCATATAAATAGATACATATTTATGGGTGCATATATGGAAATGTAAAGGTATAGAGAAAGGTCTGGAGCAGTGGTGTACAATAAAAATGTAATGTGAACTACACATGTAATTTTAAATTTCCTGATGGCCACATTAAAAAGAACAGGAGAAATTAATACATTTTATTTAACCCAATATATTCAAAATGTTATTTCAACAGGTAATCGATATAAAATTATGAGATATTTTTACTTTCTTCCTTCATACCCAGTCTTTGAAATCCATGTGTAATTTATATGAACAGAACAGCTCACTTGGGACTGGCTGTATTTCAAGTGCCCAGTAGCCACGTGTACTAATGAATCCGGTCTTAGACTGTGCAGGTCTGGAAGGACACACCCCCAAACTATTCCCATGAGTCACAACAAATTGAGAAGGTGGAAGGTGTGAATAAAAACTTTGTATTTTTTTAAATCCTTTTCTCTGTACTTTGAATTTTTCACATCAAGCATGTAGTTTGTATTAACTTTGTAATTCTTTTCTGAAGCTATTAAAAGTGGGGAAAAAGTGCCTCTTTGTGTAATGGTGAGGATGGCATAAGGTCATGTGAAAAGTATTTGTAGATGAGAAAGCACTGTCCAAATGTATGTGTTTCTTTATGCCCCTCCTTCTGCCAGAAAGGCCTGAAGGTAGCTCACAGGGATAGGCAACATACAACAAGAACAACAAAAGCTAAAAGTGGAAGCAAAAAAAAAAAAAAATGAAGAAGACAAAACACAAAGATGCAGCCCTACAGTGAAGCTGGAATGAGGCAGGGCAAAAGCATACACTCACCTCCTGCTCACCTGGCTACCCAGCCAGGCCACAGGCTGAGACTTCCCAGTAGCTCTTCCTGAGGCCCTCCAGAACCCACCTCCGCCTCCTCCTACTTCCCCTCTTCCAGCCCCTACAATTTCCAACACGCCTGCCCTGTAGCCTGCCCAGGCTCCCCACACCTGCTTAATTCTAGCCTCTGGCTTTTGCTCATGCTGTTTTCTGTTTCTCCACTCACTTGCTCTCCCCACTTGTTTCCTCTCCCTACGTGGATCCTCCCATTCAATAGTGCCTCCCGCTGGTGCACCGGCCTTTGACAGCCTCCAGCTCGCGAAATCTCTCTCCACAGCCATCCCACCATACTGAGTCACTCTTGATTATGTGCTGTCATGTGTGATTTTCCCACTCAAATGAACATTTTCTAAGCACCGGCTGTGTATCGGACACTGTGGGAAGTTCAATCCTGCCAAAGATGACGTCTTATTCCGCTCTCAAGGAGCTTCTGCAGGAATGGAATTCATTGGCTTGGTAGCTGAGTTCTGTGAGGCACAACGTCCTCCTTCAGAGCCCTGGGAGGCCCCTCTGGTTGACTCACTAGAGGCTGCACTGGAAGAGCTTCCAGTATCCAGTCCTCCCCACGCCCTTCACTTGCACTACCCACCTGGAACTGAGGCTTGGCCCACCTTCTTCCTTCCAACCTCAGGACCCATGAAAACTGAAGCCCCTTCCTAGTGCCTCTTAGACCAGGGCAGAACCTCCACTGTATCCTCAGGATTGAAGACTGGGGCAGTACCTGTTTCTCCCATGTCCTCACTGAAAGTGTGAATAAGAAGCGGGGGTTGGCATTGTTCTCTTTGCCTAAAGAGCCAACCCAGCAGACAATGCACCAGCCTTTTTCAACCAGGCATCCTGGAGGGCACACAGGTGAATCAGTGAATTGGCAGTGTCCCAAAGCTGATGGGAAGGGGGTTGGAGCAGCAAGCTACCGTTGATGTCCCATCATTTCTTTTGGTTCTTTCACATTAGTAATAATTATAATTCCAACTGTAATAACAATAGCTAACATTCGCAGAGCTTTACTCAATGCCACTGTGTTAAAGCACTCTCCATGGCTTGTCTCATCTCATCCTCACAGCAGCCTTAGGAGCGAGGTGTTATTTTTATCTCCATTTCACAGATAAGGAATCCGAGCTTTCTCCCCACAGTGAAGATGGATAGGGAATTACTAAACAACTGAAGACAGGCAGGAAGGAGGAGCAAAGACGAACAAGGACTTCCAGAGATACCCCCTTTCTCTCTCCACCCCTTCTTTTCCCCAAGTATCTTCCTTTCCTTCTCTAGAAGAAATAAAGTTGGAAGAGAAAGAAGCAAAAATGAAGTAAAGACAAATAGAAGGACCTAAATTTACATCCTCAGTTATGTGGTAATACCCACCCCACTACACCACACCCCCACCTACCAAGGTACCAGTGGCAGGGGATGGAATTGCTAAAGGGATGAAAGGAGGGGCCCCAGCTCGCTTACACAGCAGTAACCTTCCTGGGGCCACCAAAGACCAGAGTCCAGATCCCCAGTGAGGTGCACCTCACTGGGTGGTGCAGTAGAGTCCCCTGGCTCAACCTCCGACCCTGGAGAAGTTGGCATGCACCACTCCCAAAGCCCCACTGGGCCTCTCCCAGGGTGACTGCTCTTCCAGGCTGCCCTGGCCCTCACTGCATCCTCCCTCTGGCTCCAGAATGGGGAAAGGTCCGGAGTCTTGCTGAATGGCAACTATAGCACTGCAGCCATTCGAGTGTGACTTGGGGCATCCCAACCCCATGCCTGGACTCCTCATTACCCACTCCTCCAGTCTGTCTTGCTCCAGACCCCAGATCACCCTGGGTAGCGGGTCCCCGAAACGAGAGTCCTTTAGAATGCTGCCATCACCTGTCCCTAGGCAGTTGCATCCTCCAGCACAAAGATCCAAACTCCTGCTGCAAAGTTCTGCTCATACCCTTTAAGAAAACTCTCAACCTTTCCTCCACCTCACTGGTTCTCCCTGTGCCTCCCCAACACCTGATAGATGTCCAGTTACTGCAGAACATAACAAGTACTGGGATGGATGGTCCAAACCCAAGTCATGAATGGCATTTGTTAGTATAGTAGACATTTCCGCAGGACACAGAATCATCCCAGTGGTCCTCATACCCATTGGCCAAGTCCCATTTTCCTCCCCTCCTCCAGCAGAGGGTCCCTACACTCCAGCAGGCAGGCTAAGCTGGCCTGGCTCCTCCCCCGAAGCTCCAGGTAACCCCATCACAATGCCCATCCCCTCTCCAGCTGCCCCAAGGGGGTGCTCAACTTACCGTCTAGGAGCTCTTAGAGGCTGCTGGCTGGTCCAGTTCCTTCTCCGAGAAACAAGGGTCAGCCAGATTCAGTCGGCAGGCCAGCAGACAAGTGGAGGTGGGCGGGGAATCCAGGCAGGAGTGGCCTGGCATTTCCTGGCAGAGCCCTGCCTCCCAGCTGTCTAAAGAGGGGTGAGGGAGAGTGTCCCTGTCTATTGGCAAAGTCCAGCCCAGGTAAGGGATTAGCTGAGGATCCCAGAAGTCAGTGAACTTTCCAGTCTAGGTCTGGAAGGAAGGAGGGAGGCAGGGAGACAACCTGGGTGTAGGTGCTGCACCTTGAAACCCCTCCTTACAGTGCCCTCTGCTGGTGAGTGGCTGTCCCCAGCCAGAGGCTATTATTAAAATAGCAGATAGGAGGAGGAGGGAACCTTCATCTGAGTTTCTTAAACTATAATGTGCACAACAGTCACCTGGGAGATCTTGTTAAAATGCAGGCTCTGATTCTGTAGGTCTAGTATGGGGCCTGAGATTCTGCAGCTCAAAGAAGCTCCCAGCTGATGCCAATGCAACCGGTCCAAGGAGCTTAGAGAGCATCTAGTTCCACCCGCTCCCCACACAGAGAAGACAGTGGAGCCACTGAGACGGTTAATGACTCACCAGTTGCTGGTGGACCTGAGATGTACCCATATTTTTCCTTACACAAGGTGCTTTCTACTTCCCCCACCCAAAGTTGGCAGAGACACTGCCGGTTGGGAGACAACTGAACTTTGGGGCCATTTGCCATTCTGAGTTCTTAAAACTCTGCCTAGGAGCGGTGGCACCACAAGAATGAAAACTCCTTGTGGAACTTTTCCCATGTTTTCGGCTGTCTCCTCAGCTCCTGGTACAGCCTGATAGATAGAAGGTGTTCAATAAACATGTCTTGAATGAATGAGTGAAGCAGTTGAGAGGGAAAAGGATGCATTTTGGCTCCAACTGGCCAACACTGAGCCCAGGTGAGCCACACGTTGGGTATGTAATATTGGGCAAGCTACTTAACTCCTCTGAACCTCAATTCCCTTGTCTGTCAAATGCAGTTAAGAATATCTACCTTGTGTGAGATAATAATTGTCATTATTGAGCTAATAAATGTCAAATGCCCACCACAGAATGGGTGGTCAATAGATGGTAACCGTTGTCACCAGGGTCTGGCCTCCTGCAGTTGAGGAGGCATGGTGAACGCCCCCCCAGGCCCCTAGTTATCATCTCCCATAGAAAATAAGTAACTTCCTCTGCTTTTGTCTCAGTTAATAATTCTCTAGCCTCTTGTCTCTGACTGCAATGCCCTCCCCTCTGCTTCCTTCCCTGGTGGAGGTGAGAGGGTGGAATAAACCTCCCAGGGGAGCCCAGTACCCCAAAGTGCAGAGATGGTAGAGAGCGGGCAACCTGGGAAGCAGACCTCATGCCTAAAGACAAGCCAGGAAGGGGTGCTCAGAACTTTGATAGGGAATGAAAGGAGTGGGGTAGGGGTGTTTGTCTTTGTTGAACAAAGCTCTGTCTGAGTCACACAGGAGGCTGGACTTTGCCAACAGACAGGGACACTCTCCCCTACCCCTCTTTAGGGCGGCTGGGAGGCAGGACTTTCTGCCAGGAAGCGCCAGGTCACTCCTCCTTGACTCCCCACCCACCTCCACTTGTCAGCTGCCTTCTCCTCTGAGTCATAAAGTCCTAGGGGTTTGTGAAAGATCTGTCAAGCTAGGGTTCTAAGCCAGGAAGGTCATGCCAACCAGGAGGCTATAACCAGGGGCTGTGTTCATGGATTATGAACTCACTTCCCAAGCTAGTTCTTGCCACTCTTGGGGACAATCCCAATTATAAGGAGGCTCTGAAGAAATGTGAAGGCTCCTACCACTCACTCCCATGGCCACAGAGCTGGTTCATGGGATGCAAAGACCACAGGCATCAACAGCATTATAACTGGGGGCTGAGCTGTCACAGGAGGGCCAGTGTCAAACCCTCACCACAAGCCCTCAAACATTCCATCAAGGGGTAGCCTCCAGAGGCCAGGCACCAAGGAGGGTCTGGCAGACCAGAGGGGCTCCTCCTGAGAGGAACTCTTTGGGGCCATGAAACAGCAACTTGGACTTCCCAGCCAGTGTCACCACCCTTCTCATCTGAGAAAGGCAGATCAGCAGGGAGCACCACTCCACCCTCCTCCCAGCCCCACCCTCCTCCCAGCCCCACCCTCCTCTGCCTTCCACACATCATATGTCATCAGGCCCCCCGCCTGGGAGGTGTGCTGCCAGAGGTAAGGGGAGCACAGGCCTAGGAACCAGGAGGCACTGGGAGAGGCAGGTGTCAGGAGAAAAGAGGATGGGGGCAGGGAGGGGCAGGGAGGGGGCCTCCACCACTGGACAGAAATGTAGAAAAACAGGAAGGCAGAAGATGAGCAAACGGACAGTCAGGAGCACAGAAAGACAAGTAGAAATATGCACAGGTGGGCATGCTGCTCAGCTCTGTCCCAGAACCTCCAGGACCAGTGTCCCTGACCCTTGACAGAAAAGGATGGATTAGGGCCAGGCACAGTGGCTCATGCCTGTAATCCCAGCACTTTGGGAGGCCAAGGCGGGTGGATCACCTGAGGTCAGGAGTTCGAGACCAGCCTGACCAACATGGCAAAACCCCATCTCTACTAAAAATACAAAATTAGCCGGGCATGGTGGCGCACGCCTGTAATCCCAGCTACTAGGGAGGCTGAGACAGGAGAATCACTTGAACTAGGGAGGCAGAGGTTGCAGTGAGCCGAGATTGCACCACTGCACTCCAGCCTGGACAACAAGAGTGAAACTCTGTATGAAAAGAAAAAAAAAAAAAGGATGGATTAGATAGTCAGTCCAGAATACTGAAAATAATCAGATTGTTTTCTCTCCTTCAAATCTGGTTAATCATGGGGGGAGGCTGAAATATCATGAACAAATGAGAAGAATGATATTTGTGGGGCCTTGGTGGGGCCTTGGCTGGAGGAGGGTCTGTACATTGTCCCACATGCAAATGACATGCAAAGCAACATGCCACCTTGGCAGCTTTTTAATCAAAGACCAGGCAGTTGTTTCCTTGAAAAGTCAGGCCACAAGAAACCTGGATGCTTGTGCTTACATCCTGACACTCTGGGAATGGAAAGATGGAGCAGGAAGCTCATACCCCATGGCTCCAGGGGTAGAAGAGAGCTAAAAGTTCAGAAAAAGGAATCCACGGTGTCAACAGGCCAAGTTTGAATTTGGGCAGGAGATCAGCCTGGGTGGGCCCCATGAGTGTGCCAGTCTGATATGGTGAGATAAGCCTGGGACAGATGTGCTGCCGCATTCGTGACTAGAAAAGAGTCCCCAGGAATTTCTGGCTCCTGCCTTCAGATTGTGAACTTTCCAGGTTGGTAGATCAGCTTAGGTAGAACAGTTCTCGGTGAGGGCCAGCTACATACCTGGCTAAGCGCTGCCCACTGCAGAAAAGCTCATCACCCGGGACCTGATCTCCAGGACTCAGAAGCACTTGGAGGAAGGCCTATTCACTTAGAAGCAGTTACCAGTGCTGGGCAGTGTCCTCCAAGTGCCAGAGGAGTGCTGTGGAGAAAAGAAGTCCATGGAAGCCAGGAGATGGGCAAGGTGTGGCCTGGGGTTGGAGAGAGCTCAGAGGTACAGGACTGGAGCTGGGCCAGGGAGAGAGGAAGGACCTCCGTGAGTAGACCTTCTCTGAGGGGCTCAGGCCAGGAAATGAGTCAGGTTAGGAGGCAGAGACAGACGAGGAGCCGCAGGGGAAGGCTCATCACTAGCATGTTCTCTGCCTCCCCAGATTTTGCCTCTTCAAGGTGAATGCGGCTTCAAGGGGCTATCTTTGTGCTCCTGCCCCACCTGGGGCCCATCCTGGTCTGGCTGTTCACTCGTGATCACATGTCTGGTTGGTGTGAGGGCCCGAGGATGCTGTCCTGGTGCCCATTCTACAAAGTCTTATTGCTTGTACAGACAGCCATCTACTCTGTCGTGGGGTGAGTACTTGTTTCTCACACATGGCCCTGGTACCCAATGGGGTGGGAACAAGTCCTCTATATCTGAATTACTCCCATATATTGGCCTCCAAAGGTAGGCGCTTTGTCTTGCCTCTCACCACCATAGTGGGTCCTCCAGAAAGTAAGAAACCCTCTATGCCTGCCTGGGGTTCCAGTTAGCCCTTCTTCCACCCTCTCTAAGTCTCCCCAGCCCCTCCTCCACCTCACCATGCCCAGCTCCTCCCACCAACTCCCTCCCTGGCCCTTACATGATGCCTAAACCCATCTGCCCCCATTTCAGCCCACAAGGGTATCCAAGAGTCCTTATGCCAGAGAGCCTCCTCCATTTGCCACGGAACCTCCTCCCACTGAATGTTTTTGCCACCATGTCTCCACAGCTATGCCTCCTACCTGGTGTGGAAGGACCTGGGAGGGGGCTTGGGGTGGCCCCTGGCCCTGCCTCTTGGCCTCTATGCTGTTCAGCTCACCATCAGCTGGACTGTCCTGGTTCTCTTTTTCACAGTCCACAACCCTGGTCTGGTAAGGCACACAGTGCTCAGTAGCAGAAGTAATGTGGGAGAGGGTGAAACCACCTGGCTCCAGAAGCACATAATTCAGCAGAGCAATTGAGTGCAGGCAGGTAATGGGTGGGCAGACTTCTCTGCACTCCCATGGTGTGCACAGAGCCCCAGGGACTGAGCTCGTTGCTGGGCTGGGTACTGCAGAAAGGTGGAGGTGCTGGTTCTCGGGCAGCCAGCTGACCCCCGGCCTCTATGCCCAGGCCCTGCTGCACCTGCTGCTGCTGTATGGGCTGGTGGTGAGCACAGCACTGATCTGGCATCCCATCAACAAACTGGCTGCCCTGTTACTGCTGCCCTACCTAGCCTGGCTCACCGTGACTTCAGCCCTCACCTACCACCTGTGGAGGGACAGCCTTTGTCCAGTGCACCAGCCTCAGCCCACGGAGAAGAGTGACTGAGGCCCTAGGGCATGGGAGAGGAGGGACGCCCAGGGTGGGGAGGAAGAGTCTGCAAGCAGGGCTGTGGAGTTAGGGTTCACCCCAATGGGACCACCCTCCTGGGTCCCCTGGTGCCGTTTTTCCTTAGAAATCAGAGAAATGGGAAAGGGGGGGAAACTGATTTTACACTTAAATAATAAAATCCTATTAGTAACTCTGAAGGTATGATGTGAAGTGTGTATTTGAATGCATAATATGATGACTAGGGCGGCAGAGTGGGATAGAAGCTTCTGGACCTCTGTGTGAGTGTGTGCGCGTGAATGAATGTGTGAAGGCCCATGGGGGAGGGGTGGGCACACCAGCTCGCCTCCATTCACATGCCTCCCCACCTGGCATAAAGATTTAGCACTCAGATGTTTAATTACCTGAAAAACAAAAGGCTTTTTAAAAGTGACAAAAAAGCCAAAACAGAAAAATACACCTTAAAAAAGGGTACTAGGGGGCCAGGAGTGGTGGCTCACACCTGTAATCCCAGCACTTTGGGAGGCCAAGGCGGGTGGATCATGAGGTCAGGAGTTCGAGACCAGCCTGGCCAACATGGTGAAACCCTGCCTCCAAAAATACAAACATTAGCTGGGTGCAGTGGTGAGTACCTGTAGTCCTAGCTACTCAGGAAGCTGAGGCAGGAGAATCACTTGAACCCGGGGAAGAGGAGGTTGCAGTGAGCCGAGATCATGCCACTGCACTCCAGCCTGGGTGACAGAGTGAGACTCCATCTCAAAAAAAAAGGGGGGGATACTAATTATACATGTTAAGGTTATATAGTATATATTATACATTAATTTATATATCAGATTTATGATGCAATATCTAGTTATAACATATACTATGGTTGTATGATATATATGTTATACATCTCTGATAAATAAGATTATAGACCTTCTTTTTTGCTTTCATACATTCCTATGCTTTCCTTATTTTACATCAATTAATTACTATTAGAATAAGGCAAAGAAGATTGAAAAAAAGAGATTAAGCCTCAGGGTGCTGACAGGTGAATCCATAGGAGCTTCTTGTTCAGCCTTCTATCTTGCTTCTCTTTTTCTAAACCTTCTTAGTGGCTTTTTAATTTTTGACTCCTCCCTTCTCTGATTTTCTTCTGTCCTTGTTTCAAAGCCCTGATGGTGGCAAGGAGTGACCGCCCTTGAGTAAGCCTCCTCAAATCTTTAACAAGGTCAGCTGGAAGGCCCAGACACCTTGCAGTAGGGGGTCTCCACCTGCTGCATGATGGGGATCACCAGAATTGTTTAAAAATCCTCATCAGCCTCTCCAGGAAGGAGGCCTGGGCATCAACATTTTTAAAACTTCCCAAGACCTCCTCAGGTGCAGCCAAGGCTGTACCACAGCTGTTTGGAGCTATTTAAAAAAATGCATGTTCCTCAGACCGCACTCAGGACCCATAAATGAGAACGTTGCGGGTGGGCTCTTGGCATCTTCAGATTTAAAACCTCCTGAGCACTTCTGTCAGCTGCTAGCTAGTTTGAGTGCTTTGGGCACAGATCGTTTATCAGGGCCCGTTTAGCCTTGACACTCTGAGGTTTTGTGAGCTGAGTTTTAGAGCTGAAACAAACTGTATGCTCTCAGGTGAGAAGCCAGTAAGGCAGCATAATTTGAGAAGAGGAGTGGCTCTTTCCAGAGCTCACCCAAGAGAGGGAGTCTGCAGCCTCCCCTCCTCCACCAAGGGCATGCTCAGCCCAGTGGGTCAGGTCACAGGCACCCCAGGAGGACACACACAGTGTCCCACCCACCTTTGTATCTCCAGCCCCAGGACAGGGCAGAGCACAGAGTAGGTGCTTGTACGTTTTTATTTGTTGATTAATTGAACGAATAAATGAACACATTGTTGTACTTTAAAAACAAATGCTGACCAGCACCTGCCGCCACCCCTACCCCCACCCCTACTCTGGAACAACTGAAAAAAGAAGGGAAAGGCTTTAATCATTTTGGAAACTCCTGGTTCTAATGTGCAGCCAAACTGAGATGTGCTGCTGCAGGGTATTGCTTCTTACTGCTTCTCAAAGTGTGCCCCAGAGACCTCCTGAGACACTTGTTGGGACTCCAGACCCATGAAATCAGGTCATCTTGGGGAGTGAGAGCAATAGGGTATGGTGATTTGCAGTTCTGGCCATGGAGTCAGACCAACCTGGGGTTGGATATTGACTCTGTTATCTATTAACTGGTAACCTGGTGCAACTTCTAGCTATAAATACTGATGGACAGAGGATAGGCTCGGAACCCAAAATACATGGGTTCTTACCCAGCTCTACCACCATTGTGTGATCTTGGCAAGTGGGCACCCCAGACATTATCTTCCATTATCATTATTATCATCTCATAATAATATATGCATTGTAATATTTGCTACCAATTTTATTCATTACCAGCTAATTCTAGAAGTTAGGTGGAACCTCCAAGAAGATGTATGATGCCTAGGGTATTACTTTGACCTCCCCAAGGCAAGCTGGAGCCACTAACCCATGCCTCTAGCTTAGGACTTAGCCCTAGAAGAAAGCTTAATTTGGGCAGTGTCCCAAGCCCTGGGCTAGCACGACCGCCTGATACAGCATGAGCCAAGCTAAAGAGATTTTTGGCCATGTGCAGAAACTCAGCATGAAAGGGCAGAATCCCAACTCCAAACTCTTATCCTCTAACTCCAAAGTTGTCCTTAAAATCCTCCTCTGCCCCAGCTCCTTGGTTCCTGGGTGAAGGGAGCCCCTAATCCCACAGTCTCCAACCTCCCTGGGGCTCTTATCTTTCCCCTTACCCCACTTCCCAGTTCAGAGCCCAGCCTAGTGGACACCTGCCTTTGCCCCTCCTCTCTTGTTACTTAAGAGCTGTGCCTAAATAGACTTGGAGCTGCCTCTTCTCTTTGCAAGTGTATCCCAAGCTTCCACCATTCAAATTATGTGCACATTTTTGTTCTGAGGCAGTATTTTTCCATTTGCCTCTGATTTGGTTGAGTCGGAGACAGACAAGATCATAAGGCTCTGCAGATCTCCCGTCCAGCGGCTAGAGAGGCACTAGGTAAAACAGCAGACCCAGGAGGTGGCATATCTCATTCTATTGTATCCTAGTTCATCCTTTCCTCTTCTAAACCTTCACTCTTCCTCACTTTGCCAATTTCTGCAGAATGGAAACATAGAGAGGCTAGGTGAGATGGCAGAGTGGTAGGTGTATGTCTAGTGGTCAAAGATTGGTCAGCTGGGCTAGGAACAGGGCAGAGTGTAGGATGTATTTATTCTGCACATCTCTGGCCCCTCCTACCTACAGGCAGGTAGAGCTGCTGCGCAGGAGATGCCTAGAGGCCCCTGAATGTTGTCAGTCCTGGGCCAGGGCTCCAAAGTCTCTTTTCTTTTGTGAATGGCCACTATCTGCTCTGTCGCTTGGGGCTCCCCTGTACCCCAAGCCCAGTTTCAGAGTCTTCCCAGAGGTCCCCTTTCTTGTAGTTCCAGAAAACAAGCACACAATCCTTTTGTTTTAAGGATTTTACTGCTGATTCTCATTAGCAGCTTACAAGGTACTCAGTCCAAAGCCCAACTTTGCTGAGAACTCCCTCAGATCTCGACCTTCCTCTTGTATCCTCAAGTAGAGCCCAAAAAAACATTTACTTGCCTCCCAGACTCCTTCTCCCCCCACCCCCAAATGTTGAGGACACTCCATACATTTAGGCTCTTCTTCTGGTATGGAAGCCAGGGGAAGCCATCCCTGGTCACACCAGGGCCTTGATCATGTTCATCAGGGCCTCATTTGTCCCTTTCCCAGGTCGCCCAGCCCACACAGAGATTATCCGCTAAGACAAGTACCAGAAAAATCCCCCTAGCGTCCACTTGCACCTACTCTAACACATTTCTCATTTTAAGGGCTGAAATTCCCCTCTCAAGTTGATTGTAGTTTGTCACCTCTTCCCAGTAGGTTCTTTGGCCTTGCAAACACCCCTTCAAAGAGGAATACTATTAGTCACCTTAATGTACATGATCCTTATCAGATCACTTTCTTTAAAGACTGAAAGTGCCAGCCACGGGAGCTGGGCAGTGCCAGGAGTAGCCACTGGAATGGAAACCATGGTGACCAGGACTAAAGTCACCATTTTACCCAGGGTGGTGTGTCCCACATGGCAAAGCAAGCATTGTGTCCTGTACAGAAGACTGTAAACTCTGTCCTGCCCTGTGATTCTGGTGCCTTCTCCAATCCCAGCCTCAGACTCTGGGAGACCCTTGGCCCCCTCCCCTCTTCATTGGCCAAGGCTGCTCAAAGCCCTGGACACCTCACGTTTATATCAACAGAGCAGTTGCTAGAGGAAGCAGCCTCCCGCCCTCCAGAGGGGTGTCTGGTGCCCGAGCCCTGTTGTTTGTGTACCTTGTCTCAGTAGTGACCAGAGGGGCAGGCAGGCCTGGGCTGTGTCTCTGGGGCAACGTACTGTTGGGGTCCCAGCTGTCCCTGCACATAAAGCACCGACTCCATCAATGCACCCCTGAGGTATCCTCTTTCAGGGAGTGAGAATTTAAACCTTCCTCTGGTGAGGCTTCTATTTTCCACCAGCCCTGCTCCTGGCCTCTCTGCTCCCTTCCCAATGAGGGCAGCTCCACATCCAGCCAAGATCCAAGGAACAACCATGCCTGACCCTGTCCTCTCCTTCTCAGCCACCTCCTAGAATCTCTGAATGTTTTCTGAAATGACCGTGGGAAACAGGACAGGGAGAGGCATGCTGCAGCGTATCCCAGGCCTAACCCAGCTCCTTTCAGCCACTGCCATCCCAACAGAAGGGGGCAAGGGCCTGCAGAGACAGGCTGGGAGGATTCCAATTTTGGTTTCCATCCCCAGATACTAGCTGTCTGGTGTCTCTTTACCTGTACCCCCAAAACACAGATACACACACACACACACCCCTCATGTACCAATTACTCCCTAGAGTCTGTTTTTCCTGCAAGAACTCCTTCTCAGCTTCTTCAACTCCCACTGGTCTCTGTCCTTCCCTTCTCCCAGAGCTGGGCCTCATGGGTGCTGGCAGCAGTTGAGACTGAATGGTGAAGGAGGTAAAACATGACTCTGGAAGCACATGGCTCTGCCCTCTCTAGCTGCATCACCTTGGGCAAGTCACTTAACCTCTCTGGTCTCAATTTCCTCACCAGAAAAATTAGGATAATAATAGTACCTACCCCAAACATCCTTGTGAGGAATAAATGAGTTAACCTACATAATATTTTAGAGTAATGTCAGGCCAGCAGCAAGGACTGTGTTAATGTCAGCTCTCCTTGTTACTAAATTCCAGGGAATATGACACAGTAGGAGAAGCATGGAACTTGGGAGCTGACAGATATGGGTTCAAATCCCAGCACCCCACTGACTCCACATGTGACCTTGAATGAAATACCTTACTGCCCAGTATCCTCCTGTGCAGGAGGGGGACTACTGATAGAACCTTACCCAATAGGGTTAACACTGGGTGTGGGGTGTGCCAGCCCTGAAGAGTATAGAGGCAGCTGTAGGGAGAGGAGTCAAGCTCCTGGAATCTGATCCCCCAGATTAGTTGCTGCACTCTGGGGTGAGCAGAGTAAACTGGTCTGACTTGGAAAGAAGAGCCAGAGACCAGCCAGGAATTCAGGCCCCCAGGAGGTGCCATAAATAGCTAGAGCAGATCAGAGGGCCTCCAGGGATGGCAGGCTGGGAGACGGGGAAGGCTCAAAGGAGCAGTGAAAAAGGAAGCTGTCAGTCATCAGTCTGGGGGCAGACCCAGGACCCTCTCCCAAAGGTCGAAGGGAAAACTGTCTATAAGTAAGACAGAAGAAAGGGGTCAACTCTTAAGGACCAGCCTGAGACCACCTGGGCACCATTCACTCTGAGCTGTTGGGAGAGGCAGGAAATTCTCGACACGCCATTCACCTGTGGTCTTCACAAGCCCACTCGGCGCCCTATTTTCTGCCCTTTGACCATTTGGAAATAGAAATCAATAGCACAGCCTGTGTCACAGATGGGAAAACGGAGGCTCAGAGATGTCAAGTGATTTGTCCAAGATCACACAGTGAATCGGGCTAAGATGGGGATATGAACGTAGAATATTTTTTGCCTCCTAATCCAGGGTTATACATGACAGCCAAAATAGAAGGCCCTGTCCTCAGGGAGGAAGTCTTTCTTGCAGGGGAACAGTGAACTGAAAGGATCCATCCTCCTTGCTTTCCTCCCCAAGACATTTTACTCTTCCTCCGTTGATCCAAGCATATCACCCTAGCTGGGCCTGGGAAGTGTGAGAGGGATGCACATTTATAATGCTTCAGAGATGTTTCATCAAAGGTAGCTGTGCGCAGCCCTGGGAATAGGCTAAACTTGAACTTGGGCTCTGAAGACCTGAACTCAAAGCCCGTGTGATCTTATACAAATCACTTCACCTTTCTCAGCCACAAGTCCCTAACTTGCAAAATGAGGCCCATAATTCACACCCATGTGAGACTGGTGTAAGGACTAAATGAGATAATGCATGCTTGAATGCTTGATTAATGCCCCAAATATGATAAAAGCTGGGATCCCCTGGTGAGCCAGCACCTTATTTATCTCTGTACTCTTGGTATTTACCACCGCACCTGGAACATAGGAACCTCTGATAAATGTTGACTGAACAAGAAAATGAAGTAAACTCTTTACATTTAAACGTGGTATGTTTGTGTGATAACAACATTCTTTGCAGTTTATCAGCTGCCACTGTCTTTTTATTGTGGACACAGGCACTATTATCTCTACTCAGTGCTTTATTCCCCCCGAAAAATGTTTGAAAAAATAAGATCCAGATAAAAATGCTTTCAGTGGCTGGGCGCGGTGGCTCATGCCACCCAGCATTTTGGGAGGCCAAGGCAGGCGGATCACGAGGTCAGGAGATGGAGACCATCCTGGCCACATGGTGAAACCCTGTCTCTACTAAAATTACAAAAATTAGCTGGGCCTGGTGGCACATGCCAGTAGTCCCAGCTACTTTGGAGGCTGAGGCAGGAGAATCGGTTGAACTCGGGAGGCGGAGGTTGCAGTGAGCCAAGATCGTGCCACTGCACTCCAGTCTGGTGACAGAGTGAGACTCCATCTCAAAAAATAAATAATAATAATCCTTTTAGTAGTAAATCCAAAAGGTAGGGGACCATATAATTTATTGTCCACAGCGGGACACCTTTGGGAGTAAAGGGGTGCTATTAGTAATTATGTCTGGACAACAGGAAGAAACCATGACTGGCAAACCAAAATGCTGGGCATCACACTAACAGAGCACTCTGCTGCTCAGACTCTCTGGAGGAGTGAGCCCTAAATCTTCCAAACCATCTTGACTCCTCTTCTTTAGTCAGACCCTCCAAAGGGTGCCCTACCCTCTCATCCCCACCAGCCAAACCCATTTGGAGCTGTTTTCAGATCCGTTCCCCAGTGTTCTTAGGTTCCTCATTTTCAACCTACAAGTGACCCTGACCCCTTCCTTCTGCTTCCCTGAGAATGGCCTAGAGTGTTTGCACTGCTCCAAACACGAAGACTTTTGCCTCTGCTAAGTACCCATCATGAGAGCTGCAAAAATCATCTAGCCATCCTCTGCTGCTGTTCCGGCTCAGGGTCTTTTCTATGGGCCCCCATCATCTCTCTCTGGCCTCAGTAGGCTTCTCACTGGTCCCCTGCCTCTGCTCTTCCCAAGTGCTCAGACCACCTGTCTCACCTGTTCAGAGACAATGGCTTCCCACCTCAGTCTGAGAAAAAGCAAGGTACTTATGACAGCCCATAAGGCCCCAGTCCCTTTTACCCTTGTTATCTCTCTGGCTTAATCTCTTAGAACTCTTCAGTCACCCAGATGTATGTCCTCGCTAGTTCCTCAAACACCCCAGGAATGCTCCCTTCTCAGAGCCTTTGCTCACGTTGTTCCCTTCCTTGGAACGCTTTCCTCTTAGACAACCAAATGATTAGTTCCCTTGCCTTCTTCACGTCTTCTTCAATTGTCTCCTTTTCAAAGTCCTTCACCCTGGCCATCCTATAAGTACGTAACCCCACCTCTTAGCACTTCCTGTTTCCATTTCCTGTCTTTTCTCCTTGGCACTTGTCATCACAAAATAGACCATGTATTTTACTTACCTTATTTGTTGTTCAGTTCCTCAAGCTCCACAAATCATCACAGCAGGGATTTTCATTTGCTTTGTTCTTTTGCCATATTCCCAGTACCTGAAACAGCACCTGGCATAGAGTAGATACTCAATAAATATTTGTTAAGAAGAATAAAAGACTGACTGTGAGGGCACATAGCATGGAGGTTGAATATTTGGCCTGAAGTACAAAAGCCTGCATTTTAATCCCGGCTCTGCACACTTCTGTGACTCAGTTTACCTGTAACTTGGGATAATACACATCGCCTCCCATGGCTGTGGCAAGCATGCATCTGATTTCATTTAAACCCCTAAACCCACTGCCTGGCCTGTTTCAAAATCTCTGAGCTAAGTAAATGGCAGCTATTGTTACTCAGGGAGGCTCCTGATCGATTTGACATTACATTATGGCTTTGTAACAGGCAAATCAGCACCCACCGCTTTTGAGTCATAACTCACACACTTACTCCCCAAATTGTCAGTTTTGATCCCACCTCTGCCAGGACCCCTCCTTTCCTGAACCCACGTTCCCCCAAAGCAAATGGCCTGGGTCTTTTTGCAGTCAGCCCCTTTCAACACACATCTCCTCCTGTTTAAATCTCAGAAGGCCACCCTCCTAAATCTCAGGATGCCTGCCCTGGGGCCCCTTCCACACTCTCCCCCAGTGGAGCTAGGGAATTTGGGTGGGAAACAAAGGGGAGAACATAAGGTGAGCTGAGAGGGAGAGGGAGAAGAGAGCAGGCCAAGCCATACCCACCTGCCAGGTTCCTGTCTTTGCCTACTGATAAATAGGGGATACTAATGGCCAGATTTTCCATTCCCCCACCCCAGCACCCGCTGTCACTCAATTAAAAAAAGATAGAGGGAGAGAGCCTGGGGGAGGGGCAGGAGGCCTTGGCTATAAAGCCTGTGGCTAAGTGGGGAAAGCACGAAGCCTGGCCTGCTGGGTCCTTTTCCCGTCATCCCCAGCCAGATTTAGCTGCTGACAGCTGCTTGGGACTCTGCCGCCAGGGCCTGGCCCAGACCTGCCTGCCTCTCTCCTCTCCCTCAGTGACTCCTGAGCCACAGCCCCTCCATGGCCCAGAAGGAAGAGGCTGCTGTGGCCACTGAGGCTGCCTCCCAGAATGGGGAGGATCTGGAGAACCTGGACGACCCTGAGAAGCTGAAAGAGCTGATTGAGCTGCCGCCCTTTGAGATTGTCACAGGGTAAGCCTCAGATGTGGGTCAGGGTTCTGCTCCCTAGAAGAGTGCAGCCTTGGGTTAGGCTGTGGAAATTCAGGATGGTTATATTAGGCGTCAGGGACAGCTACAACCCTGCAGCAGTGAGAGTGCACCAGTGGGCCCGGCAGGGGTGGTAGGGGACCCAGCAGCAAATTCTCTTGGCTTCTCAGGGTGACACCTTGGGCTCTCTAATCAGGGAGAGGTAGGAGGAGCTCCTTGGAGGCAAAAGCCCAGAGAATAAAACCACCCTTCAGGCCTCCTGGTATTGGGATGGCCACCTGCCTCTCTGGGTAGAAGCTTAGTCCCAGGGAGTTTGGCGAGGACAGAGGATGAGACTGGCACATCTATATGTGGCTCCGTTCAAAGCAACCCTTCCCCTCAACTTCTCTGTTCCTGAGTGGGTCTCTCCGCTAGCCATAGGCCTCTAGCCCTTTCTTTAGAGCTTCTTCCTGGAGTAGATGCTCCCAAGACAGGAAAGATAGATCCATCCTTTCCCAAGACTCAGAAGCAGCTTTTTTCTTATTAAATCTTTTGAGTCTCCTCAGGGGCTGTCCCACAGAGAAACAGAGAAATTACATGCAGATAACGCAGCCCAGGAGCTTATGGACACAGGAGCTGTTCCAACATGCTCAGGCATTGCCTGGAGGAACTGGGACCCAAAGAAAAGGGTCTACAGACTGCAAGGAGGGGGCTGTGTGCAGGGTACCTCTGTCTTATCCAGATTATGCCATCTCCAGGAATAAAACTAAGTAGTCTTCTTCCTCTTCCCTTTCTATTCCTGTAGTGGAAGACCCTTCTAAATCCTGAGCAAAGAATAAAAAGAGAATCTATGAGGCCATATTTCCTCCTTGAACCAAACGTTCCCTTCATGGGGTCTCCAGGAATGACCACAGGCAGAGTGGGTGCGAGACTAAGAGAAGTTTCAGGAAGAAAGGAGGCATGATGCTTTCAAGGGGGAAAGGAAGCCCTGAGTGGCAATTTGGACTTGATATTTCAAGCTTGACAAGTGATTTTCCAGTCAGCCACAGTTTTAGCACTTATAACATGAAGATCTATAGTAGTAAGGTCCCTTCCAGCTCAGATGTTTTCTGATTTTCAAGAGAACCTAAGGGAAAATGCATCCTATTTCCTGAGGCAAGAGTAGCCCCTGAATTTCCATTTGCCCATGCCCACCCAACTAATCTCACCCTCATCCTAGGATTAAGGGAGCAGCTGGGCACAGATTAATATAGACACAGGGAAAGCCTAAGGCAGCCTGGCCAGGAGAGTCCTCAATTCCAGTGGCTTTCTTATGGAAGGAGAGCCTTTTTCTAACACCTAAGCATGCTGGTATACGCTATCCTTAGTCATACACACACGCGTGTGCACACTACACTCTTGTGTGGCTTTCCAACACAGAGGGAGGGTAGGTCAAGAACAGAATTAGACTATGTTTGTTCAGCTGAACATGCTTTGGGGGTCCCAGAGCAATGGATCCTGAAGGGTTAAGTCCACTGATATAACTTACATTTGTCCAGGGCTTTATAATCACAACATAGTTTCATGAACATGAGACCATTCAACACTCAGCACAAAGGTAGGAGAGGGAGATATATTATTGCCACTTTACAGAGGGGGAAACTGAGACTCAGAGAGATTGAATGGTATGTCCAAAACCACAGAACTGGTAGGTGGCACATCTTCTTACTCCCAGCAAAGTATCCTTTCTACTGGTTTCTTATTCATTCTGGATCCCAGGTTTCCCAGAGCTCCACGTTATCTCTATCTGGGAGGTAGTGAGGACCCAAGGCTCAGAAAAAGGGGCACAGAAGGGGCAACGTTCTGAGCATTCTGTGAACAGTTCAGGTGGGAGCAGAGCGCTGAGTGTTTCCTGGCCACAAGTAACAGCTGTAGAGAGCTGTCTCCTGGGCCCCTCTGGGTAAACAGATGGCTTAAAATAGCCCAGAGGTGCAGCTGGGTCTGTGCAGGGAGAGGGTGAGGGAATAGCTTTCCTCTCCTTCCCTCTTGAGATGCATTCCCCCCAGGACTCCCTCCTGGAGTCAAGGGGGTCAGCAAAGCAGCTTTTCTAGCCTGGTCTCCTATAGGGAAGATCTTTAGTGCTCCTTATATTTGGGCCAAAAACTAGCAGAAGAGCAGGTAGCTTTTCCGGAAACAGTCCGACATGAGGAGGGTAGCTGGTAGGAAGGAGAGATGCCCAGCTCATAGCGATTCTGGTTGAATAGGGCATTCAGGATAGAAAGCGGAACTGAGCACATTAACAAAATAACATGGTAGAATGTTCTGGAAAAGGGCCTAAGCCTGCCGTAGCGTGCTGAAGCCAGTTCCTGTTGGTTCACAAGTCTCTTCCCTACTCTGCATCCAGTGATATCACCTCGGGAGCTTGAAATCTCTGTAATGGGAGTACTTACCTTATGGAAATCAGCAAACTTTAGAAATTGGGGATTCTTCCTTCTATCAGAGAGATGAGTGTTACACTTATCAGCACACCATTGAAAACCAGAAACCTCTGAAAGTGAGAGGAAGAGCAGTGGGAAAGGGATCAGGTTTGGTAATGCTTAAGACGGAGCTCTGAAGGATACAATTTGAGGCCTGGAGAAGGCATCATATGTATCATACATCAATTTCCTTTTTCTTTTTTGGAGATGGGGTCTTGCTTCTTGCTCTGTTGCCCAGGATGGAGTGCAGTGGTGCAATCACAGCTCACTGTCGTCGCAACCTCCCGGGCTCAGGTGATCTTCCTGCCTCAGCCTCCCAAGTAGCTAAGACTACAGGTGCATGCCACCACGCCCAGCTAATCTTTGTATTTTTATAGAGATGGGTTCTGACTGTGTTGCCCAGGCTGCTCTCAAACTCCTGGCTTCAAGCAATCCTCATGCCTCAGCCTCCCAAAGTGCTGGGACTATTGGCGTGGGCCACTGTGCCCAGACTAGCTTTGAGTGTCTACTGTTGTCCAAAACCTTAGAAGTTAGATTACTCACTCTTTCAGGTGAGGAAACTAAGCCTCAGAGGGATTAAGTCATATGGCCAAAGCTTGTTGATGGAGTAGGATGTGAACCCCAGGACTGTCTGACTCCAAATCATCACACTGCATCCAAAAAACCAGAGAGGATTCTTTTTATATTTACTGAATAAGAGTTTTTCATTTACTGCCTGTTTCCCCTGTTAGTATTTAACCTCTATGAGGACAGCACTTTGTCTTTTTCACTGCTTTATCTTTAGCACCTAGCTCCTGATAGGTACTCAATACGTATTTGTTGAATAAATGAATGACCTAATGAATAAGAACCTTTTGGGTGGTTCTTAGGCTCTCTGTCAGACAAGACAGGGAATGAACTGGGGGAGGGTTTCTTGAGGACAGCAGCTCAGGGTGTATGACGATCCAGCAACACTAGATTTAGGTAAGAATTCCCCTGGCTCATGCCTGCTTCTGGACACAGCACGTTTTAGTAGAGCTCTGGGGCACGAGAGCTGGTTGTCTCCCCAGCTTTCCAACCCAGTGAGAAGTGACTGTGGCTCTGCCTGGCAGCACCCTTGATGTGAGCTTGGCTTTGTCTCTAGTTATGTTGTATATGTTTTTACAGAAAGCAGAACCTCCTATCCCAGGGATTATTATGGAACAAAGATAAATGGCACACAGAGTGATTCTTCTTCTAACCACTTCTTTAGCTACCAGTAGTTTACTCTAGCCATGTAAGGAACACAGAGAGGCAGTGTCCAGAGGAGAAGGGTGAGATAAGGAGTGAGGGGACTTCGACACCAGTTAACACCAGCCACAGCCCTTTACCCTCACCCTGGCCTCTGGAGCACGCTGGGTGGTGTGTCACCAAGAAGAGAAGGCAGCGCACTGACTCTGGCCAACCTGCCTTCCACAGAGGGTTGGGGGCAGGTCAAAGCTCAGGTGTGAAGACCATGCCTACCAGGGAAAACAGGCAAGTTCAGGGTTTCCCTTGGGCAAAATCCCATCCAGTCCCACAGTCTGGAGTTCCCTTCTCAGCTCTAGGGAGTCAGGCTGCTAGAACCCTCTGCTCCTGCTCTTACTACTCTTTCTGATTATGCCCACTCCTTGGTATCCGCTTTGAAAAGTGGTCTGAGAAAGCAGAAGGCCAATGAAACCAGCAATCCTCCCTCTTTCACGCCAGTCACCAACAGGTCTAGTGAGGGAAAGCTGAAACAAGTCAACACATAATTACCTATGAGTAGATTTTTCCACTCATGGATTATTCTGGAGCAAATGTTTAATCTCAGTCCAGCTTCAACTGCCCTCTGGGTTGCTTCCTTTCACAGTATAGATTTACGCTTAGAAAATTCAAACGTTTTGAATGTGAACCTGAGAAAAATGTATTACATTTACTCACATCCCTTCTCCCTCCATCAAGCAGATTATCTTCCCAATTTTTTTTCTAGATATTTGGACTCTCTGTTTCCTCCCAAGTGAACTGAAATGTCCAGTAGCCTGGGTCTAAGCAGATGAAGTGTGACTGGTCTTGTTTGGAGAAAGTATGAGGAAATGGTGCTTAACAAGGTGCTATCAGAGGCTGGGGAGAGGGAATAGAAATCAGGCTGTAGGTTTCTACGCATGAGGAAGTGACTGGATCAGGGAAAGAAATCTACTACCAGCATCTCTCTCCTGACCACCACCCACCACCACCACCCCACCCCACACACACACACACACACACACACACACACACACACGTTTCTACGCATGAGGAAGTGACTGGATCAGGGAAAGAAATCTACTACCAGCATCTCTCTACTGACCACCACCCACCACCACCACCCCACCACACACCCACACACACACACACACACACAGGTTTCTACGCATGAGGAAGTGACTGGATCAGGGAAAGAAATCTACTACCAGCATCTCTCTACTGACCACCACCCACCAACACCACCCCACCACACACACACACACACACACACACACTCACACACACACACACCCCCACCCCTTTACCAGTAAAATATTTTCTGGGTTAAATGTAAAGGGCTATAGTTAAATATGATACTTAGGCCTATCATGCTACTTAAAAAAAACTGCTGGTGATGATTTAACAAGTTAGGTGTCATTATTTCCTTCCTTCCACTAGTGGGCATAATAGTGTTAATTTATTCTGTGAGTCTACAAAATTGCCCAAGATGGCCATGTTGTCTAGTTCCCTGGAGAAATTCCAGACTTCTACTACCTCTGTTCTCCTGGTTTCCCCCCAGGACGTAGCTATTTCGGTCTGTGAGAGGCCTAAAGAATCTCATCTGACCTTTTTGCTCCTTCTAGAAGACCAAGAAACCCATTCAGAAATCAAGCAAGTTTAGTCTCTGAGCAAGCCCAAGGGAACGACTAGGAACCAAACCTTCCCTGCCTTTCCTTTGCTCCTTGAAAGCACTTCTTTTCCTGAGGCATCTAGTCCAGAAGGCCCTGCTGAGGGACAGAGTAGATTCTAGGGCTGCTGGCCAGAGGGGTTGGAAACCCGTATTTATAGAGAGATGACCTTTCTTCCTCTCCCTTGGGTTTCAGGTTTCTTTGGGTCTTCTCCTCTTGCCTAGGGAAGAGGAGGAGGGGAAAATGTCAGAGCTTAAGAAGGGCAGAAAGAAACAGTCACCTCACAACCATCAAAGCCAATTTGCAATTGCATGCTGGGCCAAATTCACACTGGCCTAAATTCATACTTTCAGCTGAGCTATAGGGAGCTCCAGAAGGAAAAGAGGGACCACACAGCAGCTACTGTTTAAGCTTCCAAGCTATTTGAGTAGCCATGAATACTTGCCAGGGTTCCACCTGATAATCCATCATATAGGTGGCCCTGGATTAGACTTGGGGAGTGGGGCAAAAGGTCTTGAAGAGCAAGTTTGGGCAGGAACGGTAAGCTCTGAGCTTCTCAAAAGCAAAAAGCCACTCCAGGAAGTGAAGGGACCATTTGGCAACTGGTAAAGTTGAGGAGTGGTCTGGTGGGGTGAGTACCTTTGGGGAGCACTCACTATAAGTGAACGCCTGACAGGGATTGAGAAGAGGAGCAGGGAAACATCAGGCGATCCATTCTCCTAAAATGTTAAGTAAACAATAAACACCTCCAACTAGGGACACAGGGGCTTAGAGAGCTAAGTATAGTACCTGATGGAATCCTGGGGCTGGGTCCTCAAACACATCCATCTCCACAGTGGAAAATGAACCTGACAGCACGGGACATGGAAACTTGGGTGGATACATTTTGGTGATGGGTGGGGGTGAGGGAATCCTGCAGGGAAATAAGTCAAGTTTACTCATATCTTTGGCATCTGCTGCTCATCCCTAGGCAGCCAAGGCCCTGGGATACCAGGGATTCCCCTGCAGCCCAGGGAGTCTGTTGACTTCTTTGGGGAAAGAGAAGAGGTGGAGACAGGCAATAGTAGAATTAATGGTGCCATAGGTATCTCTTGGGGCAGGCAGAGAGATTACATTTTTAAAAAGGAAAACATTGAATCTTTCTAGCTGGTACTCATCTCCTCCTCTCTTGACATTTTTCATCTCTCCTATTAAAAATTCATTTTCTTTGGACTTCAAACTTGAACAAATCTTGCCTATTTTAGAAAAACACACACATACACATAAAAGTAAAAACAATCTTCAACTCTGATGTCTTCTCTGGCCCTTCTCTTTTTTCTTCTCCTTGTTATTACCAAAATTTTCAAAATTCCTGGACTTTTCCTGCTGTTTTCATTTCCTAACCATCCATCTCCTCCTCAAAGGCACCCACACAATTCATCACCAAGTTTAGTGTCCTAAGATACCTACTGGACTTGTTCAATTTGAGGCTTTTCCTCAGCTTCACACTATCTGCCTATTGCCAAGACTGTAATCTTGCATGGACATCATTTTTATTGTTTTCCTTCTCAAGAACCTGTAACAATTCTCTACTGCCTCCCGAATCAAGGCCAAACTTTCGAGAACCTTCATAATACTTCCTTTACTGTACCTATCCAATTTTAGCAGTCTTATAATGTTCTCAGCTGTTTTATTTACATCTTCTCTGTCCAGCTGCAATCTAGCTGCTAAATTATAAGCATCTGGAGGGCAGAGACCAAGTCCTTTAAGATTTGGAGGTGACTCAATACTAAATACAGGCTTAACTATCCCAAGATACCCTTGAGTAGTCTGTCCTCACAGATAAAAATTCTTGGACACTTAGCATGTGACAATCCCTTTACCTGAAAGTAAACAGACTTGAGAAGTAGTCACTTGAGAAGGAGAGCATGTTATTGCAAGTTTTAGGCCATTTCATGCCAAGATGCAATTTACATGAGTTACAAGGAAGAGAAAAAAGCATAAAATGCTCTGCAAAATCTTTGTTTTGCTCTGTCATGAGAAATTTTATATGCTTGCTACTTACCTGGCCACTTATTGGAATCATCCAGAGAGCTTTTTAAAAATACTGATGCTTGGACCACCTCTCCACATGTTCTGATTTAATTGGTTTGGCATGAGGCCCAGGCACTGACATTCTCAGTCTTCTAGGTGATTCTAAGGTATAGGCAGGTTAAAGATTCAGTGATTTAGAAATGTAGGGGTATGTTGTGCTGGAAGAGTGATGGTGGAGACAATGTCCTAGTAGGGTGACCAAAATGCACACCTCAGTCCAAATTCTCCTCTCCTTCAGATAAACCCTTCTGGATTTTTTAATGCTTTTTTTTTTTTTTTTTTTTTTGTCACTGATGTTACCACAGACAAGACCTATTTATAGTAAGAGTGAATGCATTTCTGAAGTACTGACCTGGAAGAGCTACCTACTCTAGGCTGGTTCTAGAAACAAGAACTTATCATTCTTTCCTGTCCTTTTGTCTCCTTGACCTACAGAGAACGGCTGCCTGCCAACTTCTTTAAATTCCAGTTCCGGAATGTGGAGTACAGTTCCGGGAGGAACAAGACCTTCCTCTGCTATGTGGTTGAAGCACAGGGCAAGGGGGGCCAAGTGCAGGCATCTCGGGGATACCTAGAGGATGAGCATGCGGCTGCCCATGCAGAGGAAGCTTTCTTCAACACCATCCTGCCAGCCTTCGACCCAGCCCTGCGGTACAATGTCACCTGGTATGTGTCCTCCAGCCCCTGTGCAGCGTGTGCTGACCGCATTATCAAAACCCTTAGCAAGACCAAGAACCTGCGTCTGCTCATTCTGGTGGGTCGACTCTTCATGTGGGAGGAGCCGGAGATCCAGGCTGCTCTGAAGAAGCTGAAGGAGGCTGGCTGTAAACTGCGCATCATGAAGCCCCAGGACTTCGAATATGTCTGGCAGAATTTTGTGGAGCAAGAAGAGGGTGAATCCAAGGCCTTTCAGCCCTGGGAGGACATTCAGGAGAACTTCCTATACTACGAGGAGAAGTTGGCAGACATCCTGAAGTAGGGCAACTGGGCTTTGCCTCACGTGAGTTTTCCTGGTGCCATGGCACCAACACTTTATTATGTTAACTCCAGTAGAAGGTGTGAGGTCAGGTAGAATCTGTGATATGTCTGATTTTCCTTTGGAAGGGTTTCATTTCTCTGCTTTTGACTGGTTGCAAAAATAGTTTAGAACATGTCTCTTTCCTCTGAATCCCTCTCTAAACTTTTCCCTCCCACACTTTTGTATCAAAGTAACTTTCCCCTAACTTAGAATACTCAAGGTTGACAGGAATCCTAAAACTTTCATGAGGCAAGATGACGTTCTTTGGTAAGATTTAGATGGTGCAAGCACCTGCTACTGAACCACAGCAGAGAAGATACTGAAATCCTCTGAGTATGCCCCTGTGTACATGTCAGGGATTACTAATTCCAGACATCTTCTAGATGCCTCACTCCCATATCCACTGGCAATCTTACCATTCCATTTTTCTCTAATGAATGTTTTTTAGTCCTTCAGGGACAATTTTTTCACTTATGGTAATTTTGAAATTCCCCAAATGGACTGGTATTTAACTTGTTTTAAGCCAGACCTGCTTTCATGTTTTCAAACAAATGGCTACACTTTGAAGGAGACCAACAATTGCTGTGTGAAAATACAATACGGGAACATTTTCCTTATGTTGAGAAGACCTCAGTAGAATTCATGGAGGATGTCGAATGCAGGAATGGGGATAATATAGCAACAAGCTAGTCCATGCAGGAACATTTAAAGAGTTAAAAAGACATTTGTAAAGTAGGCAGCAGCTCAGAAGTAACCTCTTACAGATATCAAGAGGTGATAGGAGAAAGATTAGCTATTTAAGCAAATAATTAGGACACAATTAAGGCCAATTTGGCCTCTTGCTGAGGGTAAATTAAACTCTAACAGAAACAGGCTAATTACCCTCAGGAAAGAGGGCTAAAGGATCCTTTACTATCTTTTTTACATTTAGTCTGATTGAGTTTGCGCCTACAGAAATGCTATGACGAAGCCCCCTTTGCAAGGCCCCAGTTACTGATCAAAATCTTCCAGTAATAGAGGAGGGGTACTCACGACACTCTTACCCAACTTTAATCCTGCAACAACTCACATATTACTAAAACATGAAAACAACAAGCTTCCATGAAGATAATTTACTTTTGGTCTCTCTCACTCCTAACACCCTTAAGAGAAGATGTCGCTTCATAGACACGTTTAGGAAATATCAATGTTCCAGAGCTTGATGTTGGCAGGTGTTTTCTATTAGACATGCACATGGGCACCTGATCATTCTCAAGCTGAGCATTTGCCAACCCATGAAGATACAACTTTCAGCCATTTCTTTTAAAAAGCAGGACCCAGTCACTGAAGTCAGTGAGCCTATGATAGGGTATACTGTGTGGTACTCTGCTCACATAAAATAAGACACTTTATAGTGGTGAACAGTAGTCAAAACAGATTTCTGAGGGTGCCCTCTGAGAATATAAAATTTAACTTTTAGAATTCCTTGAAGATTTTGTTAGTGTATGTACTATCACTGTAATTATAAACCCAACATAGATTCTACAGACTAACCGGCAGCTTAAAATTTAACCCCAGTATATTTTCCTTTCAGACATCTTTCAGAGTCAAGGGCCCAGGTGCCTAACTAGCAAGTCCTTAGAGCTTTTTTTTTTTTTTTTTTTTTTCAGTGATTTCAAATATAACTGTATTATCTGGACCCATTAACATGCTTCCCTGTCTTCTATTTGAATTGCTCATGTTTGTGAAGGGAAAGGTTAAGATATATCAAGTTAAAAAAAAAAAAACTGGCATGAGATAAGAGTGTAATCTAAAAGCCCAAAAGAACAACCCTGCTTAATTAAAATAATCTTGAGAAATGAGCATTTGTTAAATAAAGTGTCTTATTTTACATACTTATTTCATCTTTCTTTTTTTTTTTTTTAATGACAAAATAGTATTTAATCCTATATTTAGTCAAAAGACCAGAGTTAAACCAGATCTCTTCTGGGGCTTTTTCTGTGTAAACCACATCAAAACATGAACGAAAGACTGGCTTCTGGTTTAGTCAATCCTGGTAAATTTACCCAATCCTGCAAAGGAAACTATGGAGGAGAAATCCAGGGACTTGTTGGGAAGGGCACACAGAAACCTTAGTTCAAAAAGAAACTAGTCATTGTTCGGGGCCAGCAGAGCTCTCAGTAACACATTTTCTTTGTTTGTTTTACCAAGGTATTCCTGCTGCCACCAAGAGACAGCAATGACATGTACAGCCATCTGGGACATGCCTGTCTTCCTAATACCATTTGGAGCTGGACAACATTTGACACCAACCAATCATACTGGACAAGGCCCTTAGAGGACTTGAAATATACTTCTCATGCTGTAGTTTATTTAGGCTGTGACTCTCTCTCTAATGCTGCTCTCGGGAAGGACGAAAGTGACCTGCAAGGAGAGAAATGCAACCATACATGGGCTCCAGTCAACTATGGGACTGAAGGTCCTAATTGCTCACCCAAGGGGGCTGCTTAACACAAACAGCCTCAGACCCGAGGTTTAGATTTCTGAAATATGCATTTTATGTTAAGTTGGGTATTTTTTTAAAAAAAGAAAAACAGCAACATTAATAAAAGAAGTGGTGTGTTTTTCCCGTGGCCAGATTTTTAAGAAACTTGAACATCTGGAAGTTGCCACAGACAAGCGAGCTAGTCCAGACACAGGGACACTCCAGGCTATGAACCAAGCCATGGTTAAACCAAGACTTGCCTAGACAATGCAGAATAACTCTCCCATACAGACTTCTTACGACAATCAAGTGAGGGCCTTTCCCTTCTCTGAAGGCAAGTAATAGGGCAGAAGGTGGAACAAAAAGCATGAGAAATCTAAGGTAGCCACATCCCAAATGCCAGTTAATAAGCAACTAGCTTCTTTATTAGAGAGGAGCGGGTGAAAAGTAGTAGTTTAATGTTCAGATATACAATCATTTAAAAGTATTCAATACATGGTGTTTGATGGTAATGGCAGGATGATGTCAAGTCTCTCTTTTTTTTTTTTTAAAGGTTTGTTTGAGTCCTATGTGGAAGCAAAAATTCACAGGTGAATTTCCGGGTGTTTGCCAAACTCTAACTAGGTTTCCAGGAATAATGTGTTCACTCTGATTACCAGGGCATGCCTCCTTTCCTCAGGCTTCAAGTGTGATAAGTCGTCGGAATTTGACCCAAGACTACTATCGGCAAATGACAAAGTGCTTTATCACATTCCTGCTAAGTCCCAGAATTCCACTTACAGCCAATCCTGAATGAGACTAGGTTTTGTCTAAAGAATCAAGGCTCAAACGCCAAGAAAAAAATAATAATAATAACCATAATCTCTTTAAAAGTAAAGGAAGCCTAGAAAATCCATGTTTTGACTTGTGTTAAGGTTTACAGATGGTACTCAATTTACAATGGTTTGTCTTGCAATTTTTGGACTTTACAACGGTGCAAAAGCCATACACATTCAGTACACCCTTCAACTGAACTCAACTTAAGATGGGGTTACCCAGACATAGACCTAAGTTGAGGAGCATCTGTAATTGCAGAGTTAAGCAAAATATTTTAAGTTTCTTTAAGTTTCTTATCCCCCACTCTCACTTTCAATTTTGTGTATTTAGATAATCTCTCCTTCCTTTTTCCCTTCAACTTTATGTGGACAAAAGCAATGCTTCAAGAAAAGCCTCAATCTAAAAGTTTGATAATGAACTTGACCCTCCACTGCCCCTACCCCAACAACATGAAGAACTTGTCTGTTCCACCTAGAAATACAAAAGTGAAATACTTTTTTGAAACTGTTGCCTCTTATCAGGCTGATATGTGATAAGAACACAGTCTAAAGTACAAAGATTATATTTAACCAGTACTTTCCTGGTGTTTTAACCAGCCCCTTCTAAAATACAGTTGTTCTTTTATACTTGGGAAAGCAGCAAGTCCTGTGACAGACCCAAAGTCACTCTAGGGAGAAAATCAATAGCAAGTCTGGCTGTTTTAACTCTCAACACCACTGTAAGGGAAAACAAGAAAATGTCTAGTTTCCCGAATAGCTCTGATACTGAACCATTGGCTAAATCCATGAACTTTATTTTCCTACCATGACCACAATAGACGACTGGTCTTTGCAGCTTCGGAAGAAAAGAGGACTAATATTTAGACCCCAGCTGGCTGCACATCCAAATCTTCTATGGAGGTTAAAAACACAAAAGTGGCCATCCCACTCCACCACCAAATTTTTTTTTTTAATTGAGATAGGGTCTTGCTCTGTTGCCCACACTGGAGTGCAGTGGCACAATCACAGCTCAATGCAACTTCAACCTCCCAGGCTCAAGCCATCCTCCCGCCTCAACCTCTAGAGTAGCTGGAACTACAGGCCTGCACCACCAGGCCCAGCTAATTTTTAATTTCTTTTTTTTTTGTAGAGACAGGGTCTCGCTATGTTAACCAGGTTTGTCTCAAACTCCTGGGCTCAAGTCATCCTCCAGTCTCAGCCTCTCAAAGTGCTGAGATGACAGGTATGAGAATTTTTTGAGAGGAAGTGGCCTTTATTTTTTTAAAGAAGACTCATAAGGATTTTTGACAATCACTGATTTATTGGGTCACTAGTCTGTGCTAAGTACTCTGCCAGGCATTTAACATACATTATTTCACTTGTTTTCATGATTAAATTCAGGCAGGTTCAATCACAGAAACCATGCAGTGGACAAAAGAGAGAAAAAGTTCACCATGAGGAGATTCTAAAAACCTGCCTTTTGACTTGTCTATTTTTATCTCTTATTTCTCACTTTGCTTCTCCTCCCGCTTGGACCCTTTGTCTGACTGTTTGAAATTAAGTTGCAGGTGAACCCTCCATTACCCATGTCCAGAACAAATAGACATAAGCACAGAACCTCACTAACTCCCCAAATTTTTATTTTTCCATTTTTATCACCACAAATTTCTTGGTAACAATGTAGAATTTAATTTTGTAATTAAAACAAAAACTCTCCCCTAGGAGGAATCTGATGACATAAGGATAACACCAAGTTATGTGCACAAACGACAAAAAATGCCAAACTAACTGGAATGATCATCCTTCCTGAAATTTCTCTTAAAAAGCAGAGAAGTAGAACCAATGCTGCCACCTAGTGGCCAGCCAAACAAATCAGGTAGCATACTGGAGAAAAAGGTCATAGTCCCGACAATCTGGTTTCCCTGCCTATTATCAAGCCACCTAACTCCTTACTTTTCCACAAAAAAACACAACCACATATCTTAAGCAAGCCCTCCTCCACAGTCATAATCCAAATACTTGAATACAGCAACCAAAGTCTGTCTTGTTAAACACACTACTTCTCATGAAACTTTCCTCTGCCTATTTTAAGGTAGGTTTGCCCGGTCCTATGGCCCAGTAGAGATGACACAGGAGAACACGGAAACATCCAAAATGTTCACTGGTTCAGAGTGTGTACACAGTAATTTTGATGTCTGTTGCCTCAAATACCTCCTCGATCATCGCAGATACATTTTCCCATTGCAGACGATCAAGACCACATCCAATCCTGAAAAAGACAAAATATCTCCATTGATGGTAACGAAAGTATCTAGGAAACTGCTCCTCTCTTTTAAGCTATATCCACTCAAAGCATAAAAACAAATAATCTAGTCTGACACCCTTATGGGCAACCATGGTAGGAGTTTGGAAGTCAATTCTTGTTGTGAGTCACCGAAGACCATTCCTAGACAGCTCTAACATCCAAAAACTATCACTTCTGTTTGCCTAATAAGATACTACTTTCCAACTATTTCATGCTACATTTAGAAATGTGTAACTGTCATGACATTAGAGACTCATTATCCCTCTATGACTACTGACTAAAATTGGCTGTGGATGGATGGTGAAAGGTTGGTATTTTAAAAATGCACTTATGGTAACAGAATGTTAACGAAAGTAAGGAGAAGAGGAATGAGGTACAGGATCTGCAAAAAAGAAAGTCAAGAGGGAATGCTGGGAAATGGTAAGATAGTTGCAATCCAGGAGTAAGGTCTTTGCAACACCCTGGTAAGAATAAACTCAGTCCATAAAACTCTACTACTTGGCACCTTCCAAGATGTTACTCTAGTGATCCTCAACACGCCTAGGGAAAAAAGAGACCTAAAATTGGTAATTTCATGTCATAATGTGATAATTAAGTCCATAAGGAATTGTGATTAAAAAAAAAGTTTCTGATATGTATGTACACCATAAATATATCAAAGACCAGTGTAAAATAAGGGACATTTGAGGCCATATGCAAAGTAATGTGGGGCGCAAGATAAAACTGCATGTATGCTCAGCATTGACTCAAAACTACCAGGGTGACAGGAAGAAAAGAGGTGAGGCCCATTTCCTGAAAAGAAAGCAAAGGGACTACTGAACCCTCAATGTCATTCCCTAAATTCCCAATAGCTAAAGTCTAAGAAGTTACATCAGGGACAGATCCTCTGGCTATTACCCATACTGACCAAAACAAGTGTGCAGTATAAAAGGGAATGATAATTTACAACTTTCTTGACGCAAAGTAATAGGTTTGGGAGATGGGAAGTGGTCCAAGAGGAAAACCACCATTGCTCAGTCTTGATTCTTTAGCTTACATTGCTTTAGGAATAAAGGCCAAGCTTCAAGCAGAGGGTGCTGAGAATTCAACAAATGTAGCTGAATGACAATGGTCGCTCTCTGCTAAGCAGGCTGAGGCAGATGTATATTTCAAGGTAATTGTCCTGATTCATTCAACTCAAGCTAGAAAATGGCTGTGCCTTAGTCTAAAGCCAGACAACTGGTTCACTGGTGGTTTTACAAAATTTTGACTTTTGTCCACCTTTAAATCTATATTTTGGGTTAAGCTTTTAAGTTGTTTGTCTTTGGGTAAGATAGTAAACCCCACCAATCAATTAAATCTCCATTTAGGACCATGGATTTCCTTGCCTGGGCATGGAGAGGTCAGTGACTCCATTCTTCAGACAATGAGACTTCATTGCCTCTAAACTCTTCTGTAAGTTTTCATAAGTTGGCTTGTGCGAAGCCCTTTTCTTTGTAATCTGAACACAAAGGATTCAAACTTTCATCATCCCAAAATGATAGCCAAAGAAAAGTCATCACATTCCCCCAACATCCCAATAATTAAAAGAGTAAGCACATTTTTATAGAATTAGTCTAGAGCAAGGATGACAAATGTCATATTGCCCTTTCCACACTGTTATGGGAGACCTTCAAGAAAATCCACTAAATAGAGGCTGAGAAACCCAGACTCTGCCACGTAGCAATCTTTCCTTTTCCTAGGAAACCCATGAGATTAGCAGATGATGCCTATTGTCAATATTTTTAAGCAAGGTAGGTGAAGTCTCTGTGCCACTTCCAAGAGATAAGCTGCATATCTCTAACAGGGAAGAAAGCATACCACCTGAAAATTCCCTGCTAAAAGCCTCTACTTATTTAGAAACTGTGCTTGCTTGCTTTTTGTCTCTCTACATAAAACAACAGAAAAAACTGGTAGGGTCCCAAAGTAAAACCACTGGAAGCCACATAAGCTTTAAGGACAGAATTCAAAGGGGCTAGGACATCTCCCCACTCAGTTTGTCATCCAGATCAGGCTTGTAGTGGGTTAGCTGTAAGCTACCCACCACCACCACTAAGGAAGCCACACCCTTTCAGGGACCAAATGCCATCCTGGACTGTTGAAGAACCCCACATTCAGGCAGTAGTTAGGAGAGGAGCTAAGTATTATTTGGGACTGCACTTATTATTTTTTGTTTTTATTCACCCCCTTGCTATCAGTGTGCTATTTGACATGGAATAAGAGAAAAGCTCCTTTGGGAAATCTGTCTCTTGAGACATTATTGTTTTTATCTCACTCTGCCTAGGAAATATAGTATGGCAGGCATTCCTAACTTTTGCAAGTCTTAGAACAGGCCTATGGTACATGATACACGACTTTCCCACAGAGCTGGGATGCAGCCTCACATTTCTTTCTAACCCAGTGCTCCAAGTAGCCGCCATCACTGGACTGGAGTTGTCATAAGATAGGAAGCTTTTTGACATTCTTAGTTGTCTAGAATAGAACATCATGATCAACACAAATGCAGTGCAGCCCATCTGTTCACAAATCCTTAAAATGTATTAAGAACTGGCCCTGAAAAAAAAAGGAATTGGCCCCATCTTACCAAGTAATATATATATCGCCCATCTCTCTTCAGAACAGCCACTTCTCCAGATTTCTTTTCTAAGAAAAAGTTATTTAATAGTAGAAATGAAAAAGAAAACCAAACACTGATCTCTAAAGATTTTAAAATGTTTACAGATCTGAGTTTACCTCAGAACTAGAATTTTCAACACTGAAGAAGGGAATAGGGAAGACCTATTGTCTCCCACAAACACTTTGCTTTTTATCAGCATTCCCAAATACTATATTCCTTAACTTAACAGCTTTCTTACAGTCATGTTTCCTCACAACCCATCTTTTGTACCACTACTACTTTTAAATATATCCTCATTTGTCCACAAACTTTCTCTATTGCCTTGAAATTGTTTTATAGTGTGTAGTTTTTTACTTGCCAAATGTGTATTTACTCAATAATTATCTTTTTACATACAAAGAGCTGTATAAGGCATTATGAGGAATACAGATATATAAAAAAGGAATTAATTATTACAGAGTTTTCAATCCAGAGAAGATATCATCATTCCAAATAACTATAATACAAAGCAGTAAGAATTGCTTTTGTCTAAGGCTAAGAATCACTGTGGACACTGATGCTGTTAAGCCTGGAATGTGGTCGGAGAAACTGTTGCAGAAGCTTTACATAGGATTCTAGTGCACATTTCTGGTTTAAAGTGGCCCGTAGAAAGTGATGGGAGGGGTCTGTAAGGAAGAAGAGGTTTCTAAATTCCTCTTTGAAGAGAAAGCAGAATATTGGTAAGTAAAGGATCTTGAATGCCAACCTATAGACTAAGCATCTCAGAGTTATTTCAAGTTTCAGAGAAGTACAGTAATATCGTCAAGAAAGTTTCATGATACAAGAGGAAGAGATTAAAAACCTTCACAGGAGTTGGGTTTTGATATGGTAAACGTCTAAACTAGAGGCCATTCTTGGGGAGGAAAATCTTAAAAACATTTGGTTCTTAGGAATCCCCTCTTTACACGCATATTTTATTAAAGTGTAACAGATTAAAAGGTGCTCTAGCCAGGGCAAACCAGGTAAGTGGTTTCCAAAACTCACGTTGATTTAAAAGTTCTTGCACCCCTCCAAATTTCTTCTTAAAGAGGACAGCTATCCCAGCGCCCATGCGACAATCCTCACTGATACAGTGGGCTAAAGAGTCTGTTTTCGGGCATGCAAAAAGGTCTCCTTTCACATAAGTGATCTAAAAAATGTGCAAAGGAAAAGACAATGTTTTATTAGATACAGTAAAATACTAAGCTATTTTTCTGTATTTTGTGTCCCCCACGACTACCTCTCCCGGCACCCCTTCCTCCAATCTGATTTAAAGCCAAACCAATTACAGCATGTGTAAAAGGAAAGTAATGGATGATCCCTGCCTAGAATTTTGAGCCTTTTTAAAGTAAATCAGCTAGAGAGAAAAAAAGATAATGCAATCATTAATTTAATTAAAAAGTGTTTATGCTTTTGACCTCCATTATTACGAATTTCAGTTCACCAATAAGTCAATAGTTGTTACGCACTCTGCTTCCTTCTGGATCTTCATTAAGGCTGCTGGCCATGATACTGAGTCGCTATTTCCAGAATTTAAGTGTTTCTTCAGCTATGAGAAGGGAAAAGGAAGTAAAAATGCTTAGGCAGCCTTAGTATATAATATTCTGATTGCCCTGTACAACCACTTAATAGGCTTTTTTCCCCAACGTTTATCGATGAATGTGAGTTTGTTCGGCCCCTGGGACGTAATACAAAACCCTTCTGGGGCAAAGAGGAAGAACGCTTAGGTTCGGAGGCTGTCTCGACCCGCTCTCATTTCGTGCTTTCCTGGAGCGCCCCGCTCCGTCAGCGGAAGCAAAGCCCATCCCTAAGACACGCCTCCTCCTTTCTCCAGGGCCACTCCGGAGCAAGGCCGATTTAGGACGGTCTCCTTTTCTCTGCACGACGCAAAAGTATTTCCCCAGTGGGTCTGGCTTAGAAGAAAACAGAAGGGACTTGGCCACAGTCCCGTTAAGCCGCAACCACAGAGTGTACAGGGTACTGGCGTGCTGAGCCCCAGGCGTGGGGAAAGGAAGGCGGCCTCTCAAGGAACGTTCACCCCCCACTTTTTTGGGGGGTGCGTGGGAGAAGGAAAGAGTCTATTGAAGCCTCCCATTCTCTGTCTCCTACCCTAGGGCGGGTCAGCGAGGACGCAGTCTGTCCTGGGGTCCTATGGGAGGGTGCGGGGAGGCTCGCTCAAAGCCCCAACGTACCCAAGTCACCCTTCACCTGGAAAGGAGTCGGTTGTTTGGAGGTCCCCGCCCCGCGGGGAAGGGCTCCGGATCCGACCCTGGTAGGTGGGGAGCAGCGGACCAGCCCAAACGCGGAGCCAATCCCGCCAAAGCCCTTAATTGCACGCATCTAAGATGGCCGCCCCCGCCCGGTAGCGGGGCGGAAACGAGCCCCTCTAGCTTGCTAGCCGAGCCCACACTCTTTGGCGAAGGCCGCCGAACTTCCGGCAGTAAATTCCGTGGTTTCCCGCCGCCGCCCGCGCATGCGTAACGAAACTGCCCCACGAGTCGGGAAAAGTGGCGCTTGCGCATTAGCCGCAGGGGTGTGTCCTAGTGGCCACTTGGAAAGGGGTGGGCAGCTGGCAAAGGGGCTAGTTAGCGCCTGCGTAGTACTAAGCTCAAGGCAGCGTTTTGAGTTGAAGGGTCTGGCGCGTCTGGAAAGCGCCTGCGTATTCCTTTCACTGGGGGTGGTGTCAAAGCGGGAAGGTGGGCGTGGCTTCAGGGAACGCCTGCGCGTTGCTCCTCCGAAGGGGTGGGGCGATCCCTGAACTGGAGTTAGTGGGCGTGGCCTCAGAGGCGCCTGCGCGGAGGCGGTTGGAGGGAGGCCCGATTCCCCTTTGTTCGGGTTCGCCATTTTGCTAGGCAGCGGCAGTGGCGGCGGCAGCGGCGGCTGGAGCCTCTGATTGGGTTTCGGAGTCCGGTACTGGAGCCAATCAGCGCGGGCAGCGAACCGGGGGAGCGAGGCACGGTGAGTGTGAGGAGCCAATATCCAGCGGCCCAGAGCCGGCCCCAGCGCCCCGATTGGCGGGTCTCGCTGACCACTCAGGAGAGGCCCAGGCGCCCGTCGAGCCCGGGGAGTCGAGCTGAGCCTAGCCGAGCCGGGCGGCCAGCGGCCCCGGCCCGGGGCCTGCGAGCGCCTCGGGGCACTCCCGGCCGAGGCCTGCAGGGGCCGCCCCGCGCGGGGATGGCGCCTCGGGGAGCAGGCACCTCGGGGCTCCGACCCTCGCAGGGTGCCAGGGCCAGTTGGGAATGCGTCCCTGTTCCCCGACTCAGGCCCAGGTTCTCAGGCCCCAGGCCTGGGGCCACGAATGGCCCTACACTAGGGGACACATGCGCGCCCTGGGCCTCGGCGATTTCCTCCTGGTCGTTCTGGCCGCAAACTTAAACCTGCCCTTGCACTCTCCACTCTCCGGCCCTTGGGACAGGAAGCCTCCCCGGGGCCCGCGCCCCCCGCTCCCCGCTCCCAGCGAGCCGGGTCTGTCTTATCTGCAGCCCCTCTAGGTCGGGAGGGAGGCCTGGGGAGGGTGCGCGCCGCGGCCGCGGGGTCCCGTGTGCGGCTGGCAACGGGGCTGGCCCGCCCACGCCTCGGAGCCCTATGGGCCCGCCCCCGCTGTCTCCCTGGTGGGGAGAGGGGGCCGTTAGTTCGCCCACTCCCCCTGCTCCGCCGCGCCCCTCCTCCCAGCCCGCTCCGCCCGGGTCTCCGGCCCGGCGCCGTTACCACCCCTTTTGGCTCGTCATTTCCTCTCTTCCCCGCCCCGTTCGCAGTGGCAGGACCGCACACCTCCGTCTTGGAGCCCAACCAAGCGGTCTCCGTTTCTTGTCCGGGCTGTAAGACCAGTCCATTCGGTGCCTGGAACCTCACTCTTAGAAGATTGATACCCTTGCGCATTCTTTCCGGAGGCTGCACAACTTGCTGTTCATATTACTAATCTTATCCACTGCTCATTTTGTGAAATCTCCCTCCCTTGGGAATATAGTACAGTTTTGGGGGTTTTTTTTCCCTTTGTTTTTGCCTTCGCCTTTCTATGTTACTTTGTGTCAGGCTTGACCCAGTCCACTCATCTCTTGGTTTATGTTTTTCTGATACACTTTCAAGTCCTGTGTTAACGTTTTCTCAGCAGATGTTTAGAAACTAACAGTGTTGTGGGGTTTTCCTTAGGGTGAGAGGTTGCTGTTGGCAACCAATTATCCAGCAGTTAGTATATGCCAGGTATAATCCGTGTGTTAGGGAGGGAGTACGTAGAGGTCAATAAGAACTGTGCCTACCTGATGGAAATTGACAGGTGAACAGGTAGTTAATACCTAACGGTTAGTGCTATAAAGGGGCCAAGTTCAGTTGCTGTGAAGTATCCATGCGTGAGCTAGCCTCCGTGAAAGGCTTATCACCACCGCACTTTTGACTGGCCTTGAAGAATGATGGTAATTCTTCCACAGGAAAGATGGAAGAGCTTGCTCGAAGAGAAGAAAAGCATGTGCAGAGGAATCAAATTACACTGTTGGAGGCAGGAAGATGGGATAGGGAAGTGGGCAGTAGTTGTGATAGTTTAGGGGGGAAAGCCCAGTTGGTAAAATACTTGTATATCTTGCTAAGGAATATTTTGGAAACAGTTATTATTTTGTATGGAGGTTCAAGTAGAAGGGATCTAGAGCTATATTTTTTCCTAAGATTGAAAAAACGAGTTTCTGACTTGTTTATGGGTTCTGCCCCGTGATAGTGGCTGAGTTCTTTGGGGATGAAGAGGAGACTTGTCCTAGGACTCTGAAAATTATTTTTACTCATGTGAATCATCTAGTGCATTCCCTGGCACATAAAGGTCTTAAGTATCTGGTGCCCATTTCTAAATTCACATTTAATGTTATACAACTAATAGGTTTCAGAAAACTCGTATTCCAGTGCTCTTTCATTACTAAAACTTCGGGGACAGGTTTTATTTTCACTTTTTAGGGTGAGTTTTTCATTGTTGCTTAAGTGATTTTCTTAATTCATTTGATTGTCACGTTATCCGCATTAGCAGATGAGATGATAGAGCTTAAGTAGTCTAAAAAACATGTATATTTGCCTTTGGAACGTTTTTTTGTTTGTTTTTGGATACAGGGCTTTCCTCTGTCATCCAGGCTGGAGTACAGTGGCGCAATCGTAGCTCACTAACCTGGAACTCCTGGGCTCAAGCCATCCTCCCTTCTTGTTCTCCCAAAACGTTGGGATTACAGGCATGAGCCACTGCGTCCTGACCTGAAATAGATGTTTTAACCTTAGTATTTAAAAATAGGTATGTTCTGGTCACTTCAAAATCACTAAATACTTTTGCTTGGCATCTTTCTAAAAGGCATTATAATCTGGTAACTTTTTTGCTAAATACCTTACAAGCTTCCACCAGTCTGCAGAAGAATTTCTTTGTCTGACATTTTGAGAGAAAGTAGTGTGGCCCCAAGCTTTTTTTCCTGTTTAGTCCACTGTTCACATGCTGAAATATTTCTGTTCTTGTTTTTATGCTCTCTTGATTTGTAGTACTTCACCTTCCTCCACATCATCACATAGCTAAATCTTTCTCACACTTAAGACCAGTTCATCCTGCAGGCCTCTGATAGCAAAGAAAAAAAAAGTTCAAGTAGTACCTTTTTTTTTTTAAGCCTTGTTGATTTATCCCCAGCTGGAACAAATCTCTGTCCTCCAAATTCCCATATCACTTTATCTCTTAGGATTCCAGTATAGGTTTTTAGTCCATTACTAAACTTAAAGACTCTTTGAAGTTTGAATCTTCGTCAGAGATTTCTTTTTATTTTTAAAACCTTCAGAACAGTGTCTGGCACATGGTACATAATTAGTGGAGAGAAGTGCATTAGAAAGCTCCAATCCAGAAATCTGTAGGATGATGGGGAAGCTGGACAGCCCTTTGTTGTAGTCTAGTCTTTCATCAAGCGTCTATCAGGACCCACTTGTTGAGTTGTGAAAGAAATTGAGTGAGCCAATGCTGGGAATTTTTAAATAATAGAATAGAAAATATCTGCCAGGCATGATGATGGCTCACGACTGTAATCCCAGCACTTTGGGAAGCCGAAGTGGGAGAATCCTTTGAGCTCAGGAGTTTGAGACCAGCCTGGGTAGCATAGGGAGACCCCCTCTCTTAAAAGAAAAAAAAGAATAGAAAATACCAAAGTGCATCTTGTGTTGTATAAAGGTAAATGCTGTTTCATGAAACTTTCATTTCAGTTACATGCTTTATACATGTGTGCACTGAGTTGTGATAATGAAATGTGTTTCTTACTAAGGGTTGTGGTCAAAAAAGTTAAAAAGCTACTGTTCTAGGCTTTGCCTGGTAGTGATTATCAACTGTGATAATCCTATGGCTTTTCATATGCTTACACTAGTTGAGTTTCTGAAGAGGTTTTAGCTTTGGAGTTTGTGTAGGTCCACATAGAATGGGTTCCTAGTAAGTGGTTGGCTAAGTCTCAGCTTTTGCACCTTGGAATAGTGGGGCAAAGAGAATTGCACTGAGAAGAGAATGCACTAGGAAGAGAATTTTCATGCTAGCCAGAATAAACACTTATTATTTGTTTCTCTCTCTTTGAGGAAAAACCATTCAAAACTTTGTGTTAAGAGCAAGAGCTAGACAGACTAAATCTGGCTTAGTTTGTCATAATCTTGGGCAAAGAGGCACTTTGGGAAAGACTATCGAATTGTATTGCAGTCTTGCTAACTGAAGCTCACAGTAGTAGGAACATATGACTTTACTGAAGCCAGTTGCTTATAGCATTAACCATTAACAGTATCAATATCATGATACAGGCTAAATCACTCTGTCATTAATGTGAGAGAGAATTGCTGCTAGATTTGAAGCTGCTCTTCAAATCTTGATACTCTTCAAAGTATAAATTTAAATATTGCTAAATTGGTTCATTTGTATTACCAGAATAAACTAGTTAAGAAGAAAATCTGTACGTTACATATATTAGTCATTATGTGCTTCAAGTTATATTTAGTCTTGTAAAGATGTAAACTTCTGGATATTAGTCAAGGAAAAAATCTCATATAAGAAGGAAATTTGGAGTTGGGGAGGCGTTGAAACCTAAAAGACATTCCTTTCATGATCCTTATTTTTTAAAATCAATTTATTGAGAGATACTTTAGAAACAAAGTATAATAATTTTAAATGTGTATTTTGATGAGTTTTGACAAATTTGTACACCTGTGCAACTGCTACCACAATGAAGATATAAAACATTTTCATCACCCTACAATGTTCCTAAGGCTCCATGCCAGTCAACCTCCCTCTTTCCTGTCTCCCTGTATTCTCCACTCCCAAGGAACCACTGATCCATTTTCTGTCTCTAGATTACTGATGTCTTTTGGAGATTTTATATAAATGGAATCATATATATTCGTTTACATCATAACCTTAATTTTATTAGTTTATAGCCATAAATGTATTGTGTATTAGAGACAAGATAGAATTTAGGGAAGCCTGTTAGTGCCCCTAACAGACTCACAGTCTGGCTGAAAACCTGATTTTCTATTCTATACCCAGAATCTCTGAGGAGCAGACTTAGTCAACCAATTCCAAAGAGACTGGTGTAAAAATCAGAAAACCGGTTTGTCATGTTGCTGATTATATTTGCTCCCTGTTGGCCAATCTATATGTAAATCCAAATTATAGCTAGAAATTTACCTAGCGAGCATTCCATTAGATCAAGGGCAGTGCTTTGGAGAACCATATGGCCACAAGTCCTCTTGCTGTGATGACATAGCCTGTTATTTATGGCTCATAGATTCTTATGTTGTATCCATTTTGGTTATGAGTAATGGGGTTGATTAATTTTTATTTTGATTAAATTTTGTTATATTTTTCCTAACATTCCAACATTCATTTGGGAAATAAGAATTTCTCAAAATTCTTATTCTAGAAATAAGAATTTTCAAGTGTGCAGTGAAATCAAAGGAATTTGAAAATAAACACCTGTATACCTGCCAGTTAGGGTCTATTAACATCTTACTATAATTGCCTTACCAGATATTTCTCCACCCATTCATCCATTTTTTGATGCATTTCAAAGTAAATTTTAGATATCAATACACTTCTTTCTAAGTACTTGGACATATAGTTGCACATATTTTGGTTTCTTCTTTCACACTGTATTGAGACACCTTGCAAATGATTAATTCCACCAGCATGTGTGGATTTATGGAGAGTGGTACTGTACTTTGCCACGATAATGAGCAGCTCAGTTAGGTCACGTCATTTTATTATTCAGATGTTGGAATTTATGAGGGCCTAGTGAAAAATCAGAGAGAAAGACCTATCTACATTTTTGTTTATATATCTGTCCTCCCTCCCATATTTCCAAGATGAATTGCCGATTGCTAACTTATATCATTTTAATTTTTTAATGAAGTCTTTATTAAAGGTTCTCAGATATCATTCAGTTTATCTAATTGTATCCTTATTTTTAAAAGTGGATCTTCAACTCTTAAAGTCTATGAGAAGGGTAAATTTTGCCTACCATATGTAGTGGACCTGAGTAACATGTTTGGTGGGAAGCAATTACGTGTTACAACTTAAAGAAGCTTTATTCTCTAAAGTATATGTGCAAACCTGAAAATCAGTGTTAGGTATGCCTTGTATCAAAGTGATGTAGCTTAACGAGTATCTCTTAGGTGCAAGTATTGCTCTGACAGTATTGAAAGGTAAGGTTGCCAGTATACTGAAAGCATTTTAGAAACGTGAAAATAGCATTATGTTGTTATGATTGTGCCATGTAATCCCAGTTAAAAATGATACTGAATATAAGCATTTCCTATTCTCCTATCCTGTTTTCTTGCAAATAAAGTACAGTGATAAATTATCCAGGTTAATTGTCTGGTAAGGCCTTTATTGACAATCTCACTTTAGTTTCTTTCCCCACCTTTCTAACAGGAGTGTACCTCACAGCCTTCTAGGATCTCCAGAGTGGACAGGAATCTCACTTGGAGGGACCATGGAGCAGTATACAGCAAACAGCAATAGTTCGACAGAGCAGATTGTTGTCCAGGCAGGACAGATTCAGCAGCAGGTATGGAAGCAAAACTGCTTTAAACATTACAGCAATGAAACTGATAACAGCACCACTCAATTGGTTGGTCTATTGCCCTGGGGAATTATTTGAAAGATACCAGATCTTGTGAGATATTGGGTCTGATGGCTTGTGCTGAAATGCCATGTCTAGCCCATGACCACTTAGAATCTACTCTTCATGGGTGCCTGGTTATAGTAAATTGCCTCTTTTATCTCATTTTAAGTAAAAACATCTAGTCTGGTTTTCAGATGGAAATTTGGACTTTAAAATTTTTCTGGATTCTATTTGGTCTTTTTCTCTTCTTGTTTGAGCTAACTTGTGATTTAGTAAGTCTTTGGCCACAACAGACAAACCAACATAGCTTCCAATAAATCTTCTGTTTTTTGATTTGGTCTGCCACATTTTTTATTCAGAAAAGCTCTGGTTTAACATTAGGATAATATTTAGACAGCCATTCTTATGGATAAGACATACTAGAAAGGAATTCCCTGCTGCTGGTTTATTCCTAATTAATAGATTGCTTTCTTGAATTTATACACAGGTTACATTTTCTGATGCTTTATGCTTGGGTTTATTATAGTAAAATTTCACTTTTTTCCCCACCCCAGAAGAAAAAAATGTATTATGTTTCTATTTGACCTTAGGCCAAGATTGATATTTTGGAAATACTTTGTTTTCAAAATGGAATTTAGCTAATATAGAAAAGTAGTAGGGAAGGGAAAGGTAGTATTGATGATGAGTTTTTCCCGTCTAATGATCAAAGACGAACTCCCCTGATAGCTTTCCCTTCCATACAGCTGCTGTGGCTCTGGCAGTTTCCTTCAACTGCCTTTTTAGAGGAAGGGATTCCACAAAGGGCCCTCCATTCACACCAGTGCCCTGGAGGGTGGGTTTTTATTCTTTCAGAATTTGCCATTAGTGGATGTAAAAATAAGGTTGAATCATTGAAAACATGGCTCTTAAAGCAGTCCAGTTGGGTAGAAATAATCTTAGTTTTGAAGCTGGGCATGGTGCTGCATGCCTGTAATCCCAGCTACTCTGGAGGCTGAGACAGGAAGGTTGGCTTAAGCCCAGGAATTCAAGACCAGCCTGGGCAAAACAGCAAGACCCCATCTCAAAATAAGTACATAAATAAAGTTTAAAAAAAAAAGAATCTTAGTTTTGGGACATGAGAGCATTGACGTCATGAAGATGATTTCGGTTCATAGTGATTAATTACTCCTCCTTTCTTGGTGATTGCATTTAAGCCCAGAATTTTTTATGGTAGTTTCAGGGCTATTAAAACCTAATCATTTTTTTCTTGTGAACTCATCTGAGGAGATAAAAAGGGCATTAAACAATTGTGTAAGTAGAAGTGTCAGATTCCTGTTTCTGGAGGGAAAGATTGCATTACAAATCTTTGTGTTAATGATGACAACTGTTTTGAGTTTTTGAGTCAAATTTTTGAGGTCCACTCTGGAGACAAAGGGCTAATATCTTTAATCCTACTACCTTCAACAAAACAGCTTCAATATAGGGAGTCTGTACATTTTGAAAGTCCTTCAGGCTTCCGTCTCTCTCCTCCAAGAGGTAAGGTGATCTGTGTCTTGAACTACACATTTCCTTCCTGACATATTTCAAGCTCTTCCTGTTCCTGTTCTCAGCAGCAGGGTGGTGTCACTGCTGTGCAGTTGCAGACTGAGGCCCAGGTGGCATCCGCCTCAGGCCAGCAAGTCCAGACCCTCCAGGTAGTGGTACCCTCTCTGATTCTCTGTGAGCACTGCATGAACTTCTCCTCTCCTCATGTCTGGTGCTGTTTGTGTTAGGATCTCCAGTAGGAATGGCAAAGTCAGTTGCATGTCTTTGATGCTGCTAACTTGTCTTTGAGGCTTATAAGATGCCAGTTTCCTAATATTTCATGCCAAGTCATATAGAGACCCCGTATCAACTTTCTGAGAATTGGATTTGACTAGCATGTTTCTTTGAGAATGCCTGGAAAAGAAATGGTATAAGTGACAGGAAGAAATTCTTATAAGTGACATTAGAATTTATTCAGGGCTCGGCCGGGCGCGGTGGCTCACGCCTGTAATCCCAGCACTTTGGGAGGCCGAGGCAGGCGGATCACGAGGTCAGGAGATCGAGACCATCCTGGCAAACATGGTGAAACCCTGTCTCTACTAAAAATACAAAAAAATTAGCCGGGCATGGTGGCGGGCACCTGTAGTCCCAGCTACTTGGGAGGCTGGAGCAGGAGAATGGCGTGAACCCAGGAGGCAGAGCTTGCAGTGAGCAGAGATTGCGCCACTGCACTCCAGCCTGGGTGACAGAGCGAGACTCCGTCTCAAAAAAAAAAAAAAGAATTTATTCAGGGCTCACACTCTGATCCAATTAATTGCATGGTAAAAATTTTGTGTATTTGTGTTACAATGGAGAAGGAAATATATACATATACAGACACACATAAACTAGGCTAGGCTGTGCTTTATTTTTATTCAAGGGGCAACTCAACTGAAAAATAATCATTGCACTTGGCAAGGTTTATCTAAGCACTGAATCTTGTTAATCTCTTGTTAACTGCTATTGTTTCCACTACCTTTCCTGGGGGAATAGTGACCTGTCTTATTACTAGATCTGCAAAGATTACCCCAGATACCTCTTGGTTAGGCAGAAGCAGGATGTGCTTTCTGTAAGTCTTAGGTGTTAAAGCCACTGTGATAATTCTTGGTTAATCAATACAGTTCTTTAGCATCGTGTATGGCTAAGTATCCTAAATTGGGTTCTAATTTGGCCAGTTCCTATAAAACACAGGAGTAGCAGCACTAGTCTACTCTGTGTATGTAGGTTACTTTTATTAAAATAACTCTATTTTTGAGAAATTGGCAAGATTTGGGTACCCTACTTTTTCCCTCCATTGAATTAGAAATGATTCAAAGTAGAATCTAGAATGTAGAACTGGCATCTCACTTTATTGCTAGTGCTGCTAAGCATCCAGCAGATAACTACCTCTTATTGTCATCACTTTATCCTTTCAATCCCACCCCTACCCCTGCCACCAATAGTGTTTGGTAATGATGTACAGCCAACTTTGAACATAAATTAAGCCGAAAGAAACTGAGCTTGTAGGCATTCCAAAATTGTGTTCAAATCTCACAGTCCAACAGCTTGTTAATGTTTTTCATGCTTGCTTCATCTTACTCATATATAAAACAGTATTTTGGATTGTCATTAACCCCTTGTGGAATAGGAATGTAACATGCTCTTAACTGTATGGCTTCTTGTTTGATGCATGTGTCTTTGTAACATTTTTCTGTTGTAAATACAGTGAGCTCTTTGGAGTCTCAAATCATTTATCATGTGCACGAATAGCACATCAATTGGGGAGGAAATTAAGATGATGAATAGATAGAAAATTATTAATAGCTGTATCTTAAAACTTGTGTTTCCTACTTACATAGATTTTATTTAAAAGAAGTGGAAACACTTTATGGAAATAATAGAAACCTTTCCTCTAGGGATCTGATTATTTTGGGAGAATTTTAAATAGTTATTTTGGTTATTCTTGCTATATGTATTCTGAGAAATCTTTCTTGATACAGAATATGCAAGCATTTGGTGTAGCAAAGGGGATTTGATTTGGAATGGGGAAATAAGGGAAAGAGATAGCATGAGAGAGTCAGGCTGTAAAGTCCTTAAAAAAGTAAAGTAAAGGTTCTCAATGGACAGTTTAACAAAACTTAGGATTTCAATGTTCCTGGTGATTCTAATACATTAGTGGTGGTGGCAGTGGCGGCGGTGGTGGTGGTGATTGTAGGAGGACCTTACTATCTAACCTACTCATCTAGGACAGAATGATCTGTTAACTAATTGCTGTTACTTGCACATACTTTCATTAAGTGTGAATATTTCAGTCATGAATATTCTGTTCTAAGTAATTTCTGTCAAAGATAGAGTCTGAAAATGAAAATTTTGGACTATTCCATGGATCATTACAGTTTACTTCTAAAGCACTTTTAAAGTGCTTCCAGAAAGCATTCTATTAGGTATTTTTGTATTGGGACTTAAGATGTGACAGAGCACTTGTAGTGACCTGGCTCCTACAGTAGTCTGTTTACTCATAGGAGCTTGAAATTTGTACACTTGACTGCTCTGTGTAATTTCAATATTTGTTGTTGCTTCTGATAAAGCTAAAATAACCATGTGGATATTATAGAGGCCAGTGAGGAATTCCACCATGGAGACTGCAAACTGACCAGAAAGTGCTTTTAAGAAATCTTTAGTAGTGAGTTTAAACAACAAACATATCTAGAATTCACAGAGTAAAATGAGCAGGATAAAGGTATACATTTGACATTTCATTTTAGCTTGAGAGACTGTAGGGAAAAAAGGGTCATCCTCTACATAAGCTTCCAGAGCTGCTTGCTACCCAGCCTCCTAGAGTCATTGCTGGGTACAGTTTGATTTACCTTCTTCACTTTATTTAGAATTTGTACTCAACCACCATCACCACCATCACCTTTCCCTCTCATTGCCTTCTCTCCAGCCTTCACTACAGACCATTCCTGGATTGGTTTAAACAGGCAACTAACCTTGCCATTATGATTAAATGTTTGTCATGGATTTAGCCCGTGTTTGGTGACAAATGCCTTATATCTATTGAGACTTCTCAAAGACTCTGGATATTCTCCATTATGTCTGACCTTAAAGTATTGAGCTTGGCATTTAGTAACAGGATTCATAGATATTTAAAGATAACTTGAGGACTTGAGACATATATTTTCTTAGTCTTTTCTACCTTTTCCTTTTCTAGCAAGGCAGCAGAATAGTTCCAGTGATTGTCTTTTGGTAAAAACCATTTTGTGTCTTATGTTATTTCATTGTTCTTATTTTATTTCATTCTAGGTCCAAGGGCAGCCATTAATGGTGCAGGTCAGTGGAGGCCAGCTAATCACATCAACTGGCCAACCCATCATGGTCCAGGCTGTCCCTGGTGGACAAGGTCAAACCATCATGCAAGTACCTGTTTCTGGAACACAGGGTTTGCAGCAAGTGAGTAATATTTAAAAATATTGAGCAGTATATCAGAGGAGAGGTTTCAAAGAATAGATTATTACAACCTATTTGATAATTGATATTGCATTTAACTGCTTCCTAACCCACATTTTGCATTCAGTTGATTTTCTGCCTTTATAGTACCAGTGATATAAACTAGAACTATGCAGAAATTGGACAGCTCCAGTAATGACTAAGATATTAGGCATGATCTTGAATTGCTGTAAAGTATATGAAGAGGTTAGAATCTAGTTTATAGTATATTTTATTTTAAAAGAAACAAAAATGAGTATTTAGAAAGTTAGAAAAATAACAAAACGAGCAAAAAGTGGGTCCAAATTAATTAAGTAGAAAACTGACGTATAGAAAGGATAAATAAAATCTAGATTGTTTAAGCAGACCAATAAAACAGGTAAATCCAGTTGAAACACTGATTGAGAAACAGAAAACAAAAGTAAGCAAAGATGTAGAAGAGATTAAAGGAAGGCCAGGCGCAGTGGCTCATGCCTGTGATCCCAGCACTTGGGGAGGCCAAGGCAGGTGGATCACTTGAGGCCAGGAGTTCAAGACCAGCCTGGCCAACATGACAAAACCCCATCTCTACTAAAAATAAAAAATTAGCCGGGCGTGGTGGCACGCACCTGTAATCCCAGCTACTTGGGGGGTTGAGGCATAAGATATCTTGAACCCAGGAGGCGGAGGTTGCAGTAAGCCAAGATTGTGCCACTGCACTCCAGGCTGGGCACCAGAGCAAGATTCTGTCTCAAAAAAAAAGAAGAGATTAACAGAAATATGTAGAAATGTTACATACAACTCTGTGGCATCATATTTTAAAATTAGATATTTCTCATCGAGATGGCAAAAAAAAACAAAAAGTCATTATATCCACTGTTAGGATGGATGTGGAGAAAAAGAATTAATCATTATTTTTGGTAATTTAAAACTGTAGAGTTATTTTGGAAAGGCACCTCACTATCTGTTAAATACAATGAATATTTGAGCTAGCAGTCCCACTTCTGAGAATCTGTCCTATAGGAAGAAAAGCATCAATAGTAGGGGGAAATTACAAAGACACTTTTCATAGCATTGTACTAGCAAAAAATAAAATTGCAATCTGAGTGTCCATTAATAAGAATAAGGAAATGGTTGGAATAAATCATAATATATTCATAGGGAATATTGCATCATCATTAAAAGAAATGAACTGTTGACTTGGGGTGGGTTAATATTGAAATATTTTTAGTGGAAATAATTTGCAGAGAAATAGTGTGTGATCTCATCTTTGTAATTCATAACCAACCCCCCATGAGTATATGTTTATAGTCATGGAAAAGAGAGTATGAGATAACTATTAGTTACTCTATCTAAATGTTTATATTGTTTCAACAGTTACAGCAGTCATATTAATGTCTTAGTTTTCTGGAGGAATTTAAGTTGAAAAAAGCAGCCATGATCCCACTGCTCATAAATCAAACTTGTACTTTTTGTGTATTCTTTTGTGTTTTTATGCATAATTTTTGGGCATAATTGTACCATGCATGTGGGGTTGTGTTTTCATTTTTTTTTTTTAATTCTTTCATAATGTTCAGTCAACTTGATGAATCAGAATTTCTAATTTATAAAATATAGTTAAGGATTTTGGTTTTCATTTGCCTTTGTAGGTAAACATTTGGGCACGATAGTTTTATTTTTCAACTGAATTCTCAGGATAATTTCTTTGGATTGGGGATTGCTTGGGTAAAGGGTAAGAGTATATTTGAGCCCACTGGCATATTTTTGCCAAGATAGAATTGTACTTGGGATTAAAAATAGTTTTCACATTTCTCTTTGCATAAATATATGAGGCTTTAAATATCTTTTCAGCATGTGCTTTCCTTGATTCCCTATTGCTATATCCTTTCTGTTCTTCTCTCTTTGCTTCCTCTCCAGTCCCCCTTGCTGCGCCTTCTCCACTGTTGAGTAGAGACAATGTGGTATAGTTAGGAACAGTATACTGTGAGTGTAGTGGTCCAAGCTTTCATTACCAGGTCTGCCATTAAATAAGCATTCTGATCTTGGCCAAGTTATTTAATTGTCGGTTTGCTCATCCAAAAATAAAATTTATATGAGATGATATCTAGGGTTCATTCTAGCTCTAAATTCTGTGATTTTTATGGGGTTTTATTTTGCTATAAGGAACCTTCAAATAGTTATTTCCCTGCTTCCAAGTAGGGCTATAACTAACCAAGCTGAAAAAAATATATTCTGTTACGTAAATAAAGCTCTCTAGGTGAGATTCCATAGCCTCCCTTACAATACTTAAGGCTTTAATCCCCTTTGTATAGGAGTTTTTTTTCTCATTAGTGTTGAGTAGCCATTTTTTAAAGAAGACTACTTCTTAACCTTTTTTGAATTGTATTCTCTATTTTAGAATCCTAGTAAAGCTTGCACCCTCTAAGAAAAAGTAGAGATGTCCAGTCTCATGAAAAATTCTGCATATAATTTTAGATTAAAATCCTTGGCCTGAGAAAGATACTGGAACCAGAGAGACAGCCAAGAAATAGATAGAAGAATATTGGAAGTTGGCATATAATAAAAGTGGTATAAACATATCAATGAAGAAATGGCTGAAGAATGATACAGAAAAGAAACTGATTTCTAATTCATACTGTATTTTAAAAAATATTTGCTAGGTGGATTAAAGATCTAAATGTAGAAAAGTAAACTTGGAAAATTCAAAAGAAAATATAAGAATTTTTATGCTATAGAGAAGGATATTTTTAAAAACAAATTGACTAAAACATAATATGCATTGAAATACATCAAATAAAAGTAAACAAGGTGAAAACTTGGAAAAGATATTTTTAATACATACAACCGAGTTTGTATTCAGAATATGTATAAATAACGTTTATGTATTTATACAAAAATAGGAAAATGGGCGAAGAATATGAATAGATGGAAGAGGAAATCCTAACAGCCAATATAAACTTAGAAATGAAGTTGGTTCACATAACCAGATAAATTTGTTTACTTATTTATTTGCCAATACTTTCTGAATGCCAATTATGAGCTGAGTATTTGGAAAAAATAATTCAGAAGACCTAGGCAATCTATCCCCTAACAAAGTAGGATCCATGAATGTCTCTAAGACATGGAACCCATTGACCTGTTTTTTTCACCTTCCTTCCATCAGTAGTCCTTTTTCCTATCAGCTGGTAGACTTTGTGATAACTTAAGGTTCTAGGCATGTTCTTCTTTCCAGACCAAGGTGGTCCCAAGTTGAAATTATGGATGGAAAGTGACCTGGCTATAAAAATCTATCTTTCTGAAAGTATCCTCCTTCCAGACTGCCATCTATGTTGAAGCAATGCTCAAATAAAAAAAGTTTGTTGATGGAATTAATGGTCAAAGAAGCAAAGAGAAGGTTACTTAGTACTAGCCATGTATTCTGGCTTTTAAGTTTGGGAGGTATTCTTGAATATAAAATACAAGACATTTTGAGCTATGGGGCTCTCCTCACTGCTTTCTCTTTTGCACTTAAAAAAAAAAGTGTTCACTAGTTATATGAAAATAGGATTTTGTACACCCAACATTTAAAGGGTTGTATTGCAGTTTTTTAGTTCCAAAATTTAGAGAAATATTTTTCAAGCTTCTTGTCAGGTTTCTGATAACACTCCTAATAAAGTGGCTATAGCCATTAAAAAAAAGAAAGAAGATAGATTTGGATAGCACACGATCCCTTGCTTTCCATAATTGCTTTATAAGGTTTAGCTATCCAATCCTAGGACCAAATAGGAGATACAAATTAAATCAACAAAAATTTGACAAACATTAATGACAGTAGTGAGTATTGGTAATTGGAAACTAATAGGAGGAATATAATCTGTCACATTGCCTTAATTATCTATTACCATATAACAAATTATCCTAGAAGTTAGCAGCTTAAAACAACAAACATTTGGCCGGTGCGGTGGCCCACACCTGTAATCCCAGCACTTTGGGTGGCCGAGGCGGGTGGATCACAAGGTCAGGAGATCGAGACCATCCTGGTTAACACAGTGAAACCCCGTCTCTACTAAAAAGACAAAAAAAAAATTAAGCCAGGCGTGATGGCGGACGCCTGTAGTCCCAGCTACTCGGGAGGCTGAGGCAGGAGAATGGCATGAACCCAGGAGGCGGAGCTTGCAGTGAGCCAAGATCACACCACTGCACTCCAGCCTGAGCCACAGAGCGACACTCCGTCTCCAAAAAAAAAAAAAAAAAAAAAATTTATTTTATAGTTTCTGTGAGTTAGGAATCCTGACACAGCTGTGTTGGATTCTTTCAAGGTCCTCTCAAGGCCCTTATCAAGGTGTTGTCCTGGGCTGCAGTCACATTTGACTAGAGTAGAATACATTTTGGGTTTTTTCTTTGTTTGTTTTTTTGAGACAGTTACTCGCTCTGTTGCCTAGGCTGGAATGCAGTGGTGCGGATCTTGGCTCACTGCAACCTCTGCCTCCCAGGCTCAAATGATCCTCCCACCTCAGTTCCCCAAGTAGCTGGGACCACAGGCATGTCCTACCATGCCTGGATAATTTTTGTATTTTTCAGTAGATACAGGGTTTTGCCATGTTGCCCAGGCTGGTCTCGAACTCCTGACCTAATCTGCTCGCCTCAGCCTCCTGAAGTGCTGGGATTATGGGCATAAGCCATTGTACCCGGCTTTCAGCATTTTTAATATATATAGTATTTCCTCTGTAAAAAAGTACTTCATCATTCACCAAAATGGCAAGATTAAAAAATAATAATAAAGCACTTTAGAGTGTATTTTATTTTTTTATTTTTTTGAGACGGAATCTCGCTCTGTCGCCCAGGCTGGAGTGCAGTGGCGTGATCTCGGCTCACTGCAACCTCCGCCTCCGGTTCAAGTGATTTTCCGGCCTCAGTCTCCCAAGTAGCTGGGATTACAGGCATGCACCACCATGCCCGGCTAATCTTTGTATTTTTAGTAGAGACAGGGTTTCATCATGTTGGCCAGGCTGGTCTCGAACTCCTGACCTCAAGTGATCCACCCACCTCGGCCTTCCAAAGTGCAAGGATTACAGGCGTGAGCCACCACACCCAGCCCAGAGTGTATTTTAAATATGCATGCTTTTCAATATATATAATCATACCACTGCTATCTTTCATAAAAACCGACATTGATTTGTTAATATCAGGTATCCAGACAGTGTCGAAATTCCCTATTTGTTTCATAAATGGAAAATAAGTTGTGTCTACTTCATAATGGAGGGCAGAGCAGGACTTCTTTTTTCCTCTTCAGAACATTTTCTGCTTTCTAGAGAAATGTGGATAACTCTCGGGGACCAAAGGAGACCAGTGTCAGTAGAGTACAATCCTTTTTTTATGTTCTTTTCTGCAGATACAGTTGGTCCCACCTGGACAGATCCAGATCCAGGGTGGACAGGCTGTGCAGGTGCAGGGCCAGCAGGGCCAGACCCAGCAGATCATCATCCAGCAGCCCCAGACGGCTGTCACTGCTGGCCAGACTCAGGTAATTCCACTAGCTCTGTCACACAGGAGCAAAACTGATTTGGAAGAGTCAGATAACTGAGTCAGATATTTCATGTATAGCATGTATAGTAGAAAAGGGGATGAAAACCATAAAAAAATATATTTTTGGCCGGGCGCGGTGGCTCATGCCTGTAATCCCAGCACTTTGAGAGGCCGAGGCAAGCTGATCACAAGGTCAAGAGATCAAGAACATCCTGGCCAACATGGTGAAGCCCCGTCAAAATACAAAAATTAGGTGGGCATGGTGGCGCATGCCTGTAATCCCAGCTACTCGGGAGGCTGAGGCAGAGAATCGCTTGAACCCAGGAGGCGGAGGTTGCAGTGAGCTGAGATTGCGCCACTGCACTGCACTCCAGCCTGGCGACAGAGTGAGACTCTGTCTCAAAAAAATAATTTTTTTTTTTAAGGACTACATCGTTCTTTGTTAGTATCTTTGGGATCTGTTGAATTGTGTCATTACTTATTTCCTCCAGACACAGCAGCAGATTGCTGTCCAGGGACAGCAAGTGGCACAGACTGCTGAAGGGCAGACCATCGTCTATCAACCAGTTAATGCAGATGGCACCATTCTCCAGCAAGGTAAGTGTACCCATAAGCTTCCCTAGGACTTTTTGGGGCAACTTTTTTGTCCCTTAGACAACTGACATCTTTAGAATTTGAGTGGTGAACTTGACACTACATATTTTTTGGACAAAAAAAAAAAAGATTTCCTCTAGCTCTCCATTGATTGTTGGTTTCTTGTCACCATCTGTGACCAACAGTGATTCCATGTGTAGCAGTTTCTATAGTGGTTGCTAATCTAGGGATTGTGTAAGCTTTTAGGGAAGAAGTGTTTCTAAACAGAAGAATAGAAATAGGGAGTTCATTGGTAAAGAGAGAAATAGATCAAAAATCAAGTTGGCTTTAGAGTGCTATTGCTGCTTATGTTTTTTTCTGGGTCATTCCATTACTTTAAATGACTATTATGTATACAGCACTTTTACTAAGAAGGGTCCTCAAAGAGCCTCTAGTCTAGTAAGAAAGACGTGAACAAATAAATACAATGCAGGGCCCTCATGGAAGTATGTTCTAGGAATAGATAACATAAATAATAGATGTTTGGTCTGGGAGGAGGAGTGCAGAAACTGAACTTGAAGGCTTTTGGAAGCACCTGTTAGTCAAATAGTTAAATCAAAAAAGGACATCTTTGTTAGATTCCATGACTTTGTGATTGCAAATTTGCAATATACAGGATCCAGAGAGTGCACTAACTGTGTGCTCTTGTATTACTCCAGGGAGGCCCTGAACTGGATTGAGCCCAGGCAAGAGCTCAAACAGAATGGTGAACAAATCCTCAAGTGCTGCTATTGATAGTCTGGGGACTTGGAATGCTTGGTTTAATTTTAAGTTTTAATACTACAACTGACTCATTGTCAGTTTGAGATAAACAAAGTATAAGTTTTAAAATCTCTGTCCTGAAGCAGATTGCTCATTATGTACAAGAGCAGTAGGTATAGCTGTAGTCAGACTGACCTGTAGAAGAGGAGGCCTCCAAACCTTTTCACCTTTTGAAAACTGCTAAGGATAGAGTTACTCAAAACTGGGACCTAGACAGTTAATAGAATTTCAAAGATTGTGATTACTTAGATTATATATAGCACACCACAGTGGGAGAGTACTTTTTCTCCCCTTGTGTTTTTCAGTGTGTTTTGCCAGGATCGGTGAGTGTATACCAGATAGAAGAGGGACTAACTATGTTCCCTTCTTTCTGTTCTGTGTGCCTGTTTTTTGTTTGTTTTATGTTTTGTTTTCTTAAAGTTACAGTCCCTGTTTCAGGCATGATCACTATCCCAGCAGCCAGTTTGGCAGGAGCACAGATTGTTCAAACAGGAGCCAATACCAACACAACCAGCAGTGGGCAAGGGACTGTCACTGTGACACTACCAGTGGCAGGCAATGTGGTCAATTCAGGAGGGATGGTCATGGTAAGAAAATGTATTTTTCAGCTTTGTCTTTGAAATTTTCTTGAACATGCAACTTGATGCCTCCTAAAATTTATTATGTTGACCTCTTGGGATTGAGATCGATCCTTAAGGCACTGTCGGTAATCTACTTTGACAATAACATTATGACAAACCATAATTCATTCTGAGCACCTACTATGTGCCAGGGACTATTCACCAGGGACTATTCTAGATGCTGGAGATAAAGCAATGGATAAATAGTGATTTTATGGAATTCTTTTCAGAATTCAAATAACGAAGGGAATTATATACTAATCTTTGAGAAGTGGAAAGTAGTATTGCCCATGATGGACAAAATAAGAAATAAGCTAAAAATTAGAAAGATTGTAATTGATAGAGAAACCAAAAAAAAAGTGTCATGTAAATGTATTGGGAAGATAGGAAGATTTGGGTGGTGTAACTGAAAGCTAAATCCTCATATGTCAAAATAGGATGTTAAAATGCATAAATTAAGAATGAGTAACAGAAGTCTGCACAGAGGTGGAGGAAGCTATGAAAAGAAACAGAACCAACCCTGGCTCAGTGGCATGCACCTGTAGTCCTAGCTACTTGGGAGGCTAATCCAGGAGGATGGCTTAAGTCCAGGAGTTTGAGCTCAGCCTGGGCAATGTAGAGAGACCTCGTTTCTACGAATTGAATGAAAAATAAATAATTTTTATAAAAGATTCAATACAGTTATTCAAAGCGGTTGTATTTGGGAAAGAGCTGTGGGGTACAGGACTCTGTTACTTGTTTTTACCTACATTTAGTACAGTGTTTTGGTGTTTTTTAAGAAAAATTAGGATTGAATTATAAGTTAACTATTATTTTTATAAATATAGGCATTTAGTAGCACTTGGTCTATCTATTTTTGTGCTGTTTTTTTGTCTTATGACTACTGTTCCTGACCATTAGATGGCAGCAGAAATATCTAGAGCCATGGGTGGACATGAATTAGGGCATGGTTATATAGTTTCTCAGAGTGGCACCTGAATCTCCTATGACACAGTCATCTGGGGTGTTTGTTTAAAGTGCAGATCTTTAGTATAAATTTCTCCAGGGATCCGCATTTACCCAAGTACCCTATAAAAATTACTTTTTGTGGCATTTACAAAAAAAATGGATGAAGAGGAACCAAGAAACTGTTTCTATGTCCATACTTCATGCCACCAATAAGCTCTGGTTTCCTGTTCACACAGATGGTTCCTGGGGCTGGCTCTGTGCCTGCTATCCAAAGAATCCCTCTACCTGGAGCAGAGATGCTTGAAGAAGAGCCTCTCTACGTGAATGCCAAACAATACCACCGTATTCTTAAGAGGAGGCAAGCCCGAGCTAAACTAGAGGCAGAAGGGAAAATTCCAAAGGAGAGAAGGGTATGTATAACATTGGGAAGGATATAGGAAAGGAGAATAGCAGGGTTCTACTTTTGAAATTATCTTTTATATGGCTTGTTTTCTCACGTACCTTCCAAACAATTGACGTTAGATACTTGTTGTCTCTTTTGTAAGAGTTAGCATTTGTTATTACTAATATGCAGCTGCAGTTATAATAACGAAAACAAACAGTGGCTTAAATAAGATGTTATTCCTTTTCATACATAAAAGTAGTCCAGAGATAAATTATCCTGGACTGGTAGCACATTTTCACAGTTCTCAAGACCTGTTTCACTGCTTTAATATTGCTAGTGTGCTGTTCATGGTCCAAGATTCCTGCTTAGGCTCCAGCCTAGGAAGAAAGGGAACAAGAAAGGTACCCTTTCTTTTTTTTTTTTTTCCTGAGACTCAGTCTTGCTCTGTCATCCAGGCCGGAGTGCAGTGGCACAATCTCAGCTCACTGCAACCTGCACCTTCCATGTTCAAGTGATTCTCCTGCCTCAGCCTCCTGAGTAGCTGGGATTACAGGTGTGCGCCACCACGCCCAGCTTATTTTTGTGTTTTTAGTAGAGACGGGGTTTCACCATGTTGGCCAGGCTGGTCTCGAACTCCTGACCTCAGGTGATCCACCTGCCTGGGCCTCCCAAAGTGCCGGGATTATAGGCGTGAGCCACCATACCCGGCCAGGTACCCTTTCTTTCAAGGAAACTTTGAAGAAGTTGTGTACCTTCCACTAGCCGGAATTTAGTTACCTGATCACACCTAACATGCAGATAAGGCTAGGAAAGTCCAGCCTGGTGTGGTGGCAAATGCCTGTAGTCCTACTTGGAAGGCAGAGGCAGGAGGATCACATGAGCCGAGGAATTCAAGGCTGCAGTGATTCATGATCATGCCACTGCAGTCCAACAGCAAGGGTGTCAGAGTGAAACCCTGTTTCTAGAAAATAATAATAATAAACTTTAATGCTAGGAAAGTCTTTTTACTGAACACTCATTTGCTCAAACGAAATTTGGCCTGTTATTAAAGCAGAGGAAAGTGTATATATTGTGAAGTGTAGGTGGTAGTCTGTTATTTTTTTTAAAAAAAATTCATACTATAAGCATTCACAGTCTTACAGTAGTTATATATGGTTAGCTATATTACTTACTAGGTGTTTTCTCCAAAGCTTCCATCGTCATTCTAAGTCATAATTGTCCCTTGTGACTTTGATCCCAGCTGTCTTAAACTTTGGAGAATGGAATTTGTGCACTAGATAACTGTGCTGGTTCTGGATAGTATTAATAGTTAAATGGTTTTATTTCTCGTTTTAGAAATACCTGCATGAGTCTCGGCACCGTCATGCCATGGCACGGAAGCGTGGTGAAGGTGGACGATTTTTCTCTCCAAAGGAAAAGGATAGTCCCCATATGCAGGTAGGAAGACATATACATTTTATTCTTCTCTTTATTACCTTGTATTGACTTGAGTTGAAGCCTTCAGCAGTGTCCTCTTGCTATTTTCCTACTCTGGGACTACTCACATTCTCTAAACTGGATGCAATCTTATGTCTCTTTAGATTATCTTTTATCTTAAAACCACTAGGCCAGACTTGGTGGCTCATGCCTGTAATCCCAACACTTTGGGAGGCTGAGGTGGGAAGCCCAGGATTTCAAGACCAGCCTGGGCAACATGGCAAAACTCCATCTCTACAAAAAAATACAAAAACTAGCCAGGCCTGGTGATGCATGCCTGTAGTCCCAGCTACTTGGAGGGTTGAGATGCTCTTCGTCTTTGTCACTTATTACTATTCATTCTTTCTTGAAAATCACACTTTTCTTAATTTTCAAGGAACAAGTTTTATTTTTATTGAACAGGTTTTATTACCCCATCACAAATATAATTTGAATGTTTACTTTTTTCCCTTCTAACTGATGTGAGCCTGGTCTAATCCTCTCTTCTTTGGCTTAGATTTATAAAATAGCTGCTTAATTTGGTTTCCCTTCTTCCACTTTTGTTCCCCTCTAGCCTACTCTCCACATCCTAGTGTGATCTTTTTAAAATGTTTATCCTATCAAGTCCCTGTTCTGCTCAAGCTCCTTCAACCCCTACCCTTTCCCATTTGCACTTAGACTGACATCCAAAGTGCTTACTACTATGCCCAGCAAAGCCTTACATGCTCCAGCTCCTGTCTACCTCTAACTGCATTTCTACTTCTTGGTCTCTATGCTGCTGTTTACTGTTCATTGGTCTACTTCCTGCCACGGGTCTTTGTCCTTAGAATTTTCAGTCTGTATGCCCTTTATCTTTTTCATGCATGTCTATCTCCCTATCTGTTAGGTCTGGGTTTAATTAAATACCCTATCTAGAATAGATCTCTTCTCTCTCAGTATGTTCTTACAACATCTTTTCTTTTTTTGGAGGCAGTGGTGTGATTATGGCTCACTTTAGTCTTGACCTCCCAGCTCAAGTGATCCTCCCACTTTAGGCTCCCGAGTAGCTGGGACTATAGCCACGCACCACCATGCCCAGCTAATTTTTAAATTTTTTGTAGAAATGGAGTCTCACTTTGTTGCCCAGGCAGGTCTCAAACTCCTAGGCTCAAGCGATCCTCTCGCCTTGGCCTCCCAAAGTGCTAGGATTACAGGCGCACACCATTGCACTTGGCCCTTTTCTTTACAGTGTAATAATATTTAAGTTGTTGAATTTTTCAAGATTGTTTCCTTCACTAGACTGTAAGTTGTATAGAGGGTAGAGGATTGTTTCGTTCTCTGTTATATTTATTGGACTTAATTCTATTTAAGTAAGTTGTATTTAAGTACTGACTTAGATGTATTTGTTGGGTTTAGTATCCAGTTCTGAACCAAGCAATCAGTGTTTCTTGAATTAATAGATTCCTCCCATTTGCTGATACTCCATTCTATATTAACATCACATTCCACTTGCACTATTGCAATATCCATCAAATTAATCTCCAGTCTCCTCTAATTGGCCTTATATAGTACTTATACAGTACATGGTTAAAGTGTTTTTTTTAACCTGCCAGTCCCCAGGTCAAGGATGCATGCTATTAATAGTTCTCATTTCTTAACTGCATCAAATCTCAAACTATTTCTGTATAACATCTAAGCAACTTTGCCTTATCACCCCCTCAACAATCAAACTAGGTTTCCTCAGTGTCCCCACACATGAACACTAACAACTCTTTCAGTGCTATTAATCCTCACCTGTAGTGTGAGAGCCCCTCCTTTCTCATTGCTATTCATTCATAACGGTGTATGAATGTGGGCCTGACAGCTATTGTGGCAGGAGGGCATTGTGCCAGGAACTCTCCTCATTCTGTGTGCTAACAATATGATCTTGGTCAATTCAGCCTCTTTTATTTTTATCTGTAAAGTGGAATACTGTTGATACTTCACAGCAATGTTGTAGGGATTTCATTCAGTAATCCACATTAGGCATCTGTGTAGCACCATACCTAGTGCATGGTGAGTTCAGTAAATGCTAGTTGTTTTTGCTCATTGTTCAAGACCCAGTTCCAGTCTTCCATCTCCAGAAGGCTTTCAGCTTTTTCTCAGATCCTGCCTACCAAGGCTTCAGAGCCTTGGTATGGGGGAACTAAAGGTGGTTCTTGCGGAGTGTTGCAAAAAGCTTCCAAGGATTTATCCTTGTGTTAACACGGTAGGTCTTAAGTGAGAAACAGCATATAGAGTTTAGTGGAAAGAAGATGAAATGGGAGTCAGGAGATTTGGGAGTTAGCCCTTGCTGGACTCCTAACTTTCTGACCCTGACCCTAGTCCACGCAAATCACTTTACCCATCTGGCCTTCAGATTTATCTGTAAAACGAGTACATTAAAGTGTATAGATTCTAATGATTCTTTCTAGCCCTGCTAAGTACTCAGTATTTAAATGATGATCAAAAAACAGTGACAAAAATACAGCATGACATGGTTTCTCTGGGTCTTTTCCTTAGACACCTGAATCTGAATACTCTTAACCCTTAAGTATAGAGAACAACACAAGGTTCTTAGGAAAGAGATACACTAACAGCCCTGCAGTGTTTCACCATGGAGTGCAGGCCAGACTTTAAATTATTTTAAGAATAAGGTTTATTGTCTCTTCTTTCCTAATGGGGCTACACTTTAAGCCATGTATGCAGACTTAAGATGTATTACAAGCCTTTGATTTACTTGGTAAAGTTATGTGTATTCTCTTGGGGGGATAAGTAGTGAGAGCCATGAGTTCCTGTTGCTTTTGCAAAGGACTTTAATCATCATGTCATCTTTGTCTCTAGGATCCAAACCAAGCCGATGAAGAAGCAATGACACAGATCATCCGAGTGTCCTAACCCCACGCCATGTGATGGAGCTGATCAAGGTCATGTTTCTCACTGTTCCAGGAAATTGATCAACTCTTCCAATGGGACATTGATGATCACATTCTGCCCTTTACTACAGGACAGAAACCACTTAGTTTTTAATAAGTGGCTCAGTATTACAATTGCAGCGATGCCTGGCAAATTGAAGTTGCAAGCCTTTGTCTTACTCTTTCAGTCAGGACCTATTTCAGACTGTTGATGACATTGACATTTCATGGATTCGGATGATGCAAGGAGACACATGCCACCCCAGCAGTACACAAAGCACTTACCTTGACTGGTGAAGTCAGCCAGCCATCTCAGCAGGGAAGAACAACCTTCTCAACCAAAACTGCAATCAGGAAAGCAGCAGCCCACTCCTTCCCATGGAATCTAGACAGCATTTATCCCTCTGGTGGGGGAATCTCACACTGACTAACTGAATGGACGCTTTGTATTCAGAGATGGCTTCCAGGCAAGGAAGTTCTATCTTGTGATACGGAAACAATAAATTCCTGAGATACATTCTTCCAATCTGTGGTAATAATAAGAATTCCTCTCTGCCCAGATGGTAGGTTGATATTTCTGGACTCTAGCCAAGAAAAAGCTAATTCTGGGGATAGAATGATAAAAGACTCAAGCACTAAAAATATACATTGCCGAATCTCTTTTTCTAGCTTTGAAAAGTTGTGGCCTGCTTGTCCCTCTGTTGACTGGTCATCTGGACCATCGTACTTGCTGTGGCTACTTCTAAGACAATGTAGAGGGTTATTAAACCTTGAAACTGCCTTTCCTAAGTAGAGAACAAGACTATTCAACAACTTCTTTGCTGAAGCACTGAGGAGATTTGTAATACTCCTAAAGGAAGGGCCAAACTAGAGATTTTCAATCATAGACTTTGTGACAGCATTTGGGGAACTAAAAGATTCATGTGTTTCAGCCTAGTGGGAGAGAGTGGGGGAGAGGAAGAGAGAGAGAGAGCATGTATACCCGTATGTTATCATAGAGCACGATTCTCCAGTGGATGGATACCTGGAATGGATCATTAAGATGAAGAGAGTAATTCACATTTACTCTAGAACCTTTAACAAGCACTGAAAGGAAGAAGCCTGAGATTTGATCCTTGACAATTTCTGGAAAGCACTGGTCAGTCACACTGTCCTGGACAGAGTCCAAGTTACCCACTAAAGCTTGAGGTGGATGTTGGCTTCACTCCTGCAGCACAATGCTGGCCCTAGAAAGCGAGCATTTTCATTCTTCCCATGGCAGCTGATTCTTTGGTGCCAGTTTTCATGTTTTCTCCATAGGCCTTGTGCAGAAAGGTTTTCTCATTGCATCCATACTGTGAGAATAAACTGCAGACTGAAAGAAACATGCCTGCAGGGTCAGGAACTGGGCCACTGTTCCCAGAACGGGTTGTGCCTCAGAAATCTATTTCTCTTTTAGATGTTGAACCCTGAGAGAACTAAGATGATATTTCAGAAGAGTTGGCTGCCTTCTCTGGAAACAAGGAAAACCCAATAATTCCGAGGAACATTGGGGGTTAAATACCAAGAATAAAAATTGGTTCTTCTTTGACTTCAGCTTAACTGTATTAAGACAGAAATTAAGCCCTCTAAAAACACCACAAAGAGAGATGATTGTAATGATAGAAATAGAGGTACAGAGCTATGCAAAGGAAACAGGAAGTGAAATATTCCTAGTCCCAGGGATCTGGTAATCGCTCCTGGCTTCCAGATGTCAAAGGACTGATCCTTTGGTAAGCTCACTAGAAACTTCTAGCTCTACAAGAGTTTGGGATATTAATGTTATTCAGTAAGTCCCAAGTTTTTCAGAGAATAGATTACTAACAATGAGGAATTTATATTCCTTGGTTAATTTAGGAGTCTAAGATGCAGAGTTCAGAAAGAAATTACTCAGACCTAACTTTGAGTGCTTAAGCTGCCAACAGTTAGAAGATGCTATTTATTTGTGTCTGTAAGTTTGTACATAGTAATGCCAGCCTTGTTGCTGAATTTTTTATTTGGGGGGAGATGACTTTGAATTTTGTTTGAAATGCTTCAGTTGTCATTTTGTCATTGCATTTCAAATAGCTCATGACCCTTTTCTTGTGGTCACTTTGGCACACCATAGTAGCCCACAAAGTGGGGGCAGGGTATTGACATTTGGATTTTTTCTTTGATACTAGTTCTTTTATTCATTTTTATTTGTGACTGTAGTGATAACTTTACAGATGGAGAAAGAGTGAATGGATGAATGAATAATTGGTTTAATGCCTAGTTATGCAACTTGAGTGCTTTTTTTTTTTTTTGCAGGATAATTTTAAGTGTATATATTTTAACTGCACTGGTACATTGAACATGTCAGTGTCGATGCCACTGGACCAACAGAGCATTTTGTGGCTATAGGGTGCCTGATAATAATGTCTTGATTTTTCTTTGGGATTCAACTATATCGAAGGTTTTTCCCCCAGCAGTATGGGGGCGTACAGGTGATCGATCATTAATGTCATTGCAATTGTTATTTTTTAAAATAAATTTATAAAAATAACCGAAAAGTAATGTGACTTTTGAGGAATCTGCAACTCCTGGGTTCTAGTTTGTGTTTCCAGTGTTGAAATTTTGATCTCCCCCGACAAGACTTGTCTGCATGGACGGTGTCTCTGTAAACAGTATCAAACTTGTAATGTCTGAGCCTCTTAGCTTTATCTCCCCTTAATTTCTTCCCTTTTGGCCCTTCCACCCTGTTGAGGAGATTTTTTCTGTCACCTGCAGGCTGATCATACATTTGATGCTACTACTGAAAGTGTTTATCAAAATGTGATGAAGTAATTCCATGAGGAAAATTAGCCGTTATCACAAAAACAGCCTTAAGTATTGTAGAATTTCAGGTAGTGAAGATGTACTATTTACGTTTTGTTAGATTTTGTTTTGGCAGAAGACCAAAACAAAAGTACTTTTCTGATTGTTAAAAATCCACAGCATGCTCACCTTGTTACTGTTTTACCTTACGGTCGCTGGGAATCTAAGCAACAAAGACTAGAAGCCTCCGATATGCCATTATCAACACACAAGAGACAAACAGCCCGAGGAAGCACTCAATGATGAGAGCAGTAGACCTGCCCTGGCAGATGAGAGAGGAGAAACTCTCCACAATGAAGGAAAAGCACTGACAGTATTTGATAGCTTTAGTCAAACTGTGCTTGAGTTTGGCTTAGATTTATGCCAGTGGAACCTGTCCTTACCAAATTCAGAGATGACCCAAGATTCTACTCTGTGGTATGAGGGAAAGACCTCTCGATATTTATCTCACACCAACGGCTTTATCGTAGGAGCGTCTTCGCCTCCCCCGTTTCCAGTAGAAAAGACAGCTTTGCTCCTTTGAAAGCGCAGACCGCCGCACCTCCAGCCCCTTCTCCCCGGGGAAGTAGGCCCCGCTAAGAATGTGGGAAGGTGGTGGGGCGGCGACTGAAGTCGCTTCCGATTGGCGTTGTCCCAAGGAAGCCTGCGCGGATTGATCGGCGGCAGGCCTCCAATAGAGCCTGCTAGGCGGATTGGCTGCTACGCGGCTGGGCCCTGTTTCCGGTACCTAGGCGGGCAGCCATGGTGACCGGCGAGCGGCATGCGACGCCGCCTCTGTGGCCTGTGGAGGCCCGCTTGGCGGCGCTGCTTCCCGACCTACTGGTCTTTCGGAAGCCTCGGGGATGGGAACCCGAGCTCGCCACGGCCCAGGGCGTCCTCCTAGGCGTCCATGTGACGGGTGAGGGCGACGGCCGGCACTTGCACTTAAGTCTCCTGGCCTGCGGGAGAGGCGGCCGTTGGGTCTAAGCCCCTGGAGGCCTCGACGGTTACAGGCCTAGCCTCCCGCGAGCTAAGGCACAGTTTAACTTCGTGCTGCGGCTTCCTTAGGAAACTTTGAGTATCTTCGTTTTAGCGTGGGAGGACATCTTTTGGGATGAACCGGCTCAGTCCTTGAGCTCACCCCAAAGATGATGAAATTGAAACTCAGAGGAAAGGATTTTTACAGGACCACGCCCCGGGCTTTGAACCCGTTTTTCCCAACCCCGAGCATTTTCTATTAAGCGTTCTGTTTCAATTATTTTATTCGTTCAGTTAATTCGTTCTTGGCGTCATAAGTATATGCCCGCCGTTGTTCTGGCCGTAGCTATCTAGCAGCCACTCCGCGAGTCGTTCATTTAACAAATACTTACTCTGTGTCAGGGATATGAAGATGGGTAATACCAGGTGCCTGTCCTCACTGTGTGAGTGGTTCTCTAGCCAGACATGAGGAGGGATCCTATTGTTTCCCATAGCTAGGCAGCCTAAGAGAGTAGGGGAAAGAGCTGGCTCCAGATGAAAAGGGCACCATCTCCAGCTCTTGGAAGCAGAGAGGGTGGTCCTTTGGATTCCCAGTGGCAGCAGCAACCAACCTGGCCCTTAGTAGTTTCTAAGTTACACCATGTTAATGGATAAAGGAATTACTCAGCTTGAAGGGATCTGTTTCCTTTACACTGGCCTGATGTGTGGGGAGAAAGGGGCCAAAAAGTTTAGGATTTGGAGTTAACATCGTAATTTCTGCTTTGTTGGTCAGGGTTTACAGCATTAATGGACAGGTTCACCCTGACCTACAAGTCGGAACGTGACATGGACAAACTGGCCCATATCTTCAGTTATTACATTAGTGACATCGTGGAGCGTGAGTGATCATTGTAGGGTAACAAGGTGTGGTGCTGGGCTCCTGGGGGTTTATAAAAGAAGGGGGCCAGAAGTACTTTAAAACAGGTACCAAAGGGTCATTCCTTTAGCATCATTCATCTTTGGTTTCTTCAAGTTGCCACTGAAAAGCTAGACCTTTGCCTATTATCTGCTAATCTACCCAGTCTCACATTCTATTGACTCATTGTTCAAAGGGGGGGCAGGAGGAGCTAATTTCCTTTGCACATTTGTATTTTATTTCAAAATAAAGTATTCTCTTCTAACAATAACGTATCTCAAGTGTGTATTCAGACAAAATTTATAAAACATCTTTTTATTATTATATTTTGATCCTGTGAGGAAGGAATAGGTGTTTTCTTATTTTCTGCCATGTATTAAGCTTTTAGATATTTGCCAGATATCCAGTATCTGGAAAAAACTCATTTATGTAGTACCCATGTTTTGAGTACCTACCCTGTGACATGGACTGTAATAGGTGCAGGCAGGGCAAGAACCCACTCTTGAACTTTTTAGTTAGGCCTACCCAACAGAAATTACTCTGACCTTATACCTTTTAGTACTTACGTAACATTCTCATCCTTTACTGACAGTGCCCTGTATGCTTCCGTCCATCATTCTGAGATTCACCAGAATAATTACTTTGAGGCATCTCCGTTAAGAATTTGATTATTTGACTTACCTCTTATCCTTAAGGAACACATGGAAGGTCGTTTGCTTTTTCTTATAGGTTTGGATGAAGGGGAAGATAAACATTCTATATCGTGTATGTACTCTAATACCAGCAACTTCTGGGTACTAGAACTACAGGGGAAAGTAAGACAGAGTACCCTCGTGGAGTTTCCATTTTAGTGGGACAGACAATAAACACAATAATTGTAGCTTATATATTCTATCAAGGAAATAAACATAGTATAGTGGTAAAAAAAAAACACAAAAAATAATTTTAGGGTAGGGGAGTATATGAGACAGGGTGGTCATAGGCTCCTCTGAGGAGGTATTATTTAAGCTGACACTTGAAGGATGAGGGGAACAGCTTGTGAAGAACTAGGGGTAAAGCATTTCAGACAGAATACCAAGTGCAAAGGTCCTGAGACAGGAGAAAGCTCGGCATGCTCTAGGAGCTAAAAGAAGGCCAGTGCAGGCCAAAACGTAGCTCGCAGGGTGAAGAGTGGTTTGAGGCAAGGTTGGGGGATGGTAGCTATGAGACCACCACGCTCTGTAGTCCATAGTGAAGAGTTGGAATTATATATTTCTGTATAAAGGAAAACTGTGGAAAGGTCTAGCAGGGGAGTAATATGATCTGATTAACACTTTAAAGCTGATTTTGGCTACCTTGTGGAGATTGAATGCTGGTGGAAAGTGAATTTAAGAATAGAAGCTGGAAGAGGCAATTGTCCTGGAAAGATGTTGGAGATTTGGTCTAGAGCAGTGGTTCTCAACCTCAGCTGTGGTTGCCTGAGGAGCTTTTTAATTGTTTTTTCTTTTTTCTTTTTTTTTTTTTGTAAGAGACTGGGGTCTCAGTATGTTGCCAAGTTTGTCTTGAACTCTAGAGCTTAAAAGATTCTTCTGCCTCAACCTCTCAAATAGCTAGGACTGCAGGTACCATACCACCTTGTCTAACAAAAAATCTTAATGCCTAAGCTTCACCCCAGGCCATTTAAATCGGACTTTCTTAAGGTTGGCCCAGGAATAAGACCTTTTAAAGTTTCATAGGCAATTCCAATGTGCGGTCAAGACTGAAGATTGTTGGTGTAGAGGTATGGCAGGGGAGCTGTGTGGGGTAGATTAACCTGAAATATATTTTGCAGGTTCAACAGACAGGAGTTGCTAATACGTTGAATTTCAGTGGGAAGTGGTGAGAAAAAGGACTCAGTTTTTTGGCTTTCATAAATGAATTGATCGTGTCATTTACCAAGACAGGAAAGACTGAACATTGAGAAAGAAAATCAAGAGTTCTGTTTTGAGTATGTTGAGTTTGAGATGCCAATAAGTCATTCAAGTGGAGAATGACTCCATTCAAGTGGAGAATCCAGCTATGATTGAGCCTGGAGCTCAGAGAAGAGATCCCTGTTAGAGATGAAAATGTGAGTTGATGGCATAAAGTGGGACTTAAAGTTAAGAACCGATTGAGTTCATGTTGGGAGAGCATAAATAAAGAGAAAGAGCCTTTGGCTGAGGCTTGAGGAACTCCAGGGGAGGATTATGATAAGGGAGAAAGAACCTGAAAAAGAGACTACAAACAGCCAGTGAGGTAGGATATTGTGGTGTTCCTGAAGCCAAAGGAGAGGTAGTGTCTCTAGAAGAAAGCTGCAGCTAGCTGGGTTGAAAATGACAGCTGTCAAGTACAGTGAGGTCAGAGAGGTATTGAATTTAGCAAGATTAATGCTGTTGATGACCTTGATAATTTGAAGTGGTGGAGGTAGAAGTCAGAGTGGAGTAAGCTGAGAAAAAGAATGACAGAGAAAACATTTAAGAGGAAGAGTAAATGGGAGATGAGGAAAATATATATAGCCAACTTTTTTGAGATTTGGGGGTTTTGTTTGTTGTGAATGTAGCAGGAAAAAAAATGGAGCTAATAGGCAGAAGATAAGGTAGAACCAAGAATATGTGGGTTATTTTTGTGTGTTTTGGTTTTGTTTTTTAAGCTATTGATGAGAATATTTCAGTAGAGAGATTAGGAACGGTGTGAAGTTCTTGAGAAGGTAAAAGGGGATAAGATTCCTATCACAAATGGGGTGGCTTTGAAGAGAGCAGGAATTCTTCCATTTTAGAAACGATGTATGTAGGTGCAGATAGATTTGGGGAGAAAATGAAAAGAAGGAAGAAGGAGCCTGAGTCTTGGAGTGAGCAAATGGACAAGAATGATGTCAGGATAAACTCAGTAGGCCATTCTTTTGACCATATATGATTCTGCCCTGATCTGGTTTATATCTGATTTTGACTCATTTTCCTCTCTCTTCCTTACTTGATTTCAGATGTTCTCTGTTTTGGAGGGGATATCCTAAATATCACAGGTATTTTTTTAGTTTTTCTGAATACTTAAAAGACTGAGTGAGGAGGACTATATTTAGGTGGAATTCAGCATATTGGTTTATTCAGCATTGTTTGATTAATAGGTACTGGACCCTGGGGATACAAAGATGAGGAAGACATAGTCTGTGCCTCAAAGGATCCCCCAGTCTAATGGAAAAGCTTTGCCCAAATTAAACTCTCACATGCTTTGCATTTTTGTTTAGATTGAAGGACAGCAAAATAAGTGCCAATAAAGCGTTCTTGAGAAAACTAATGAGAAATTTGGTCATTAATAGCAGAAGCTAAGCATGAGATGGGGAGGAGTTAAGCATGTCCTATCTGGAGAACTCAGGATCACTAACAGCTGTATGCCCCGGAGTTGGCCTGTCTTCTTATTTAAACATAATAAAACCAGCCATCAAATTAGATATGAACTTGAACCCACATTTTATGAATCTTTTGCTAGTACCTCTCCTCCTCTGTTAGTATACTGGTGGAAGGAAGATTACCAAAAATATCCTTAGGATCATTTAAACTTCTACCTAGTTACGTTTTTACTGAATGATTTTGAGGATCTGAAGCAGTATTTTAACCTAGCATAATGTATACAGCCAAGAAACCTTGCCTGATAACTTACTTGATATCCACACTGGGTCAAGTTGATCTTCTGCATTACTGGGACTTTGCCCTGGACCAAGTAAGTCTAGATATTTGGTCCCCATCAGCCTATCCTGTGTGTCTGCAGGGAACATGCTCCTGGCACTCTGGAGAGTAGAACAAAATCAACTGAGTGACATCATTACCTTGGTGGCAAAATGCAGTCTGGAGATACAGGAGAAATTTGGGATCTATCATACCAGGGAAGGCCAGGACCTGCAGTTAAAGATAGGTAGTACCTCCTAAAAGAGTGATCCAGTTGGGCAAGGGGGAACCCACTATAAAAACCTCAAAAGATAAATGATAAACTGGGAAAAAATGTTTGCAATTCATATAGACAAAGGGTGAATTGCTCTACTAGGGAAAGAGCACTTAGAAATCAAGAAAACAATAGTACTCTTAAGAGAAAAATTGGACAAAGGACATGAGTAAATTGTATATAGACAAGGAAATGCATGTCTTTTAACACGTAAAAAGATGATCAACATTCATAATAAGAAAAATGCCAATTGGAAGTACACTGACTACCTGTCTTACCTATAGATAGGCAAAACTTCAGATGCTGGACAATGTACTCTTTGGTGAGTCTGAGGAATGAGCTTTTTCTTACTGTGAGTGAACAACGGTATAAGGTGATTTGGCAATCTTTATTTATTTTTATTGTCTATTGTATTTTTTATGTCAACAAAAACTAAACCATATAAAAATATATATTAAAAAGTCTTGTTTTCACTTATATACCATCTATACTATTTACTCTTACAAGTGCATTTATTCCTTAACCTAGCAATCCTTCTGGACATCTATAGGTATACGTTCACACATCTGAAATGTTGCATGTGCAAGGTTATTGATTGTAATATGGTTTGTAATTTTAAAACATTGAAAACTATTTATAGGAGACTGGTTAAGTAAATAATATGTATACTCAATAAGATTACCTGCAACTTAAAAAAAATAAGATGTCTTGATATGGCAGTATCTCCAAGATACAGTTAAGTGAAAAAAAGTAAGATACAAAACAGCATGTTTAGTATGCTACCATTTGTGTAAGGAGGAAAATAAGAATTTTTCTTATTTGTTTATATCTTTTTTTTTTTTTGAGATGGAGTCTTGCTCTGTCACCCAGGCTGGAGTGCAGTGGCGCCATCTCAGCTCACTGCAAGCTCCACCTCCCGGGATCACACCATTCTCCTGCCTCAGCCTCCTACTGAGTAGCTGGGACTACAGGAGCCTGCCACCACGCCTGGCTAATTTTTTTGTATTTTTAGTAGAGACAGGGTTTCACCGTGTTAGCCAGGATGTTCTCGATCTCCTGACCTCGTGTTCCGCCCGCCTCGGCCTCCCAAAGTGCTGGAATTACAGACTTGAGCCACCGCACCTGGCCTATTTGTTTATATCTTGTATAAAGAAACACTGGAAAAAATATATAAGAAACTAATAAAATTACTAATATCAGGAAAATAGTAAAGATGGTCATGTAGGTAGAAGCAAGATTTTAAAATACATATTCTTTCATATAGTTTAGTTTTTGAACTATGTTATTGCTTGACAGAATCAAAAATATAATACAATATAATAAAAATTAAAAAGCTACATACAGGGGCCAAAGTTTCACCAATGGCAGAGTCAGGATTGGAGGCGAAGCTCAATATACAAAGCTCCTTCACAAGGGTTCAGAAAACTCCTCAAGGGCAAAAGTTGGCTCCAGCTATTCTTTTATGTTTTGAGGAGCAGTGGTAAAGGATTATATTCTGTCTTATATGGCATCTCTTTTGTCCTGCCGTCTTTTTTGTTTCTTTTGGTTTTTGTTGTATTAAGGATAATTGATACTATACATTGGCATATTTATACACTTTTGAAACCATCACCACAATAAAGATAGTGAACATACTTATCACTCAAAAAGTCTCCTCGTGCCCCTTTGTACATTCTTCCACTACTCTCCTTCACCATCTCCAGACAGACAAAATGTCCATCTCCAGGTGTATTATATAAGAGAAGGAAATCTGGGGGAAGAATTTTTTTTTTTTTTTTTTGAGATGGAGTCTCACTCTGTTGCCCAGGCTGGCATGCAGTGGCACGGTCTTGGCTCACTGCAACCTCCGCCTCCAGGGTTCAAGCAATTCTTCTGCCTAAGCCTCCTGAGTAGCTGGGATTATAGGTGTGCACCACCACGCCTGGCTAATTTTTTTTTTTTTTTTTGTATTTTTAGTAGAGACAGGGTTTCACCATGTTGGTCAGGCTAGTCTCGAGTTCCCAACCTCAGGTCATCTGCCCGTCTCAGCCTCCCAAAGTGCTGGGATTACAGGCGTGAGCCACCGTGCCTGGCCGTAAGGTATTATTTTTAAAGGTTAGCTCACCTAAGACTTCCGCAGCTGAGGGCAGTAACAAGATAGGCATGATGCACAGAGCCATGTGGGGATTCCAGACCCCTCCTGTTGCATAGTTTCCCAGTTGAATTTGACTCTTCTCCATTTATCTCATTTTTTTCTGGATAGGTCTACCTGCAAGTCGGATTTCCCAGGTTATTGTTGGAGATGAGCGGCAGCAATACCTCTTGGTGATTGGGCAGGTTGTAGTGATGTCCAGTTAGCTCAGCGTTTGGCTCAGGCGAATGAAATTGTCCTATCCTGGAACTGCTGGATGCTTTGCAAGCAGTATATGTTTGAAGTGGCAATCATGAGGGAGGATGAAGCTGTGAAGGTAGGAGGCTAGCTTCCTGTACTGCCATTCTGAAAAGGCCTTCCTAGTACACAGCGCAATGCTCTGGTAGTGTTCACATATTGCCTGGCCAAACCAATGACCATTGGAACTCAATTTAGGAGGGAGGCTGGGAATATTCTCCTATGAAGATAGATGAGGTAGAACAGTGAGGCTGAGGAGATAAAAGGCAAACAAGGGCAATAGAATCCTCAGCCTTTCTTGTGTGGGGGCACAGAATTAAACAGTTTCCTTTCTGTAGTTAAGAGATATGTGGATCATTGATCCATTTGATTTTGATGAGCATTTTGACAAGTGCCTCAATTATCTACCACATTACCGTACGAGTGCTGGTAAGTTACTTTGTCCTTCCTACCTAAGCCCCAAATTTTAAACATTAATTTTCCACATGGCCAGGGACATTTTGTTTTTCTTTTCTCAGAGACTCTTAAGAACTGCACTGGAATTGGATCCACACTCTGAACTTGACCAAAAGCTGCAGAAGCACATAATGAAAAACCTTTTGAAGAAGCTTATTTCCTAGTTCTTGAATCCTCATAGAGTCTCTCTCTCTCTCTCTCTCTCTCTCTCTCTCTCTCTCTCTCTCTCTCTCTCTCTCTCTGTGTGTGTGTGTGTGTGTGTGTGCATGCACATGCATAAACAGGTGTACAATTATAAGTGACAACTTTTTTATATTTATCCAGTTAATCTCCAGCAACCCATTGTAATTCCAGCAAATTTACCCATCTGTGCCAACATAATACTGTGATGAACATGTCTTAAACCTTTAGTTAGATTTCTCAGTCCTAGAAAGTAGAAGCCATATTTGTTCTTTAGTTTGTTCTTTAACAATTTAGTACACTGTAAGAAGGGTATAGAGTGTATGTTTGGTAAATATAAGTTGACTGATTGTATATATATGAATATATGTGAATTCCTTAGTAAGAGATGTAATGACTAATGGATGTGTCAAATTAATTCTTAGAGAGTAAATCTTGACAGATTTCATCAGTGAATTCTGCCTAAAGTCAGTTTTAATTCCAAGTTCATTGGTTTGTATATCTTCTATACTGAATTTTCTTTTAAGTTTTTGCTGAGACCCATAAGTTGTTTTCTCATACATACCATGAAATACATAATTAAAAATGCCTGAACATGATGTTGATAGTTGAAAATACAGGTAGGTAACTCAATGTGTCTTTATAGATTGATGAAGGCCAGCCTATAGAGTATGTATCTGAATTCCGTACGATGACTCTGGTTTTGGTCAGCCTAGAGTTCCACAGGACAGCGTGGATGTTGCATTTGTGTCATCTTATCCAGGAGGCTGCCTTATACATCTCCACAGTCATTGAGAAAGGGGGCGGCCAGCTGAGTCGGATCTTTATGTTTGAGAAAGTAAGTACAAGGGAACTTGACCCATCAGCATTAAAGGTGAGTGAGGAGTAATGGTCTTGTACAACCAGTTGATCTCCCACATAATGCAAGTGTAAGTCAAATTCCCTGCTACTTATTTTGTAACAAGCTATATTACATTAAAACTTCAACTAATGTTAATTAAGGAATGGGATGTTCCTTTTTTTTTTTTTTTTTTTTTTTTTTTTTTTTTTTGAGGTGGAGTCTCGCTCTGTCGCCCAGGCTGGAGAGCAGTGGCGCGATCTCAGCTCACTGCAAGCTCCACCTCCCACGTTCATGCCATTCTCCTGCCTCAGCCTCCCGAGTAGCTGGGGACTACAGGCGCCTGCCACCATGCCCGGCTAATTTTTTTTTTGTATTTTTAGTGGAGACGGAGTTTCACCGTGTTAGCCAGGATGATCTCGATCTCCTGACCTCGCGATCTGCCTGTCTTGGCTTCCCAAAGTGCTGGGATTACAGGCATGAGCCACTGTGCCCGGCTGGGATGTTCTTGTTAATTTAATTTTCAAGGTTACTGAGGGTTACTCTCCATGTCATTTTTTATTGAATTCTTATTGAAGAATCCTTGTGAAAGCATAAAGAATGTTTTTCTGGTTCTATTAGTAAATTAAATGTAATCAAGTCTTTGTCAGATAATTAAAGATCTTGAAAAAAAGCAGAATCTTAACACTTGACATTATAGGTGAAGAAAATGTGGGCACATAGACTCAGCTCAAGGTATATACTAGAAATTAAATTTTTGAAAAGTTCTTGATAGCAATTTTTCTTGTGTTTTAAATTTCAGTTCTTTGAATAGTTAAATCAAGATTTTTGTTAATGTCTATGTTGCTGGCCAGGCACGGTGGCTCACGCCTGTAATCCCAGCACTTTGGGAGGCTGAGGTAGGCAGCTCACAAGGTCAGGAGATCGAGACCATCCTGGCTAACACGGTGAAACCCCGTCTCTACTAAAAATACAAAAAAATTAGCCAGGTGTGGTGGCGGGTGCCTGTATTCCCAGCTACTTGGGAGGCTGAGGCAGGAGAATGGCATGAACCCAGATGGCAGAGCTTGCAGTGAGCTGAGATCGCACCACTGCACTCCAGCCTGGGCGACAGAATCTCAAAAAAAAAAAAAAAAAAAAGTGTATGTTGCTGTGGCCCAGCATTTCCATTTTATGAATCATGTAGAATCTGATATTTCCAACAGAAGAGTGTTCAAGGATAGGGTCTGGGTTCATTCGGTGGAGCTGGTTTAGTTTAGGCAAGCCACATTCCTTTCCCAGGTAAGTGTCTCATTTCTTTGTTTGTCATCTATCCCAGGGCTGCATGTTCCTCTGTGTTTTCGGCCTTCCTGGTGATAAGAAGCCAGACGAGTGTGCACATGCCCTGGAGAGCTCCTTCAGCATCTTCAGCTTCTGCTGGGAGAATCTTGCTAAGACCAACTGAGGAGGAAGGTGGGGCAGAGAGGAGCTTCTCAGGCCCCAGGGGCTCTTCAGGCAGGGTAGGAGGCAGTAACAAGTGGCAGGGATTCAAGTAGTCCAGAATCTGCCTAACTCGGAGGGAACATGCTAAGGAAAGTGAGCAAACAAGATCTATTAAGAAATCACTAGATACAGATCTCTGTACTGGATACCCAGGGGAAATAAAGATACATTCCCATTCAGCGGGTCAGGAAAAGGGGAGAAACAGAACAGACATACCAAGATTCGAGAACACTGCAAGGGAACAAGCAAATGTGTAAATTAATGTGATGCAAATAACATGCCTGTGGAGAGGATGCAGAATAAAGGCTGCCTGTCTACGAGAGAGTATGAGAGAAGTTGTGGAGAAATTACCTAGATAGAAAGGAACCACAGCTGGTTAGCACTCTCTTGGCTTTCATTCTGGGTCTTTCCCAGATCTTATTGCTTTTTCTGGACCTTACACTGAACTGATCTCCCTCTTCCACATCCACGCCTCACCCAACCACCTTTCACAAAACCTAACCCAGATGAAGGTATAGAAAAATCTATTTTCCCACTAGTTGCATTATGATAAAGTTTGTTGGAAGTTTTCAATTGACTTTTTAAAATAGAAAGCTATGGAGAAAGTGTATACATGAATGAATTTTAAAAATAGTTACTTCCAATGTTAACATCGAATCAGATTGGTTTGCTTGCCACAACTTATTCAAAATGGATAAAAATTATATCAAACATGTACATAGTACTTTAACATTTATAGAATACTTTAGTATATGCTACCAATGTGAAAATTTGTATCCCTCTTTATTTTTTACTTTTTTTTAGAGACAGAGTCTTGCTCTGTTTCCCAGGCTAAAGTTCCGTGGCACAATCACGGCTCACTGCATCCTCAACCTCATCCTTCCAAGTAGCTCAGACTATAAGCACACGCCCCACACTGGGCTATTTTTTTTATTTTTAGTAGAGACAAGGTCTTGCTGTGTTGCCCAGGCTGCTTTCGAACTCCTGAGCCCAAGCGATCCTCCCACCTCGGCCTCCCAAAGTGCTGGAATTATAGGTGTAAGCCACTATGCCCAGGTCCTCTTTTATACATGAGGAAATAAAAGTCACAGAAGAGAAGTTACTAGCATATAACAGAGCTTGTAATGAAACCCAGATCTTCAGTCTTCAAATCCTGTGTTGTTTCATTACTTATCCCCCACCTGCCTCTTATAAAATGCAAATGCTCCCCCAAAAGAATAGAATATGCTATTAATGTGATATAATTATAGATACACGCTCATAGAATGTTACTATTGGAAAGGAATTTAGAGATTATCTGATCCAAGCCTTATTTTAGAGATAAGAAAGATGCTACAGTTGCTTAATAGATACTCAGACTCTGCCCAAGGCAAATACATGTTAACACTTCTTTCAGGTTTGGTGGGATCTGCAGATACTCCTATATCCTACCTCCCAATCTTATCTCCAGGGTGGAAATGCTGGGCAGTATTAGTCAGGGTTCTCTTAGAGGGACAGAACTAATATATATATGTATATATAATTATATATATTATATAGAACTAATATATATATGTAATATATATTATATATAAATATATATATATGTAAAGGGGAGTTTATTAAGTATTAACTTACATGACCACAAGGCCCCACAATAGGCTGCCTATAAGCTGAGGAGCAAGGAGAGCCAGTCCGAGTGCCAAAACTGAAGAACCTGGAGTTTGATGTTTGAGGGGAGGAAGCATCCAGCATCGGAGAAAGATGCAGGCTGGAAGGCTAGGCCTGTCTCGCTCATTTCACATTTTTCTGCCTGCTTTATATTCACTGGCAGCTGATTAGATTGTGCCCACCAGATTAAAGGTGGATCTGCCTTCCCTAGCCCACTGACTCAAATGTTAATCTCTTTTGGCAACACCCTCACAGAAACAACGCAGGATTAATACTTTGAATCCTTCAATCCAATCAAGTTGACACTCAGTATTAACCATCACATGGGCCATCCCTTCCAGTGCTGGTCTGTTCTGTTCTTGAAGTTTGTATTGACCTATGGCCTTCAAGGTCCCACCCTTGGCCCTTACTCTTAAAAGAGTCATTTCTTTGTCCTTTAGAGACTGTCTTAAAATTCCCTTAAGAATGCCTTCCATCACTCTTAGGCTGTAACTTGGTCATTTCCATCTTATTTAGTTTAGAATATAATAGATGTTAAGAACTAGATGGGGTATTAGAGTTCATCAAATTTGACCTCTTTAAAGAAACTAAGATCCAGAAAGGTTATGCTGGTAAGCCAAACAGATGTCAAAGCCTCAAAGCTAGGTTTCAAGGTCAGTGATTTTTCCCTCGAAGATAATTACTAATTCAATATCTCCCAAAGTGTGTTTGGTAGAATGTTATTACTCCCTTAATATGCTCATGAAAAAAGAAAAGATTTTCATCACCAAATATGTTTGGGAAGTGATGCAAATTATATTTCCTTCTTCAAGGTTCACAATGAACATTAACATATCAAAGGTTCTGAGTAGTGCTATGGGAAAGAAATTTGTTATATTTAGTTTTAGTCAGCATTTCCCAAATTTACTTGGTCATCAAACACTTTTCTCCAGAAAGACCTATAAACATCCAGAGGAACTAATGTTCTAAGGAAGATATTTTTGGAAATGCTGAGCAGATGCTAAAGCTTCAGAGGTACCTACGTGGCCTCGGTAGCAGATACCATTGCTCATTTCTCTCTGCATTACATGAGCTCTCAGACCCAAAACTACTTTCCATGCCTTCTTTTTCAAAGACCCTGTTCACCTTGAGATATCCTCTGAATTCCTCTTCCTAATCTGAGAAATAGCTCCAGCTTTTAGCTCATTTAGAGGAAAGATGATTCCATGCATATTTCTTCAGGATATTTTTGAGACATAGGGAGTGCAGTCTCAGAATATCATTATTATGGTTTTTCAGTACCAGAAATACTTTATATACAATGACATATATCAAATAAAGAGTACATTCTTTATCAATGCAGAAAGGTTTTAAAGGAAAGAAGGAATATGGATTGCCGGGAAAAACAAGGAGGAATTATAAAGTATAATAGAAAGAAATAAGAAATAACTAAGTGATAAAAGTATTATTTGTTCATTATTGACTTGCTAATAGCTGAATTTCTGGCATGCATAAATGCATTCATTCAACAAGCATTCCTTGAACACAGTTATGAGCCAGGCACTGTGCTAGGTGCTATGGACATAAAGAGAAATAAGATTTTACCAGTTCAGCTAAGTAAACAACTAACTTTAATACAACGAAATTAAAGTGCAGAAATAAAATGCTACAGGAGTTACAACAATGTGCTATGGGAAGAAGTGGTTAATTCTCCACAGAGGTACCAAAGAAATCTTGACTATAAAGATGACTTTTGAGACAGGTTGAGAAGAAAAGTAGTTCAGCAAATGGAGAAGGTGGGAAAGGGTATTTAGGCAGAGGAAGCATCATGAAATTTTAAAAGATTTTCAGTCTTGCTCTTCATATGGCAGCAGAACTGACAGCATGGTCTTGTCTTAAGTGTCTCTTTTTTTCACCCTGGGGGCAGTGAGCTGAGTGAATGAATGGTAAGAGACTTTTTTTTTTTTTTTTTTTTTTTTTTTTTTTGAGACGGAGTCTCACTCTGTTGCTCAGGCTGGAGTGCAGTGGCACAATCTTGGCTCACTGCAACTTCTGCCTCCCGGGTTCTAGAGATTCTCCTGCCTCAGAATCCCTCAACTGGGATTACAGGCACACACCACCATGCCCACTAATTTTTGTATTTTTAGTAGGGATGGGGTTTCACCATGTTGGCCAGGCTGGACTCTTGAACTCCTGACCTCAGGTGATCCGCCCACCTCAGCCTCCCAAAGTGCTAGGATTACAGGCATGAGCCACAGCACCCAGCCAAGAGCCCTTAATCCTGTCCTTTGAGGAAGACAAATAATTTTGATGGCTTAGGAGGTAATAGTGTTAACATGATTGCTACTTCTCATGTTGTCTGAACCACTGAAAATTGTTTATAGATTTAATGTGACTATGCCTCATTGCATAATCTTTCTCCACCTACATATCTTGTTACCTGTCACATGAAATTTTCATGTCAGTGAGTAAATCTACTTATTTTGTTATGTATGAGTTGCTCCTTGCCACCTTTGGGCTTTTGCCTCACCTAGAACAGTATATGTCCTCTTTTAAAATAATTCATATGTCTAATACTCTTCCATCCCTAGAGAGGTGAGACTACTTCTCCCATTACCTCTCTCTAATCCAAACACCTCTCTTCACATCTGTGCTCTAGCCGTCTTGAAGTACTTAGTTTTGCATGACCACACAAGGCATCTCAAAGCCTTTACCTTTTCCCACCAGACAGTACCACTCCCCCACTTTAGCAATTTCTTCAGCTTTCAGGGTCCGACCAAATGTCCTCTCCTTTAAGAATACTCTATCTACTCTTCAGTGTGAATTAGTGCATCTGTTCTGTTTGCTCTGCTAATGTGCTATATCAATCTCTAATATGGAGTATTTGTCTTGCTGACATATATAAGTATCTCTTCCCCTCCCTCAAACCTACCACCCTCCTCCCCAAACTTAACTTCTCTAGGGCAGGATATTTTAAACATCCAGCCAAGTACTCAGTACTATGCACACTTCTCAGTGCTTAGTGAATGAAATGAATGTATGTATGCATTAATGAATTTTTAAAATATTACTCATTAAAAAAAATTTGTTCCAAATGTTAATTTACTTCAGAAAGCCTTCTGTCTGCAGTCCTGACATTCTGATCACTCCTTAACTGTGACATTCTAGCATTATTTGATCTATTAATCCTGTATTGATATCTCTTTATCTACTTTCATTTTTCAGTTTTATCTGAGACAACATGGTATAGTAGAAATAATATCAGTCTAGGAGGCAAGAGGCCTGGATTCTCATTCTGACTTACTGTTCGTTTTTGCTATATAACTCTGGGAAAGTTAATTAACCCCTTCAATTTTTTTTTCTCAAATGGTTTTTAAATATTTGCCTTACCACAGATGTAAAATTTTTTTTTTTTTTTTGAGATGGAGTCTCACTCTGTTGCCCAGGCTGGAGTGCAGTGGCACAATTTCCACTCACTGCAAGGTCCGCCTCCTGGGTTCATGCCATTCTCCTGCCTCAGCCTCCCGAGTAGCTGGGACTACAGGCGCCCACCACCATGCCTGGCTAATTTTTTGTATTTTTAGTAGAGACAGGGTTTCACAGTGTTAGCCAGGATGGTCTCGATCTCCTGACCTTGTGATCCACCCACCTCAGCCTCCCAAAGTGCTGGGATTATAGGCGTGAGCACCGCACCTGGCCCAGATGTAAAATTTTTAAAAATCTTTTACTGGCCAGGTGTGGTGGCTCACACCTGTAATACCAGTGCTTTGGGAGGCCAAGACGGGTGTATTGCTTGAGCCCAGGAGTTTGAGACCAGCCTGGACAACATAATGAAACCCCATCTCTCTCAAAAAAAAAAAAAAAAAAAAATTAGTTGGATATGGTGGTGTGTGCCTGTAGTCTCAGCTACTTGGGAGGCTGAGGTGGGAGGATCACTTGAGCCCAGGAAACGGAGATTGCAGTGAACTGAGATCACACCAATGTGCTCCAGCCTGGGCAATAGAGCAAGACCCTATCTCAAAAGAAAAAAAAAGAAAGAAAATCGTTTACTAATAACCCCCAACTAAAACTAAAACTCCTGAATTAGGGGAACCATTCTGTTTCTTTTGGTTCTCTCCCTAATATTCAGTACTTTGTAGCCCTCATGTTATATAGACTGACAGCAACCTCTGGCCTTTTCCATTCTAAGCTCTAAAACTAGACTTCTGGATCTGGGGAGTGGCAGATCTAGTGCCTGACTTGGAGGCTTCTGACTGTATGTTTATCCATTGTTGCTTTTCAGATCCCTAGATTTGTTTCCATCAGTATCACTAATGGACCAGTATTCTGTGGCGTGGTTGGAGCAGTAGCAAGACACGAATATACAGGTAGAATAGGACATTGGACTGTTATCTTTGTGACTTAAGGGAGGAAGGTGGAAGACATGGCCCAAAAATTCTCCACCTGTCTTTCTGACACAGTTATTGGCCCAAAAGTGAGTCTTGCGGCCAGAATGATAACTGCTTATCCAGGTTTGGTGTCCTGTGATGAGGTAACATATCTAAGATCCATGCTACCTGCTTACAACTTCAAGAAACTCCCAGAGAAAATGATGAAAAACATCTCCAACCCAGGGAAGATATATGAATATCTTGGCCACAGAAGATGTATGTGAGTATCATTGTGTGATAGTTTCATTCTCATCTCTTACAGAACAATAAGTTTTTGATTACATGAAATTGGAAAAAAAGATGCTGCTAGTACTGGCATGCTGGAATAAGACACACAAAAGGAGTGTTTAGTGTCTGAGAGATTTAGCTTTTATGTTTAGCTCTTAGCTAGTTCTTCAATGAACATCCTTTTCTCCTACAGGAAGAGAATAGCAATAGGTCACTAACCCAGATCTTCTTTGTTCTTTTTTTCTTTGTGTACTTCACCATTCATTTACTTCCCCGAGCCTGGAACAATCAATAATATTCCCTCTTTACTCCCTCTCCCCCAAAATTTTTAGTTTTTAAAAACCTTTTTATTCAGAACTCTGTACCTCCTTAATTATCTGAAAGTATTTGCTTATGAAGACAGCTGTTCCTAATCTATTTTTAACAGATACATTTCACTTTGTTCTTTTTCCCAGAATGTTTGGAAAAAGACATTTGGCAAGAAAGAGAAACAAAAATCACCCTTTGTTAGGTATGTTTTCTTTTGTAACTTAAATCATATTTGTTTCAGTTATAGACAGCTAAATGTGATTTAAAAAACAAAACAGTGCAAGACTAAATGCTCTTAAGCTTTATTAAAAAATAGAGAGCAACCTTCTTAGTGAAATTATATTTATTTTGAAGAGGATTTACTATTTCTTTTCCATGTCAAATATTCAAATTTCAGGTGAAGTCCTATAACTGCCTGAGAAACACCAACATTTAGTAATAATCTTTGTAAGTCAGAGTTTACCTATTGAGATCGGAACAGCTTATTGTGGATCATCTTTAGAGAAAAATTCATAATCCTTAGAATAGTGAAAATAGCACCAAGACTGTTGTCACCCACGCTATATATTCCCTATCTTTGTATTTATTTTAGTCTATACTTATTAGTCCATTACTTTTACATAGTAGTGACAGATTTTGAAGACTAAATTGTTATTAAGAAAATTTTTACAAAAAGCTAAGAGACACCCGTGTCCACAAGGTGCCTAATTTTTCTGAATGTTACTACTTAGGCTCTGGAATAAGCCCTCAAGACCAGCATATATTAGCTCAGAATTGATTTTTTGGAAAGAGATATGAAGCCCCATCAATGAATGAGATTCTTCTGGGAATTCTGGAGGAAAAAAGCCATTCTGAGAGTTAGATTTGCAAATTGATTCAAATCAATAGAGTATCTACCAAAAAGCCTGCAACAATCAATAATGTTGATTATTGTTATCCAGGAGTGTTAGGTGCTCCCTGTCTCTCTACAGACTGGGAGAAAGAATTGGAAGCCTTCCAAATGGCACAGCAAGGGTGTTTGCACCAGAAGAAGGGACAAGCAGTTCTGTATGAAGGTGGAAAAGGCTATGGAAAAAGCCAGCTGTTGGCTGAAATAAACTTTCTGGCACAGAAAGAAGGGCATAGGTAAAAACTCCTGCTTTCTGACTTAGTCAGAGCCTACTTCTCTTGGGGCCTCTTTCTCTTGTTAGTGAGACTCTTGTGTCATTAGATTCAGCATTCTTGGACCGGTGAAGTTAGTAACCTATGTGTCGTACAGGGGACTCCTGATGACCATAGTCATATTCACCAGGGTGTTGCCATTGATGCTGAAGGAAGCAGATTCCAAGCAGTGCTTCTATGCCATCCAGACCCTCATGGCCATCTTCTTTGAGATTGATACATGCCCAGCCTATTACCGGCAAGAGTGCCTACAAAGACAGCTTTGTGGGATAGTGGAAGAACAACTTCACTGCCTTTTTAGTGACCTCTTATTTGTGAAGGTAATGAAGGCAGTGGCTTTCTGAATTGGGTTACTGTTATATTTTGTGGATAGTCAGACCTAGGATTGTTTTCTAATCTAATAACCTGAGGATATACATATACATATATGGTAGGACCAAGATGTGAAATTCTTTCAACACCAAAACTCAGGCTTTCTCCTTTTGAGGAGAGTGAATTCTAGTATTGAACCTGACACTTAGTAGTTTTATGTCCTAGAGCAAATCACTTAGCCTCTCTGAGTCATAGCTTTTTCACCTGTGAAATAACAATTATATTACTGTATGTTTTTATGTGAATTTTAAAGGAGATGGTATATGAGAGATTGCATTGTATATTTTAAAGTACTAAATACATTAAGGTGGCCCTCACCAGTGGCATATCCCCAGGAATTATATCCACGTGTTCTTGAGTTGGTTCCAATTTCTTTATTTTTTTAACCCTACCTTCCTGTTCCCTTACCACAGAATATATCATTTGAAACCAGCATCTGGATCTCAAAAGCCTTCAGAGGTCTAGGGTTTATGGGGTTTCCAGTAGTGAACAAGCTAAAAATTCACTGGTCCACAATTTGTTTTATTTATCCTCTGTCACTTCTCCTAATCTACCCACCCTGCAGAGTATTTTGGAATGGAACACTAAGATCTGTCTAATCCCTCAACATATCCCTCTCTTAAGATAGGCCTTGCTTGGGACTCTAAACCCTTGCCTACGTAGATTAGCAGTCATCTCACTTTGGCTCTCAGGTTCCTGATAGTTCATGTGCCTCAGCCTAGCACAGGAAACAATGTTATGTGATGTGTGTTGCATCTTGTTCTGACAAGTCTCATGTACAGATTCATCCTGGTATACTTGGAATAACTGGGGTACTGGAGCTGCCCAAACTGTCATTGCTAAGTTCAACCTGTCATTTACTCCTTAGTCATAACCCTTTAAGGGTTTTACTAGAGTCTGGTATGGAAAGGAGATAGATATCTGTCTCTAACCCTTCATGAATTTCGAGGTTGGCTCCCCTAAAGTGGTCATCTCTAATGTGCAATCCCTTACTTACCTCCCTGCAGCTACCCTTCACAGGTGCTTTGGAAACCCACTTTATTGTGAGGTCCTATGCCAGGACCTTCTCTCTAAGGACGTGTTGCTCTTTCATGTCCTACAAAAGGAGGAAGAGGAAAACAGCAAGTGGGAAACCCTCTCAGGTAAGCTTAGCTTCCCAGAGTTCTACCCTGGTCCAGCTGCTGAAGCTCATTCTCCAACATGACATTACTTGGCCTTTACGAGGTACATACCTTTTCCTTGCTAACATTGTGGGCCACACTAGGCCTTCCCAGATAAGCACACTGTACAAATCTTATACAAGTAGGGTGAAAATACTCAAGATTTGCTTCAGATAACTTAATCCAATCAATCTACAATAGTTCCTTTTATAAGCAGCCCAAGAGGTAGGGCTAGGAAATTACGATTTATAAACATGAAAGTCCAGAAAAAAGAATTGTACACTATTGATGAGAAGGATGACTTGAGGATTTGGATGGGGGATGGGAGAAGGGAGGAAATTAGGAGAGGAATAAAGGGTAGAAGTATGTATAAAAGCAGAAGGCATCCCAGAGCTGTGATGTAATAGAAGCAAGAGCTGTTATAAGGTGAACAGGAATAGTGATTAGTTGTAAGATACCGATTGGTACAGAGAATGTTGTTAGTTTATAAGAGAAAATTAGAGAACAGGCAGACAGGTGGGGTAAAACACTTTAAACCATGGTACACTCCAGTCATCTTCATCCTTTAGGTTTTTTTTTTTTTTTGACTAAATTATTATATTTTTGTGCCTTTAAAACTACAGTCACTGAGAATGGTGCTTTCCTCAGTCATAGCCTGTTTTCTTTATAGCCAATGCCATGAAATCCATAATGTATAGTATTTCTCCTGCCAACTCTGAGGAAGGCCAGGAACTTTATGTCTGCACAGTCAAGGATGATGTGAACTTGGATACAGTACTTCTCCTACCCTTTTTGAAAGGTAAGTCCCTTGAAGACTTCAAGTGAACCAATTACAGATATCATTGCAATTAGTGATTTGGTGAGTAGTTGAGTATAGGTCTCTCATTATCATTCTGGCTTCATTTCTTCTAAAAAAGAAATCCACCTTCTAGAAATAAGTTCTGGCATTGCCTGAAGAGCTCTTTGAAGACTTGTAATGCTACTTGAGTAAGGTTTTACTTAAGCGAGCTTATTGTTCTCTTTGGGGCTGACTGATGACCTGGAAAAGTTTTCCAATTATTTAATACAAAATAGGTCGTGAGTTTCCCTTTGTGCATATTCTTGTTCCAGAGTAGACAGTAAGCAAAGAAGATGATGTTGCTAAGATTTAAGAAAATCCATGGTGTTAGTGAAGATACAATGTTATGCACATAGCAAGAGTTTAATAAAAAAAGAGTGCAAAGTAGAATGACTGATGCCATAAAGAATAATGAAACTATCAGAATCAGGTAGGCATAGTTGGAGAGGGGATGTTCTTCTTAGAAATGAATTTTTCTTATTTTAATATTTAATTCAAGTGTTTGGTGGGCAAGGTACTAATACTAAGCCTTCTTGAGGAATATTGTAATGAACAGCATACCTTCAAGTAAAGTATGGTCTTGTTGAGAAAATAAGACACACACATGAAACAGCAGTTCAGGACACCATGGTAGTTAAGGGCCAGGGCTCTAGAGTCAGAAAACCCTGGGCACCATGGGCTCCTGCACTAACCAACTATGGAACTTTGAATAAGTTAGTCAACTTCTCACTCATCAGTCAAATGAGGATAATAATAGTCCCTACCTCTTGGGGCTAGTTGAGGATTAAATTAAATAAATTATGGCACATAATAAATATTCCATGACTGTTAGCTATTATATTATAAGCTTTTTACTCTGAAGGTTTTAGGTTCAACTAGACAGTTTACACTGATAGAACTATGATAGACCATACTTAACAATGGCTTTTCTTACTCAGAAGGAAATACAGGATGCTAACAGGACAACAGCAGGTACTTTTCTTCAGTGAGAGTTTTTACAGGAGTTTACATAGCACTCCAGGGGCTATTCTCTGGAACCTCAAGTAATAGCTCAGCTGTGAGGAATGAAACCATGACTCATGGGTGCTTAGAGGCCTCATGGACCAACTGAAGGCCATATCTCTTATAATGGCCCGAACAGGCATCACTTTCAGGCTCTGCAAGAGGCATGACCTTTTACAAGAATTATTATACCCAAGGAAGCCCAAATCTGTGGCTTGCCACCAGTTCATTCAGTTTTCCCAGTCCAAATTCAGTTTCCCAAGCAGAGGTTGTTCTTAGCATAAGCAAAGAAGTTTGGCTAAGTGGAGAAGGGAGGATTGAGGTGGGAGCAGTAGACAGGGGTAGATGAAAAGTTTTCATCTTTATTTAAAAAAAAAACTGTACACATTTTCAACATGATATATTCTAGATTTGTAGAAATCTTGTTCACTGCTGATTGACTGATTGATTGATTTTGGCAGAAATAGCAGTAAGCCAACTGGATCAACTGAGCCCAGAGGAACAGTTGCTGGTCAAGTGTGCTGCAATCATTGGTCACTCCTTCCATATAGATTTGCTGCAGCACCTCCTGCCTGGCTGGGATAAAAATAAGCTACTTCAGGTCTTGAGAGCTCTTGTGGATATACATGTGCTCTGCTGGTCTGACAAGAGCCAAGAGCTTCCTGCTGAGCCCATATTAATGCCTTCCTCTATCGACATCATTGATGGAACCAAAGAGAAGAAGACAAAGTTAGGTAAGGAAGGGCTGTTCCCTTTTTCTCAGGTCTGAACAAAGAGTCCCTGTGGGGGTATCTGTGTTCAGAAAGGCCATCAATATCATATATCAAGGGGTTCTCTCATTCGTTTGTTTAAAGATGGAGTTTTGTTATGTTGCCCAGGCTGTAACTCCTGGGCTCAGTGGGCGCATACCACCACACCCAGTTTGAGGGTCTCTCTCTCAAAGCCTATGGCTAAGAAACAGAGAGAAAATTATCATTTAAACCATGAAAGAGCCATGGATAGTGAAAAAATATCCTGTATTTTCAGACTTGTCTTCATTTCAGGAATTCTAGCGCCTTTTTAACCCAGGTGTTGGTATTTGTGTTTTGATTTTTGGTTCTGAAAATATTGACATAATCTTTTATTGGCTTCTAGGTGCAAAGAATGAGATAAAAGGATAAACCATCCCCAATTTTAGAAACTCACAAGGAAGACAAACACATGTGGCATTGAAACAGACATGAACAAAGCAAGATATAAATAGCTTGCAATCTCGAATTATCCACATGAAAGAATAAGATGGTAGCATGGACTACCCAAAGCACATAGAATTCACAAATACTTTCCCTTTGAGTTTGAAATATGTTTGGGCCCTATATTTGAACAGAGAATTTCCTATGATTTGACATTTGTAATAATTTGAAGTAAAACCTCAATTTAGGAGAAACAATTAAGAAATCAGTGGTAATCCCAGCACTTTGGGAGGCCGAGGCGGGCGGATCACGAGGTCAGGAGATCGAGACCATCCCGGCTAAAACGGTGAAACCCCGTCTCTACTAAAAAATACAAAAAATTAGCCGGGCGTAGTGGCGGGCGCCTGTAGTCCCAGCTACTTGGGAGGCTGAGGCAGGAGAATGGCGTGAACCCGGGAGGCGGAGCTTGCAGTGAGCCGAGATCCCGCCACTGCACTCCAGCCTGGGCGACAGAGCGAGACTCCGTCTCAAAAAAAAAAAAAAGAAATCAGTGGTATAGAAGTACAGGATTTTTTTGTACCACTGATCATTTCTTCTCTGTTGTACTTTATACAAGATATGGTCAGTATCACTCTTAGAATGGTGCAAAATTTTTTATACAAAGGAGGCAGTAATATTAGCTTAGAGTTGTAAATAGAATTTTCTTACACACTAGCAGCCATGTGCTTGGGAGTTTGCCATATTGAAGCACAAAGGATTATAAAGGAAAATCTCACTTAGATTTTCCTAAATTTCAGATGGTGGGTCAGCCTCTCTTCTCAGGCTACAAGAAGAATTATCCCTACCACAAACTGAGGTGTTGGAATTTGGAGTGCCTCTGCTACGGGCAGCTGCTTGGGAGCTCTGGCCCAAGGAACAACAGATAGCTCTGCACCTTGAATGTGCCTGCTTTCTCCAAGTTTTGGCCTGCCGCTGTGGGAGCTGCCATGGAGGAGACTTTGTCCCCTTTCATCATTTTGCAGTTTGTTCTACTAAGAATTCCAAGGGGACCTCTCGATTCTGTACTTACAGAGATACTGGCTCAGTGCTAACACAAGTGATCACAGAAAAATTGCAGCTGCCTTCTCCCCAAGGTAAACCCAGGAGGCAGAAAGAATACATGGGTATTCGTGTACTTGGAGTTCTTCATCAAAAAGTTGAAATCAGATTAAAGGAGAAAAGTAGGTAGAAAGAACCACTTATTTATTCCTGAAGTACTAGAGATTAAAAAAAAATGTAATCTCAGAGTTAAAAACTACCTTAGAGATCATATTTGTTTTGATTGGCAATCTTGGGCAAGTTACTTAACCTCAATCAATTGGGGACATAATAATACCAACTTCATGGGCTGGGTGCAGTGGCTTACACCTGTAATCCCAGCATTTTGAGAGGCTTAGGTGGGTGGATCACTTGAGGTCAGGAGATCAAGACCAGCCTGGCCAACATGGTGAAACCCCCTCGCTACTACAAATACAAAAATTAGCCAGGCATGGTGGCAGGCGCCTGTAAACCCAGATACTTGGGGGTCTGAGGCAGGAGAATCGCTTGAGCCTGGGAGCCAGAGGTTGCAGTGAGCCGAGACTGCGCCACTGCACTCCAGCCTAGGTGACAGAGTGAGACTCTGTCTCGAAATAAATAAATTAATTAATAAATAATAATATCAACTTTACTGGGTCATTGTGGGGATTAAATTAGTTAAAATATATAGTGTGCTCTGAACAGTGCCAGACATGTGGTGATTGCTCAATACCCTTTAGCTATTGTTTTGATTATTACTATTATTTTTCAGCTCAGTACACACACATTGAGTCCTTATGTGTATCAGATTCTATACTAAGGAATATGGTGTGAATAAGCCTTGGTCTTTGCACTCTTGAAGCTATCTGTTTTGGGGGTTACTATAGACATATAGATAGAGAATTCTAGTATGGCATGGTAAAAGCAATGAAAATGAGAAGGGGCCATTAACTCAGCCAGGGAAATATGTCAGTGAAGATTCTCCTTTGAAGTAGATCATGTCAGAATTGCATCTAGAGGGATAAGCAGGAGTTAGCTACCTGAAGAAGGTTTTATTAGTTAATAGATATTCACCATATCCTGTTAAACTGCATCCCAGATGAGTTCATTCATCTTTGTTTAGCCTTTTCAGTTAGCTTACATTACAGAACAGCTCATTGTCTCCAGCTGTCAGAAAGTTTCTTCTTTCATCAGGATGTAAGCTGCCTCGTTGTAGTTTCCCCCATTTTTCATAGTTATATTCTCTTCCATACTTGAAGATAGCTATCAAGACCCAACCAAGTCCTCTTTCCCTACTTTGATAAAAGAGGAGTTGGTTTGGTATTGGGGGTGGGGTGGATGGTATGTGGAAAATGATAGATAGTTGTTGGCAAAAGGCTAAAATGAGGGATTTGGTGTATGATACAATTCCTCTTCTAGCTATAGCATCATGACTATGAAGGTGGACCAATGACTTGGAGCAATTAGTCATTGGTTGATGAGCTCTATGTGCATTTGCACCTGTTGTGCTTTCCAAAGTCTGGTATTGTGAAGAAATTGTGCTATTGTTCATATTTCCTGTGTGACTTTTTTGCTTTTAAGAGGTCAGTTTTGGCCAGGTACAGTGGTTCACACCTGTAATCCCAGCACTTTGGGAGGCCAAGGCAGGCAGATAACAAGGTCAGGAAATCGAGACCATTCTGGCTAACACGGTGAAACCCCATCACTACTAAAAATACAAAAAATTAGCCGAGCGTGGTGGCAGGCACCTGTAGTCCCAGCTACTCGGGAGGCTGAGGCAGGAGAATGGTGTGAACCTGGGAGGCAGAGTTTACAGTAAGCCAAGATCGCGCCTCTGCACTCCATCCTGGGCTACAGAGCAAGACTCTGTCTCAAAAAAATTAATAAATAAATAAATAAAAAGAGGTCAGTTTTGTTTATTTATTTATTTATTTATTTTGCTTTGGATTAGACAGCCTGGTCCATCTATAGTAAAAAGGCTCAAGACCTTCTCAGCCCAGCAGAACCTTAAGGAGGCTTCCCAGACCCAAGGCCTTTGTGCATTGCCATTGCAGACCAGGCACTGCCTGATTCCAGAGGGTACTGTTACAGAGGCTATGATATGATGGTGCCTCTTGGAGTTATGTACTGCAGTAGAGCTGCCAATATCCTCAGTTATCTTAGCTGTGATTTAACATTATTATCATCAGCAAGCCAGTCCTTTTACTTAACCCAAATCCTCCCTAAAACAGTCCTCTTAGACTCCTTATCAATCCCACCATCCATGCTGTGAGTTCCAATGGGTAACATCTGAACATCATTCCTAATATTTGCTGTTGTGATCTATTAGAAGGCAGCTTTAGAAGAAGAGTCAAATCTTTAGGATAAAGGCTAATTAAAAGCCTGCTAGGTAAAGCTGGAAAGCTCTCTTGGTCACTGACTAGGGAACTGTGGTATCTTATACTGTCACAATTTTCTTCACTTGGTTTTAGCCTTTACACTTCACTCCGATCTGGTCATGAAATTGATCCATATGTATTCAAGGATTTCCACTATTAGTGATAGCCAGCAAACCAGGATAGACACATTCTTTATTTTTCCTTCATTTTGAAACTACTGAGCACCTCCTTCAAAATCAGAACTAGTTTAAAGGTTTGGGAATGAAGAGAGTTATTATTTGAATCACAAGTAGTTGTGAAGGAATTTACAAACTACCATCCTAATTTTGTGTTGTAAACTGCAGAAGAAAGGTAGTCAGGAATTTAAAATGTCCTCAGTTCATCCAAACATGGAGAATTAATCATATTTTTTTCTCCCTACAGATAGTTTTCAGTTCCAGACAAAACCATCCAGAACTCAGGAGGCCTTCTCAAGTGAATGCTGCAGGTAGACAGAGATGCTGAGGGTGAACATGGAGGGACCAAAAGTGACAGAAAGATGACCATTAAACTGAGCCACTTATGTCACTTGCAGATGAGGAGTGGTGACTCTTGTACTCAGTATTAAGGTTAACAGAGAAGATTTGGAAAGGCAATTTTTGATTCTCTATAGGGAAATTATTTCTTTTTTTTTCTTTCTTTTTTTTTTTTTTTTTTGAGATGGAGTCTCTCTCTGTTGCCCAGGCTGGAGTGCAATGGCATGATCTTGGCTCACTGCAACCTCCGCCTCCCGGATTCAAGTGATTCCCCTGCCTCAGCCTCCTGAGTAGCTGGGATTACAGGCATGTGCCACCACACTTTGCTAATTTTTGTATTTTTAGTAGAGATGGGGTTTCACCGTGTTAGCTAGGATGGTCTCCATCTCCTGACCTCATGATCAGCCCACCTCAGCCTCCCAAAGTGCTGGGATTGCAGGCATGAGCCACCACACCCGGCGGGAAATTATTTCTTTTTATTTTATTTTATTTTATTTTATTTTATTATTATTGTACTTTAAGTTTTAGGGTACACGTGCACAATGTGCAGGTTAGTTACATATGTATACATGTGCCATGCTGGCGTGCTGCACCCATTAACTCGTCATTTAGCATTAGGTATATCTCCTAAAGCTATCCCTCCCCCCTCCCCCCTCCCCCCACCCCACAACAGTCCCCAGAGTGTGATGTTCCCCTTCCTGTGTCCATGTGTTCTCATTGTTCAATTCCCACCTATAAGTGAGAATATGCGGTGTTTGGTTTTTTGTTCTTGCAGTAGTCTACTGAGAATGATGATTTCCAATTTCATCCATGTCCCTACAAAGGACATTAACTCATCATTTTTATGGCTGCATAGTATTCCATGGTGTATATGTGCCACATTTTCTTTTTTTTTTTTTATTTTTTTTTATTTTTTTATTTTTTTTAATTTTTTTTTTTATTATACTCTAAGTTTTAGTGTACATGTGCACATTGTGCAGGTTAGTTACATATGTATACATGTGCCATGCTGGTGCGCTGCACCCACTAACGTGTCATCTAGCATTAGGTATATCTCCCAATGCTATCCCTCCCCCCTCCCCCGACCCCACCACAGTCCCCAGAGTGTGATATTCCCCTTCCTGTGTCCAAGTGATCTCATTGTTCAATTCCCACCTATGAGTGAGAATATGCGGTGTTTGGTTTTTTGTTCTTGCGATAGTTTACTGAGAATGATGGTTTCCAATTTCATCCATGTCCCTACAAAGGACATGAACTCATCATTTTTTATGGCTGCATAGTATTCCATGGTGTATATGTGCCACATTTTCTTAATCCAGTCTATCATTGTTGGACATTTGGGTTAGTTCCAAGTCTTTGCTATTGTGAATAGTGCCACAATAAACATACATGTGCATGTGTCTTTATAGCAGCATGATTTATAGTCCTTTGGGTATATACCCAGTAATGGGATGGCTGGGTCAAATGGTATTTCTAGTTCTAGATCCCTGAGGAATCGCCACACTGACTTCCACAATGGTTGAACTAGTTTACAGTCCCACCAACAGTGTAAAATGTTCCTATTTCTCCACATCCTCTCCAGCACCTGTTGTTTCCTGACTTTTTAATGATTGCCATTCTAACTGGTGTGAGATGGTATCTCATTGTGGTTTTGATTTGCATTTCTCTGATGGCCAGTGATGGTAAGCATTTTTTCATGTGTTTTTTGGCTGCATAAATATCTTCTTTTGAGAAGTGTCTGTTCATGTCCTTCGCCCACTTTTTGATGGGGTTGTTTGCTTTTTTTCTTGTAAATTTGTTTGAGTTCATTGTAGATTCTGGGTATTAGCCCTTTGTCAGATAAGTAGGTTGCGAAAATTTTCTCCCATTTTGTAGGTTGCCTGTTCATTCTGATGGTAGTTTCTTTTGCTGTGCAGAAGCTCTTTAGTTTAATTAGATCCCATTTGTCAGTTTTGGCTTTTGTTGCCATTGCTTTTGGTGTTTTAGATATGAAGTGCTTGCCCATGCCTATGTCCTGAATGGTAATGCCTAGGTTTTCTTCTAGGGTTTTTATGGTTTTAGGTCTAACATTTAAGTCTTTAATCCATCTTGAATTAATTTTTGTATAAGGTATAAAGAAGGGATCCAGTTTCAGCTTTCTACATGTGGCTAGCCAGTTTTCCCAGCACCATTTATTAAATAGGGAATCCTTTCCCCATTGCTTGTTTTTCTCAGGTTTGTCAAAGATCAGATAGTTGTAGATATGCGGCGTTATTTCTGAGGGCTCTGTTCTGTTCCATTGATCTGTATCTCTGTTTTGGTACCAGTACCTTGCTGTTTTGGTTACTGTAGCCTTGTAGTATAGTTTGAAGTCAGGTAGCGTGATGCCTCCAGCTTTGTTCTTTTGGCTTAGGTTTGACTTGGCAATGCAGGCTCTTTTTTGGTGCCATATGAACTTTAAAGTAGTTTTTTCCAATTCTGTGAAGAAGGTCATTGGTAGCTTGATGGGGATGGCATTGAATCTATAAATTACCTTGGGCAGTATGGCCATTTTCACGACATTGATTCTTCCTACCCATGAGCATGGAATGTTCTTCCATTTGTTTGTATCCTCTTTTATTTCATTGAGTAGTGGTTTGTAGTTCTCCTTGAAGAGGTCCTTCACGTCCCTTGTAAGTTGGATTCCTAGGTATTTTATTCTCTTTGAAGCAATTGTGAATGGGAGTTCACTCATGATTTGGCTCTTTGTCTGTTATTGGTGTATAAGAATGCTTGTGATTTTTGTACATTGATTTTGTATCCTGAGACTTTGCTGAAGTTGCTTATCAGCTTAAGGAGATTTTGGGCTGAGACAATGGGGTTTTCTAGATATACAATCATGTCATCTGCAAACAGGGACAATTTGACTTCCTCTTTTCCTAATTGAATACCCTTTATTTCCTTCTCCTGCCTAATTGCCCTGGCCAGAACTTCCAACACTATGTTGAATAGGAGTGGTGAGAGAGGGCATCCCTGTCTTGTGCCAGTTTTCAAAGGGAATGCTTCCAGTTTTTGCCCATTCAGTATGATATTGGCTGTGGGTTTGTCATAGATAGCTCTTATTATTTTGAGATACGTCCCATCAATACCTAATTTACTGAGAGTTTTTAGCATGAAGGGTTGTTGAATTTTGTCAAAGGCCTTTTCTGCATCTATTGAGATAATCATGTGGTTTTTGTCTTTGGTTCTGTTTATATGCTGGATTACATTTATTGATTTGTGTATATTGAACCAGCCTTGCATCCCAGGGATGAAGCCCACTTGATCATGGTGGATAAGCTTTTTGATGTGCTGCTGGATTCGGTTTGCCAGTATTTTATTGAGGATTTTTGCATCAATGTTCATCAAGGATAATGGTTGAGAAAAACTTTTTTAAAATACCTTTTTTTTTGAGATGGAGTCTCCCTCTGTCACCCGGGCTGGAGTGCAGTGGCACCATCTCGGCTCACTACAACCTCCACCTCCCAGGTTCAAGCAATTCTCCTGCCTCAGCCTCCCAAGTAGCTAGAATTACAGGCATATGCCACCACGCCTGGCTAATTTTTGTATTTTTCGTATACATGAGGTTTCACCGTGTTGGCCAGGCTGACCTCAAACTCCTGACCTCAGGTGATCCGCCAGCTTCAGCCTCCCAAAGTGCTGGGATTATAGGCGTGAGCCATCACACCCAGCATTTTAATAGCTTTTAAGTGCATTTTATATGTAGCATATTTATTTCCAGCTATAAATTTGTCTTGTTAATTATTTTAGCCCAGATGATATTAAAATGAATATACATTTCCTAACCATGTACCTCCTGGGTCTCTAATGCTTATCAGTGTTCAATGTCCCTACCTGGAGTTCACCAGCCACTCTATATACAGTTTTCCATCCCACTTATCTAACTTGATTTCTTATTGTTTTCAAACAAAAATCTATTCCACATGAACCACTCCCACACTAACCTGTGTGTCTTTGCTCACACAATTCTCCCTTGTTAAATGCTGAGTGACCTCCACATCTCTCTACCTATTAATATGTTGACCATCCTTCAAGGCCCTCCTCAGTCTCCACTTTTTTAGATCATTATAACTCAGAGAGATCTGACTTTTGAGCTCAGCGTGCCTGTGAAAAGTACACTAGATCAGTAGTCAGAGTGGTAAGCTCTAGTTTTGGTTTGGCTTCTCAATAGCTACGAAGCTATATGTAATCTCTCTGAGCCTCAATGACCTAAAAGAGGTAATTTTTGCCTGCCTGAATGACAGGGTTGTTGTAGGATTAGATGATGATATATAAAATAATATTAAAATGTGGTATTAGAAAATTCAAAAATGCTAACAGAAAAAATGTATTATTATTGCTTTGTATCATTTTTATGTTTTATTTAATATTTAGTTGTTATTTAACTATTCAAGTGTGGTATTTCCCCATTTAGATTGAGGTATTTAGATTGGCTTTCAGCTTTTAAAAATTCCTAATAGAGCTTTGCAGTTACAGCTGTAGTCCCTGACTTTTAAAATTTTATGGAGTAATGGAGGAGAAGGATAGGCAAATAATTAATGAATGATACAGGAAGACTTCCTGGAAAAAGTGACTTTGAGACCCGGTAATGCCCCAGTAAAGGTGGCCACTCTCAGTTTTTCATTTTCTTTCCACAAAGAACAGAGGAAGAGTTCCTAGATCAAGTGAAGAGGAAGCTGGCTCAGACCAGCCCTGAGAAAGACCTGTTGACCACAAAGCCTTGTCACTGTAAGGATATCCTGAAGTTAGTGCTCTTACCCCTCACCCAGCATTGCTTGGTCGTTGGAGAAACCACCTGTGCATTTTATTACCTGCTGGAGGCTGCGGCTGCCTGCTTGGACCTGTCAGATAATTATATGGTGAGCAGGCTCTGTAATCTGCCCTTCAGCTGAGCCTTTTACTTTGAGAATGTGATTGAGATCTCTTACAATCATAACCATGAGTGAAAAGTGGAAGAAAGTAGGAGAGAGAGAAGAGCTAGAAAGGATTTAGGAAAAAACATGCAGTGGGAATGTGGTAATGGAATAGCACCAACCTGTGCCAGCACTGCCCCTGACTCTTGCACAAGCAGTCCAGCTCCCGTTTCTAGCTTGAAATCCAAATCTGTTTCAAATTCTGATCTTGACCCTCATCATAACCTTACTCCAGCCTTTGCCCTAATCTCACCCCAGCATCATCCTAATCCTAATCTGGTTTCTTTATCCCTTGCCCTGTTTGGAGGCCTTCTTTTATTTGAGGAAGGCAAGCAGTCTTCTGGGCCAACCCTCAGCATTTTCATTTTTGAAAAAACAGAAGGTGAAGATCTGTCAGTTTGAGGAGGCCACTTTCTGCCGTCTTCTGTCAGAGGTGAGGGCAGGGAGTGACCTTGAAGTGCCGGCTATTTCTCCTTGAGGGTTACCCTATTATTTCTTTTAAAATCTTTTCATTGTTTTTTGTGTATGATTATAAATGTGATAATGTGATAAAACGTTTATATACATTTAAAATATAGAAATATGTAATAGGTAGAAAGTGAAAGAGCTCCCACTAATCCTACACCCACCACCATAATTAGTAATTGTGTGCATGTTCCACCAACTGTATACAAACAGCCATATCATTGTTTTCCATTTTTTTATAGGCTCATATTCTACATTTTCTTGCTCCTGCAGCTTGCTTTTATTCTTAATAGTACAGACGGAACATATTTACATTTTGGTATGCATACTGATCCACCACATAGTTACAACTGCCAAGTATTCCATTGGCTAGATCATAGCTTAGCTCTTCCCTTCTTCAGGTGCATTTAGGTTATCTCTAATTTGGGGATTATTATAAACATTGCTACAGTGAATATTCTTCTTAAGTATCTCTTTCTCCCCTTGTGAGAGTGTTTCTGTAAGAGAAATTTCCAAAGGTGGCAATGCTAAGACACAATTTTAAAATTCACAAATACACTACCAAATTGCCAGCCAAAAATATTATATCAATTCAAGTTTTTTCCATTTCCTCATATCCTTACTAAGATCAGATACTACCAGTCTTTTCTAACCTTGCTAATTCCTAGATAAAGTTATATTGTTTTAATGTGTTTCTCTTAATTAATAAGATACATCATTCTTCTAAGTTTATTGGTCATTTGTATTTTTTGTAAATTATCCATTCTTATTCATTGAAGTAGATATAAACTAATTTGCTCATTGGAGTATATGTAAACTAATTTTAATGTAAACCTTAAGATAATTGGGTTAGGAGAGTAAACTTAATGTACATAATGTCTTGAAGGCCAAAGGGAATATTAGAGTTGTCACATTGTTGCATTATTTATGCTTCAACCAAGAGGTCTTCAGAGCAAAGTTAAATAATTATTCTTTCCCTTTATAAGAGAAAGTTATTGTACAGTCCTCCCAAGATTGTTCTTTGTTCTAGAATCACGTAGACTTTATCACTTTCTTGAGGGATTCAGCCTTAGAATGTGAAGATACAGGATAACTTCAAGGTAGTTCCCCAGCTCCCACCCCACATCTACTATGATTCAACCTGTTTAGGAAGAGAGATAAAGGATTTGGTGATATTATAGATGCTTTCTATGTCATGTGAGAGCATCTGAGTCTCCACTCAAATGACGATCCCTTCTCAGTCTAGCAGCATCACATTTTAAATCACAGCCTTCCTCTACTGCCCACTGACAAATGTGTGGGAGATGAGAAGGGAGGATACTTTCTCCATAATCCTATTTTCTAAACCCTTTACTCACTTATGGCCATACTGGTGCTTGTTAGGGTGACTGCTAACCAGGCTATGCTCTAGCTCAGCTCACTCTAGCACCTCAGTAACCCCAACTACACATCTCAAAATGAAAGAGCCAGTGTGTTATATCCAAAACCTTATATTTACATTAATTCTTCTTTTCCCATCTCCAGGTCTGTTTCAACATGGGACGTATCACTTTAGCCAAAAAATTGGCTAGGAAAGCCCTTCGACTGCTGAAAAGGAATTTCCCTTGGACCTGGTTTGGTGTCCTTTTCCAGACATTCCTGGAAAAGTATTGGCATTCCTGTACCCTGAGCCAACCTCCAAACGACCCTAGTGAGAAGTGAGAAGTCTTCCTAAAACTGTAGTTAACTAGCCTGAGCTTTGCCTTTTTGACCTAAAACTACTCTTTTTCTATCAAGTAATCTTCAAGCATCTAACAGACAAGCAGATAACAAGACATGTAACAGTCAGCATACATATATATATGCATGTAACAGATAAGTGTATAACATACAGTTCTAACTCTTCCACCTTACTCCCCCAGCCAGTTACATGTAGCAAATAGGGATTCAAAGAATGAATCTTTTTTTGAAACCTCTCTCTGAACTTTTCCCGATCAAGTGGGATTAATCAAAATGGCATATGAGGTTAGGAGTAGTGGGATCCAAGGACTATTTCTGAATTTGAACATCTGTAGATGGCCCCATGATGAGTAGATTGGAGCTCTTATAGGGAGGGAACGTTGGGCATTAGTAAAGAATAAGGGTGTGCTAACCACCCTGTGCCTCACAACAGTAAGAAGAATTTGGCAGTCCTGCAGCAGCAGGTGCATTGCCTCTCCCTACTCTGGCAGCTCTATAACCTGGAGGCCACAGCCAGTAGCTACAGGTTTGCCTGCCTGGCTACTCTTATGCAGAAGAATTCAGCTGATGAGTTTGCAAATGAAGCCCAGGTAAGCAAGTCCTTGCTTTACCTTTGGACCTCACTCAGAAACCAAGTTCCTGGTTTTAGCATGATTCTCCAATAACCCAGACAACACTGTTCAAGCGAGGTTTCTCAATTTGCAGTTTATAGATGGGTTTCCAGGTATGAGATTATCTGCGAACTCCCTGAACTGAATGCAGAATTTTATGTGTATATTCAAAAGAACCTTTGGGGGTTGGCAGGAGGAAGAAAAGGGGTCATAGCTCTCATCAGATTCTCAAAGAAGCCTGTTATCTAAAAAAGATTTAAAACTGCTGACCTAGGAAAAAACAAAAGGAAATGTGTCTTCCTCATTTTAGTGTCTTATCTTTCTCTCTGTCTTATCCACATATTCAACAATGAACTATTTGGTGAACACCTATTATAAGCCAGGCACTGATCTTGACTCCAGGGAAATATAATAAGTAAAATATAGAGTATGTTAGGTGATAATCAATGCAGTGGAGAAAAATAAAGTGGAGGCAAGGGGATATGGGGTTCTGTGAGGTGAGGGGTGGGGTATAGTTTTGAACAAGGTGGTCAGAGAAAGCTTTGCTGAGCAGGTGACATTGGAGTAAATATCTGAAAGAGGCAAGAAAGCCAGGCTGTCTGGGAGTAGAGTATCCAGGCAGAGGGCACAGTGAATGCCCAAGGCATACACTCTGTGTTTGAAGGACAGTGTGACTGGAGGGGAGGAAGAGGAGGAGAGTGAACCAAGAGATGAGGTCAGAAGGACCAGGAAGGGGTGGGATGGCAAACGGTGCAGACCTTAGGCCACTGTAGGAGTTTTGGCTTTTACTCTGAAAGAGATGGGAAGCCATTAATGGGTTCTGAGAAGAGGGGTGACAGTATCTACTTACATTTTAATAAGATCATTCTGTCTACTGTGTTGAAAGTAACCTGAAGGGGACAAGGGAGGAAGCAGGGAGACCAGTTAGGAGGCTAATGCAGTAATCTAAGCAAGAGATGGTGATGGCTTGGATTATTGTGGTAGGGAAAAAAAAGTTGGGGGTGGTCTTTTGTCAAAATAGAGCCAACAGGATTCACTTATGGATCAGTTCTGGGATGTGAGGGAAAGAAAAGAGTCAAGGATAATCTGAAAAGTTGTGACCCGAACTTCTAGAGGGACAGAGATGCTCTTAATTGGGATAGGGAAGTCTGCAGGAGGAACAGATTTGGGGGAAGATTTGGGAGCTAGGCTTTAGACATGTTTTATTTGAGATGCCCATTAGACATCAAGGTGGAGACAAGTCTGGTGAATATGAGTCCAGGTGAATACTCAAGTCTGGGGTTCATGGGAGAGGTCTGAGCTGGAAATAGACATATGGGAACCATCAGTGTGCAAATACTGTTTAAAGCCACAGGACTGGGTGAGAACACCAAGGGAATGAGTATAGAAAGGAGAAAAAGTCCAGGAACTTTGTTAACAGCTCCAGTGTTAAAAGGTCAGAGTGGTAAGGAGAAACCAGCAAAAGAAACAGAATAAGTTGCCAGGGAGATAGGAGGAAAACCAAGAGAGCATGGCATCCTGGAAAGTTAGGGAAGACAGTGTTCCAAGAAGAGAGCACTATTTCAAGTGTGCACATAGTTATATAGAGCACTAACTATTTCAAATGTGCACATAGTTATATAGAGAGATCTAGGCAGCAGCCCTGAAGAGCTCTATGGAGCAAATATCAGAGGTCTTAAATTAGAAAACAAAGAAGAGGGAGTTTAATCAGTGTTTTGAAAGGGAAAGTCATGGATTGGAGAGGAAAAGCAGGAGCATGTAGAGAAAGTGGTTTGTTTAAAGAACATGCAGTGAGAATGATCCAATTAGAAGTGTAGGGGTGAGAAGGAGCATGTTTTTCTAGCTGGGTTGGAGGCAAGTGGTGGGATACCAGGAGTTTAGACTGGGTGAGCAGCAGGGCACCATAATAGGCTCTTACATAGGAAAGGATCAAAATGGAAATGTCACATGAATATACAATGGGAATATTTTGCCCTGTGTTTGTTTCCCTGCATGTTGTCTCTACCTATGTGGAGCTCTCTCAGTTCTCCCAGAGTGTGGGCATCAAGGACAAGTGGCTGCACTGTGAGCAGATGGCCATTCAGAAAAGCAGTTTATGTTGGTTCTCCAGGGAGGGGTTGTTGGCCACAGCTCAGCTCATGCAGGCCCTGGCCTACACCAAGCTCTGCCTTGGTCATCTTGACTTCTCCATCAAGCTGGGTAATGGGACTTAGGGATGGTGGGTCTAGGGCTTTTAGAGAGTACATGTTCACAGCTAGACCTCACATGGTGCTCTTAAACCTCCTCAGGTTTTCAAGCTCGTGAGATATGCAGACACCTCCAGAAACCAGCTCTGGAGAATCTGATTCTCTCAGTTCTCTTCAGATCTGCATTTCTGAAGAAGTATTAAGATCATTTTCTGTCATTTGTATTTGTTTCCTAAGAGGGGTGTGTATATTTTCCCAGAGAAGTTTGGAGTGGAGAGGGAGATGCTGTTCCATTTCCACACCCTGGGATATCCTTCCCTTGGCCACTCCAGACACATTATCTTAAGTGTGGAAGAGTCAGGAGTGGAAATGCAGAGTCAGAGCTACTATATATTCCTCAGTACTTGGGTCTCATGGACAAAGTTTCTTCAAAAAAAAATCTGCAGGGAGATAGAGAATTGCAGCAGCTGAAGACTCTGGAAACTGCCTCAGAGGCAATCTCCCACCTCCTTTGCCTAGAGATGGGTCTGATCCCAGGCTTAGATATTCTCTTTATAAATAGAGCTATGAAGAGATTTAAAGGATGTTAGGCTGCTTTGAAGGTGTAAGACCCCTTCCTTTCCTACCCATCCTCCTCACTCCCTAGCTGGTCCCAGTGGCTCTCTCTCTCGGCAGATTTGGTCTGTGTGTCCATGTACTGGAGAGTCAGTGGGCGCTCATTTCTCAGAGTTATGATGTCCTTGGCCTGGCCTGCTTTTACTCTGCTTGCTTAGATCTGCTGCTCTATGGAAAAGGTAAATCTTGCGCAGGTCTCTGCTGTACTCCTGAGGGATTCAGACCTCAGATGGGGCTCTAGGTTTGGAATACAGGCAGTCATGAACCTGTCCCTCAGGCATGGCCTCTGCCCCTGACCTCTGGCTCCTTAAAGTCTGGGAACCATGTTGTGATTCAGGGGTGTCTGCCTTTGGGGTCTTTTTTCCTTCCCTGTATCACATACCTTCTATACCCTGGTTCCTACACTGATATTATATACTAGCGTGGTTACCTTCTCTGTCCACAGGATTGCTGTGTCGGCCCTTTAGTGAGTGTCTGCGTTTCGTTCAAGTCTACGAGCACAGCCGTGTTCTAACCTCTCAGAGCAATGTCATGCTGGGGGTCCACTCCTCCCTGGCCATGTGGTAATGTCTTACTCAAGGGCTGTGGAAAAGGATAGACATTTATGTCATTTAAGCTGTCTCTCCCCACCAGACAGGACTTTTGAACCTCTCTAACCAACTTTTAAAGACCATTCACCTCCCATACCCTCCCATCTTATTAGAAGGGCTCTTGTCCTTTAACAGGTTTTGGCCTATAGGTCAAGGGTTACGTTTAGGGTTACATTTAACTGCTAGAGTAACCCATAGCAAGGCTGAATATAATTGGTCTCCTTTTAAGTTTCCTTGTATGTGAGTTAGTAGCCTTGGTCACTTTCTAGCATCACAATTCTGATTGTCCATGAGGTCTTAGAGCCTTAAAGAAGTGATGATTTTAAGCAAAAGTCATGGTGGGTAAGCAGCGGATATTGCTGCAAGCTGTTACTCTTTTCCTCCAGGTTTGCCCAGGAATCACAGTGGGACCTGTTTAAGCACTATTTCTCCAACGCTTGCAGTTGGTGAAAAGAACCAATGCCTCGCTATTTGGTGCACATGGCTTTGTCCGATTCCTAGAATGCCATGTGTTAATGTTACAGAAAATGCCAGAGGGTATCTTCATGCATATTCCTCTAGAGCTTCACAGCCAAACCCTTGAGGTACCTGTTTCTCAGCTGTCCTTTGACTAACACCTGATTCACTTAGTTCTACCCTATGGTGCTCTTTCTACCACCTGCATCTCTTCCTTTTTTCCCTTTTACTGGCTCTGTTTCCCTTTACTCTTTGAATCCTTTGTTTCTCCACCTAGAAAGTTTCTACCTACCTTATGTATCCTTCCCGATATTATTGCATCTAGTTCTGGACTGGGTTTCTTAACTTTCCACCTTTGCCAGCTGCTACCCAGTATCATTAAAATATTAACATTTAGCCTTGCTCAATGGACCTGTAGTCTATGGTTCAGTCTATAATTTGATACAGCTCCCTCCAGCCCTTCTGAGTCTAAAACACATTCCAATTCCTCTGTTTTCCAGGCTTATTTTGCCATCAGTAACTCCTTCCTGTTCCCCCAGCCATGAGTGAATATGCTGAATGAGGACCTTTGTAAGTTCTGATGAAGTAGCATGTTAGGAGAATGAAGCACTAATCCCAGAGCTAATGGACCTTCCTTTCCTTTCAGTACTGTAAGGAGTTCTTCTCTCAATGTGTGACCTGCCCTGTCTATCACCAGTGGGTATCTGAGCTTAAGGCCTCTGTAATGAGATGTGAAAAGAGAGAATTGATGTCCCTGACTAACAGCATCAGACCTTTTGACACCTGCTTGACCAGGATTTGGATAAAAGGAGAATTTCTGCAGGAAAATAACTCTTAGAAAAGAAACTTAGGAATACAGAGTAAGCATTTCTTCCTGGAAGCCTTGTGTGAGAGACATAAAGACAGTCTCAGATTCTTACTCACAAGCAGTCAAAGGCTGCACCTCTGAAATAAAAAGGGACACACAGATGTAAGGAGTTAGTCCTTGCTCCAGAGGTAAGTATAATCCTCTTCCTAGTGCTAGGCCCTGCCTGGACAGATAGGAATCCCTTCTATTGTTAAACAGCAATTTCTTCAGCTTCTCTCAGCTCTTTGTTTCAGTATTGGTAACTCTTTGGCATAGAAAGTTCTTCCTTGCTTTTAGCCAAAGCAGTTGGGTTGTTTCCTTGAAGTAACTGGATGGTCACTAAGGAGAGAAAAAGGTCTTAGAAGTCACAATGTAATGTCTATGAAGGTGAATGATAAGATTAGGCAAGAAAAGGAGAGGAAAGAATATAGTTCCTTTCCTCAGAGGCCTGCAAATCTTCTTTCCCATGGCTGCTATTTAACTTTGTAATTGCTGAGGACATTCTTTGTATTTGTGACATTCTTTGTGTTCCTTCTTTCAGGATTTGACAGAGTGGCTGATGTCAAGGAGAACAAGGATGCAGAAGAAACTCAAGATGTATGTATTAAAACAAAAGAACAATAACCTGAAGGGACCATGATTCTGTTATTGTATATAACACAAGGAAATGCCCCAGATTCTCCTTTAAAAGATATAATGTACATATTAAGTATACTAGCCTTTATAGTTACTGCTATCTACATGTTTATCAAAATAAAAGACTATTTTTTTCTAAAACATGCCACTTAGATTTTTTTTCACTCTTAAAAGTCATTAGCACAACTTTACCAGAAGTTACAACCAGGAGTAGACGGGAGGCCTGGAAGGCTTTAAGATGAACTGATTCCATCTTTTATAAGGTGAGATCCATTAGCAGATGAAAAACTATGACCCTAATAAAGAAATTGCCATTACTTAAGGAAGGCTGGTAGTGCAGTGCCTTGGTGTTGCCCTCTTTTGGCACAGATATGGTAATGGGCTCCTAAGAAGTCAAGGAGTCTTTTGAGAGGTACAAAGGGCTGTGGGAATCCATTTCTCCTTTGTGCTATGTGATTTGGGCATTCCCAGGTAAAATTGTGAAGTTGCCAGAGTATGTATTAACTTTAGCTTTCTTCCTTTTTCTTCTCTTTGGAGTTGCCATCTTTGGCCTTTATCTGTTTGATGGTGTTTCTTCTGCTGAGTATGATCTTCCCATTGATTTCTTACACTTTATAACTCAATCATCTAGTGTCCATAGAGTGAATTTGCTAATGTTATGATAGCTGCAATTTGTTATTTACTTACTTGTGCTTGAAATACATTGTTTAAATCCTTTATCAACTCTGTGAGGTAAGTACTATTATTATCCCATATTACAGATGAAGAAATGGAAGGCTAGAAAGAGTTTACCCCAACAAACACAGCCACAAAATGGTAGATCTGAGCTTCTAAGTCAGATTTGATTCCAGAGATTATGTTAGGCTATGCAGGCTTTCATGGGAACTAGGCTTTCCTGTACCCAGTCTTCACTATTCTCTTCAAATGGCCAAGATCAGAACTTTAAGGACAGGAAGGGAGAAGTTTATGAAAGGGAGGCCTGTACTTACCCTTTAAATCATGCAATCTAATCTATACATTTCCTCCTTCCACTTTTCTCCCTCTTGCTACCTTTCTTTTTCCTGTCCCTCTATTCCCTTCATCTTCCCCCTTGCATTCCTCCCATCTTACCCCTTCCTTCCTTTCTTTCTTCTTCTAACCCACTTTCTGTCCTCCTTCCTCATTCCTTTAAATTTCTGGGAGGTAATATAGAGTAGCAGTCCAGACAAGGACTCTGGAACCAGATAGACTGGGTTGAAATTCTAACTCTGCTGCTTATTAGCTGCATTCATTTGGGCATATAATTTATCTTCTATATGCCTCAGTTTCCTTTTCTGAAAGGAAGTTTTCCTTTTCCTTTCTAGAAAGTTTCCTTTTCCTTTCTAGATGGAGTTAAAATATCCTCTTGTCCTAAAAATAGGACAAAAGACTGTCAATGTGAAGATTAAATGACTATAAAGCACCTGGCATATAGTAAGCACTCAGTGACTAGTAGCTATTATTATTGGTTCAGCTTTTATATTTAAAAGTAGATGTTACATTTATGTGGTACAAAATTCAAGAGAAACAAGTGTGTAACAGTGAAAAACTCTTTCCCATCTCTGTCTTCCAGACACCAGTTGCCCTCCCCAGAGATAATCAGTGTTACCACTTCCTTGTGTACCCTAGCAAAATTATACTATGCACATGTAAGCAATAGTATATAGTTACTGCATCCTTCTTTCCCACAAATGGTGGTGATAGGTAATAACACCCTGCACTACTTCATCCTTTTTTTTTTTTTTTTTTTGGCATTCCCTTTTGGCACTTTTTTTATTAAGATAAAATTCACCCTTTTAAGGTATACAATTCGGTGCTTTATAGTATATTTGTAAGATTGTACAATCATCACCATTATCTAATTCCAGAACATTTTTATCACCCCAAAAAGGAACTCTGGTCCCATTAGCAGTCACTCCCCATTTCCCCTTCCCCTAATCTTTGTTAACCACTAATATATTTTCTGTCTTTAAAGATTGGCCTATTCTGGACATTTCATATAAATGGAATTATTACACATGGCCTTTTCTTTCAGTTAGCATAATGTTTTCAAGGTTCATTTATGGTGTAGGGTTACTTTTTATGGCCAGGTAACATTCCATTGTACCACATTGTGGCACATGATGCCACATTTTGTTTATCTGTTCATCAGTTGGTGGACATTTAGGTTGTTTCCAGTTTTTAACTATTGTTATAAATAATGCTATGGTAAACATTCATGTACAAGTTTTCGTGTGAACATAGGCTTTCAATTCTCTTGCATATATACCTATCTTGGCGTTTCCAGGAATTGTCAGGTCATACAGAAAGTCCGTGTTTAACTTTTTGAGGAACTGTCAAACTGTTCTCCAAAGCCTCTGTACCATTTTACGTTTTCACCAGCAATGATTGAGGCTTCCAGTTTTCCACAGCCTAGCCAACACTTGTTTTTGTTTGTCTTTTTTATTATAGCTATCCTAGTGGGTATGAAGTGGTATCTTATGATTTTGATTTATATTTCCTTAGTAACTAATGATGTTGAGCATCTTTTCGTGAGCTTACTGGACACTAGTATATCTTCTTGGAGAATGTCTATTCAAATTATATGCCCATTTTTTAATTGGAGTTTTTGCCTTTTATTGCTGCGTTTTATGAGTTTTAAAAATATATTCTGCATACTGGACCCTTATTGGATTTGATTTGCAAATATTTTCTCCAATTCTGTGAGTTGTCTTTCCACTTTCATGACAGAATCATTTTGCAAAATGAAAGTTTTTAGTTTTGATGAAGTCAGTGTATCTATTTTTTAGTTTGGATCCTTGTGCTTTAAGTGTCATATCTAAGAAACTATCAACTAATCTGAGGTCACAAAGATTTACTCATGTTTTCTTCTTTGACTTTTTTGTTTTAGCTTTTATATGTAGGTCTTTGATTTATTTTGAGATAATTTTTGTATATCATGTGAGGTCATGTTACAAAATCATGCTTTTGCATGTGGCTATCCAGTTGTCCTAGCACCATTTGTTTTTTAAAAAAATATTCTTTCACTCATTTAATTGTCTTGACACCCTTGTTGAAAATCAGTTGATCTTAAGTGAATGGGTTTATTTCTGGCCTCTCCATTTATTCTATTGGTCTATATGTCTATCCTTATGCCAGTACCATACAGTCTTGATTATTGTAGCTTTATAGTAAGTTTTACAATCAGGAAGTGTGAATCCTTCAACTTTACTCTTCTTCTGCAAAATTGTTTTGGCTATTCTGGGTCCCTTGCATTTACATATGAATTTTAGGATTGGCTCATCAATTTCTGCCAAAAGGACAACTGTAATTTTGATAGGGATTGCATCAAATCTATAGAATAATTTGGGAAGAGTTGCCATCTTAACAATACTAAGTCCTCTGATCCATGAAACTGGGGTATCTTTTCCATATATTTAGGTCTTCTTTAATGTCTTTCAATAATGTTTTGTCATTTTAATGTATAAATATTAGTCTTCTTTTGTTATATTTATGCCTAAATATCATATTCTTCTTGGTACTATTATAAGTGGAATTGTTTTCTAAATTTCATTTTTGAATTATTCATTGCAAGTATATATAGAAATACAACTGATTTTTGCGTATATATATTTTTCTTTTTTTCTCAGACAAGTTAGAGAATGTGTATTGATTTTGCATCCTGAAACTTTGCTGAACTTACTAGATCTAAGTTTTTTTTTAGATTCCTTAGGATTTTATATATACAAGATCATGTCATCTAAAAATAGATGGTTTTCTTTCTTTCTAATCTGGAATCCCTCTATTTCTTTTTCCTCCCTAATTTCTCTTTCTTAGAACCTTTAGTACAATGTTGAATAAACGTGGTGAAGAGTGAATATTCCTGTCTTGTTCCCAATCTTGGGGGGAAAGATTTCAGTCTTTCACCTTTTAAGTGTGCTGTATGCTTTTGATAGATGGCCTTTATCATCTTGAGGAAATTCCCTTCTATTCCTAGTTTGTTGAGTATTTTTGACATGATATGGTGTCAGATTTTGTCAAATGCTTTTTTGGCATCTGTTGAGGTGACCATGTGGTTTTTGTCCTTTGTTCTATTAATATGGTATAATATCATATTGACTGATTTTTATATGTGAAATCAACTTTGCATTCCTGGGATAAATCCCACTTTGTCATGGTGTATAATACTTTTTATTTGTTACTATATTATATTTGATAGTATTTTGTTGAAGATTTTTACATCTCCATTGATAAAGGATGTTGGTCTGTAGTGTTTTTGTTTTTGTTTTTGTTTTCTTGTGATTTCTTTGTCTGTTTTTTGGATTAAGGTAACACTAGCCTCATAGAATGAGTTAGGAAGAATTCCCTTCTCATTTGTTTTTTAGAAGAATTTGTAAAGGGTAGGTTTTAAAATTCTTTCAATATTTGGTAGCATTCACCAGTGAAGCCATCTGGGCCTGGGCTTCTCGTTGTGAGTTTTTTTAATTACTAATTTAACCTCTTTACTTGCTATAGATCAATTTTTTATTTCTTCTTGAGTCCATTTCAGTAATTTGTGTCTTTCTAGGAATTTGTTCATTTCACCTAGGTTATCTTAATTTGTTGATATACAATTGCTCATAGTATTCCTTTATAATCCTTTTTGATTTCTTAATGCCAGTAGTTCTCCCTCCAATTTCATTCTTTATTTTACTGATTTGAGTCTTTTTTTTTTTTTCTTGGCTAGTCTAGCTAAAAAAAGGTTTATCGATTTTGTTGATCTTTTCAAAGAACCAACTCTTGGTGTTGTTGATTTTTCTCTATTATTTTTCTGTTCTCTATTTCATTTCATTCATTTCTGTTCTAATTTTTATTACTTTCTTCCTTCTGCTTGCTTTGATTTTAGCTTGCTCTTCTGTCTAGTTGCTTCAGGTAAAAGATTAGGTTGCTGCTTTGAGATCTTCTTTAATGTAAGTGATTAAAGCTATAAGTTTCATTCTAAGCACTGATTTTGCTGCATCCCATAAATTTTGGTATATTGTGTTTATATTTTTATTTATCTCAAAGTGTTTCTAATTTCCCTTGTAATTTCTTCGTTAACACAGCTGTCATTTAGAAGTATGTTGTTTAATTTCTACATATTTATGCATTTCCAAAATTTACCCCTGTTACTAATTTCTAATTTTATTCCATTATGGTAAAAGAACATATTTTTGTCTAATTTCAATCCTTTTAAATTTATGGATACTTGTTTATGGTCTAATATATAGTGTATCCTAGAGAATTCTGCATGTACACATGAGAGGAATATGTATTCTACTGCTGTTGGGTGGAGTGTTTTATAAATGTCTGTTAGGTCTAGTTGATTTATTGAGTTGTTTATGTCTACTGTTTCCTTGCTGATTTTCTGTCTACTTGTTCTATCCATTTTTGAAAGTGAGATTTTGAAGTCTCCAACTATTATGGTTTAATTTTCTATTTCTTCATTTAATTCTGTCAGTTTTTGCCTCACATTTTTTGAAACCCTATAGTTAGGTGCATATATATTTATAATTGTAGTATCTTCTTGATGGATTGACCTTCTTATCATTATAAGATATCCTTTTTGTCTCTAGTGACAATTTTAGTCTTAACTCTATTTTGCCTGATATTTGTATAGTCATTCCAGCTCTCTTTAGCTAGTTTTCATGGTATATGTTTTTACATTCTTTCACTTTCAACCAACTTGTGTTTTTTAATCTGAAGTTTTTCTCCTATAGGCAGCATATAGTTGGATCATGTGTTTTTAATCCATTCTGCCAATTTCTGCCTTTTAATTCTGTTTCATCCATTTACACTTAATGTAATTACTATAAAGTTAGATGTATGCCTGCCATTTTATTTGTTTTCTATTTGTCTTATGTCTTTTTTCCTCTCTTCATCAACTACCTTCTGTTGTGTTAAACAGATAATTTTAACTTTAGATTTATAATTGTTACTCTATGAAGTTCTCTTTTAAATCGGATAGATGGGGAGAAAGACATTTTTCTTAAGTAAACATTCCCTCTATTGATGCAAGTCTTTGGTTAATTTCCAGAGTTCTGAAAAAGTTGATTCTGAATATATTTGCCAGTTTTCTTGTTTCTTGTTGCTTTTTTCTTTTTTCTTTTCTTTTTGAGAGAGAGTCTTGCTCTGTCACCCAGGCTGGAGTGCAGTGGCACAATCTCGGCTCACTGCAACCTCCACTGCCCGGGTTCAAGCAATTCTCCTGCCTCAGCCTCCTGAATAGCTGGGATTACAGGCATGTACCACCACACCTGGCTAATTTTTGTATTTTTAGTAGAGATGGGATTTCACCATATTGGCCAGGCTGGTCTCGAACTCCTGACCTCAGGTGATCCACCTGCCCCAGCCTCCCAAAGTGCTGGGATTACAGGTGTGAGCCACCATGCCCGGCCTTGTTGCTTTTTGGAGGAGAGAATTTTCAGAGGTTCTTACTCTGCCATGTATCAGTTTTAATGTGTGAGTTCTTTTATGGCTTCTGAGTTTGGTTCATTCTTTAAAGGGCTCTTTTCTCTCTAAAATTATTTTAACTATTCCTCAACAGTCTTTCAACTATTTTTTAGGCCAACTTTATCAAAATAGTATTTACATATAGGGAAATGCACCCGTTTTAGTGATAGGTTTTTGACAAATATAGATACCTATGTAATCACTAGCACAATCATGATAGAGAACATTTCAACCAAAAAAGTTATTTCAGGTCCCTTTGTCATCATTCCCATTCCATCAGTACTCCCAGCTTTGGCACAAAATACTCTCATTATTTTTTTCATTGTCTTTGTGTTATTTCTCCTTTGTCATTTTTTATTTCACTCTTCTTAAGTTGCCTAACAGTGTCTCTTTAATTTCATTTTATTTTAAAGAATCCGTTCTTTTATGTATTATATTGTCTTTCTCTTTTAAAATTAACTGAGTAAGATGCTTAAGTGTTAAGAGTGTGAATTTTCCTCTGAGCACTTCTTTAACTGAATTCCAAAGGTTCTGATATAAGGAGGTCATCTCACCATGTTGCCTGCATTTGCTTTGCTTTATATTGCATGTGTTTCTTACTCTAAAATTTTGAATGGCAGTATTTTCATCTTAGAAGTTACTTTTACAACTATGACTTTGGTTGGTATTCGTAGACTTCCTATCATGATCAATGATGGGATTTTTGTATTTCCTCTTCCTCACCACTCAATTGATTGTTATCTTTCTTAGTATTTTCCTTTGTACTCAAAAGTAAAAATACACTTTTTACTTCTGTCATGTTCTAAAAAGCTCTAAATATATTTAGACCATGGTGAGTTTTTCCAGAGGGTTCTTTTTAGTCTTTATTCTGCCCTTTTTTCTGCCACCTCTCCACTCCCCAGCAGGCAGTCCCTAGTCATTAGTTGATTGGTGGGCAAATTGGAGCCCAGGGCACACCGCTTGTCCTTCTTCCTGAGGTGCTTAGGCTAAGCTTAGGGCCCCTCCAGATGGTGAAAACCTCTTTATGCCTAGCTATTTGTGATTGTAACAAGACTGGGTTACTGAGCATTTCATCCCAATATGGGCAAATACATACATCCCTCAGTATCTGTGGAGTATTAGTTCTAGAACCCCCTGTAGATAACAAAATCCATGGATGCTCAAGTCCCTTTTATAAAATGGTGTAGTATTTGCATATAACCACACATCTCCTCATACACTTTAAATCATCTCTAGATTACTTAAAATACCTAATACAATATAAATGTTATATAGTTGTTATACTGTATTGTATAGGGAATAATGACAAGGAAAAACTCTGTACATGTTAAGTACAGACATAACCATTTTTTTCTAATATTTAAAGAAATATCTAATGTTTCTTTTTTTCTAATATTTTTGATCCACGCTTGCTTAAATCTGTGGATACAGAACCCATGGGTATGGAGGAATGACTATATTTTCAAATTGAACAGTTTCAGAAGAAATTCTGGCAAGTCCTTAAAGGCTCTTTCAGCCCTAGCCTGGACTAGCTTTCATTTATACTTGACCATGGCCATTCCCTTACCATTCCCTTTTCCCTCCCCTCAGTTCATTTCTCCATGGGGCCCTTCCCGGGCTCCAGAGTTTAGACCAAAGGAAACAGTGCTACCAGATGACCACCTAGTTAAGAGACAGCCAGCTCTGATAAGACTGATGTCTGTAAAGGTCTTCTGGTGCTTGAAAATCCTTTGTCCTGCCAGGGAACAGACTTGGTGTCTATTTCCATTTCTGTCCTTATTCCTATTTCTTTCCAGTGCCATTTCTAACACACCATTTGTCCTGGGTCTCTTTTAACTTATCATTAATCTAACACCACCCCCGCCCTATCATATGCTTTCGCATCATGTCACATATTCACAAGGTGCAGAGCAGAAAGGAGAAGAGCTTCCTTGACTCAAGCAAATGAATCTATACTTGGAGGCATCATGAGATAAGCAAAAAATACTTCTGAAGAAGACTTTTCAGCGTCCCTTGAATCAAACTGCATTGTAGTGTTCTGACCAGGGAAGGAAGCCATTTCCCCACTGACGAGAGACAGGAGATCATACAGCACAAAATTTAGACCAGAGTCTTTTCCATTCACAGGCCAAGCAATTAGTCAAACTTGGGCAGTTTCCTTTCCCATTCAGCCATTAAGAGTTTGCACATCATTATTAGGGTTTATTTAGCCCAGTGTGTAATGGTAGAAGAACCAGTGGGGGAGTTGGGTGCAGGGAGGTCTTCCCCAAGACATCTCAGTCATGTCTGAGCGTCACTTTCCCTAGTAAAGTTAGGACATTGGATTAGATCTTAAAGTCCCTGGTTGCTCAGATATCCTAAGGATCCTAGGGCATGAGCTGGCTGGATGGATGCACAGAACCCCTAGGGATGGTCCTCATGAGTTTAAAGTGTGATGAGCAGCTTAGCTGGATGGAGTCTGATTGTTAGGTGGATTCTGGGCTGGCCCACACGAGGTCCCTCCACCCTTGTTCCCTCCCGGGAAGATTACTGTGGCATATGTCACAGGCTTGGAGCAGACCAGGACCTTAGGAGGTAGAGGGGGCAATGAGGATGGAGCTGGGAGTGAAGGTTTTCCTGATGGGGAATCAAGAGGTAGGCTGGTGTAGGTGGTATTGTCAAATGAAGGTGGTGAGTCAAGCCTAATGTGTGGTACATCCAAAGGCAATTCAGCAGCCGGTCCAGAGTCACTGACGTGGTGGACCACTGAGGAGGGATTCTGTAACAAAAGCAGGCAAGTCAGGAATGCCTCCCTCTGCCCCAGAACTCCCTTTGGTGGGAAGCCCAGGACCACACTAGATCTATCTCTTGAATCCTGAGTATATCAGTGGGCAAGAGGGCTTCATTGTGAAGATTTTCAAGCCCCAAGTTTCTCCCCAAATCTGGGAGGGTGGGATGCCAAGGGAGACCATTAGTGTCAAGTTTACAGCATTTAGGAAGAGGGTTTGGACCCCAACTAGGTCCCAGTCCTTTCTCCACCCCATCATCCTAGGACCTCTCAGTGAGTGAGATGAATGGAAAGTCTGGGGAATTTGGCTGTGGGCCTGCAGAGGCCTCTTACCATGCCTGAAACTCTGCTGCTCAGGAATCGGCCACAGACACCAAGCCTGTTCCCTGGCAGGACAGACAACAGCAGCATAGTCTGCTTCCGGGGCTGGCTCAGAGCCCTTCCCTCACTCCCTTCCTTCAGAAGCCTCTGAAACCTCTTCACTACTGCAGACTCACCTTCCCCACTCCCACCACCAAACCTTTACCCCTTCCATCTCCCCAGCCTGCCGTAAATCTCCCCACCCACTTACTGCTTCCAGAGCTCCCTTCAACCCACCTCAGCGCTCAGCCTACCTCCCGAGACCCTTTCCCCACCTTCTCCAATGCCTTTCCTCCCATTGCATTGCCCTACCCTTTCTAATTCCTGTCTTTCTGCAGACTGCTCCCATTGAATCTCCTTCCCTCCCCTCCATCCCTCAGCCCTGGGAATTCTAGGATATGGGGGCCTTGAGACTTAAGCCCAGGCAAATCCATTTGTAGGGGGATTGGACCTAGACTCCTGGCCTCATCTGCACAACTGGTTGATACTGGAATGGTAGGGCCAGGCTGAGATAGGAAGATAGCCACCTACCTTGTTTCCTCTTGGCCATCACAGCAAACAGCACCACCGCTGCCACCAGCAGACCTACCAGGAGCACAGCACCCCAGATCAAGGGGATGCTGAGGAACAGAAAGGGATAGGCAGGCTTAGACCTGAAGCCTGTGGGGAGCTGCTGGCCAGGAGCCCTGGAGCAGTGACAGAAGGGTTACATTCTTGATTGGGAGAGGGAGATGAAATAGAATGAGGGGAGCTGACTGAGGTAGGGCAGAAGAGGGACTCATTAAGGTATCCTGGCTGAAGAATCACCAGCATGAAGGCACCATTGCTGACCCAGGACAGAGAAGTATGTATCTGTCTGTCTGTCTGTCCAGAAGTTCCCCAGAGGTGGGAAGAATCATAGGTTTTCCCCTTCGATTTAGTTTGGAGCTCTAAACAAGTCATTGTCTCCACCACCACCCTTCTCCTGGCCTCCCAAATCCAATCCTGTCAGTACCTCTTCTCATCCTGGCTGGGTTCCAAAGGGTTGGCACTGCCTGCAGGGTCTGAGAATGCGTTCTCAGCCAGACTGCCAATCTTATGGGTCTCTTCTTCTTCCTCTGTCAGGCCAGGAATGGAGTCAGAAGGAAACATTTAATGAGTGCATGCCCATATGGGCAGGCTTCAATATCCTGTTGAGGTCTGAGGGACTGGAGGAGTGGAGCCAAGGAAGGAGAGGACCCCAGGAAGAAACACAGAAAGGGGAGGCTGGGATGTTCTTTAGGGGCCTGTCACTCCACAGATCAGGAAATGGCACTGGCTCTTTATGTCTTTACCTGGTTGTGACTACACCCACTTTTCCCTCTACCACCAGCTCCCCCCATCTTCCTGCTGCATTTCTTCCCTTTTACCTGCTCTACCCCTCACCCCTCTGGCCTTATCAAGCTGTTAAGTCTGTGTAAAAACACCTACTGGATGATCTGTACCCACCTCTCCTTCCCACCCGAATAGGTTTCTGCAGTTCTCATCCTCAATGGTGACATAGCTCCTGGATCTCATGGGTCTTAAATGGGGCTTCCTCACATACCTGTGACCCTGCAACCCTAGCCCAAGCTCTGCCCTCAGGACTGAAGAAAATCTGGGTGGGCCCTCATGTGATGCAACACAAACCAACTGACCCTTGCTGAGAGCCTTGCTGGGATCCTGAGACTCAGTTTGAGGACAAGGCTTCTGTCACCCATATGATGTGCTTGACTTCTGGCTGCAGGACTTGGGGTTGGTTTCTCTGGGCCTGGAGACTTGTCTTAGGAACCTGGCCAGTCCTTTCAGACCGACTGGAATGGGGCCTTGCCTTGTTCTTGAGAGATTCACCATTCCTACTCCCCATCCTATGCCACACCAGGAACTGGGGTTGCTGTGGCACATGTCCTGCCCTCCTGGTGCCTATTAGGCTGCCTTTGACCACCTTCTCTGAAGCTAAATGCTCACCTGAGCCGCAAGCCACATCATCTCTGGATGCTACGCGCCACCTGCCTGCCTGAACATCATCCTCCACAGCACCTGCCCCATGGCAGCAGGTCAGGGGCCCAGGTCCCTGCCTCCCTGACGCTCCTCCCAGGGAGTCTCATCTTGTCACAATTTGCCTTTTAGTGAGTTAGAACCTGAATTTAGTAACTCAAAGTGTCAAGGAATGAGGAGGGCAAAGGATGACAAGGATTAACAATATATTTATAATATAAAACAATAACCACAGGCTTGAGATGAGAAGGATTCTAATGACAACATAGTCTACCCTCTTATTTAGAGGGAAAAAAAACAAGGGAAGGGGCCAGGGGTGGTGGCTTATACCTGCAATCCCAGCACTTTGGGAGGCCAAGGCGGGCAGATCACTTGAGGTCAGGAGTTCAAGACCAGCCTGGCCAACATGATAAAACCCCGTCTCTACTAAAAATACAAAAATTAGCTGGGCATGGTGGTGGGCACCTGTAGTCCCAGTTACTTGGGAGGCTGAGACACAAGAATCACTTGAACCCGAGAGGCCAAGGTTGCAGTGAGCCGATAGTGCCACTGCACTCCAGCTTGAGCAACAGAGTGAGACCCTGTCTCAAACAAAACAAAAAACAAGGGAAGGGAAAATGCTCTACTTAATTTTATTATTTGGGGGTTGGGCATAAAATATGAGAAAAGGAAGACCTAAAGGTGAAAAAATGGCCAGTATCCATAAAAGAAAAGGAGTGGCTGTCTGTGCTTCAGGTAGCTGACCATTTTTTATTTTTAGAACATCCTATCTTTCTTAAAAAAAAAAACCCAAGTTTTTAATATTTTAAAATTTTCTTTTAACAAATGCTTATATACTAGAAAAGTTATGGGCTGTGGGAATGAAACCTGCAAAAACAGTGTCTTTAATACTGAAAATAGGGTCAAGAATATTGGCTTAAAATATTAATGACATTTTTCCATTTTTAAAACGAAAGGAGTTGAAGTTGTTCAGGCACTGAATGTACCTACTTGTAGGTGAGACATACTAGATGGCCTGTGAAGACTTATAAAATTAATTAAGGTATGAATTCCATAATTCTTAAGCCATCAAGCCCGCTATTACAGGAATAAAACACTGGAAGCTACAAAAATTAATTCTGGTTTTATACACTCAGATTCAACATTGTTTAAAATATTTCTAATTAAAAAATAAGTTAGCATCAAGTATGTTGAAAATGCTGGAAGAAGAGGCCAAGTCCCTGGAGTGGGAAGGACATGCCTTCCTGTGGGGAAGCGCAGTAGTGTGGAAGGGGGAAAGGGATGGTTTTCAGCTGATTTATCTCAGACTTCCCACCCAGTTTGGTTTCCGCTCCCTGCAGAGCTGTCAAGAGGATATCTCCTTGGAATGCCTCCTCCCCAGGGGCCCCCACTCCTCAAGAACCCATGAGCCCTGGCAATAGGCGGGGGTGGGGAGGGTAGGTCTAAGGGGTGGTAGCTGGCCTAGGATAACTCACCTGGGGGCAGTATGTTCAGAGAGACTCTGTGCAAAATCTGGGGCCCCCTGGCCCCATCCACCATGCAGCCATACTCGCCAGCATCCTCTTCCTGCAGGGTAACCATTTCCACCTGCAGCAGGCCCCCACCCAGGTCTGTGAGAAACGTACGCCTGCCCGCTGGAGCTCTGCGATCCACAGCTGAGGACACCAGGGGCTGGCACCCCTCCGGCAAGAACCGGCACCACACCTTCTGAGCTTTGACATCCTGGAGCCTGTAGTGGCACTGCACCAGAATGGAGCTTCCCACGGGTGCCTGCAGCACCTCAGGGAGGCTGCCAACTATGCCCTGACCTGGGGAAGGAAAGGAGGTGGGAATTTTGGGCAGGAGCTGGGAGCATCTCCCAGCCCAGCTGCTGGTATGGGTGTGGCATTCACAATAACACGTTACTCCTGGACATGGGGCTGAGCATATGGGGCCCAGAGCTGCAGCTCCTCCTGAACCTTACCTTCTAGTCCCAGGAGCAGCAGCAAGAGCAGGGTGAGGCCCATGGCTGGGCAGAGAAATGTCAACTCCTGGGCTTGCCTGGGCACTGATGCAGCATTCGCCTGAGGGCAGGAAACATCTGCCTCAGAAAGTCACTTGGGGTGGGAGAAAGGAAATGATGGGCACCTCCAGGGGTGGGGAAAGGGAGTTCTTCCAAGCCCTGGTTGGCTCAGTGCTCAGGAACTGCCCTGAGGGTAAGGGTGGGCAAGACAGGATGAGAAGACCCGAAGAAAGCTAGAAGCCTGCAGGGGCTGGGGCCCGGCTAAGGGGTGAGATGGGAGGATTGTGACAATTGGAGGACAGGAGAGGAAGAGGAAAGATGATCTTCAGGATCTTCCTAATACAGAATCTGAGGGTGCACAGCTATGAAGGAGGAAGGTAGAGTGCCCTGCACCTCACTCAATGCCATTCTTGCTCTCAATTCTTTGGGAGTGCCCCACGACCACCCAAGCTTTTAGGAGGTTGTATGCAGTACAACCTCAAACAGGAAGTTTCACCTTGATCCTGTGCCCTGGACTGGGTCTTTCTTCATTTATTGTCCTGGACACTATAGAACCCTTCCATCTGGATCCACATTCTTCAGTTCTGGGAAACAAATTCTTACTTTGATAATTACATGTCCATTTTCTTCTCCCCTTCCATTTTTCTGCAATTCCTTAACTAGTTGGTTATTGAATGTCGTGTGTTCATCTCATTTTCATATCTTTTCTATCTCATTTTCCATCTTTTTGTCTCTTTTGTTCTGCCTTCAAGGAGATTTCCTCATTTTCTTCCATCCTTCTATTTTTGTCTTTTAAAATGTTATTTTTTAATATTTTTAATTTACAAGACAAGATATTCCTTATTCTTTGAGCATTTTTAAATTCTGGCATACTATTTTTGTTTCATGAATGCTCTATCTTCTCTGTTGGAAGACAATTCTTCACAAATATTTTCACATTGCTGCATGTTCTAGTCCTTCTGTGCAAAGGGTATTGGCCAAGTTTTGCTGAAGGGTGATTGAATAGCAAACATACCTTGAGTGCAACGTCCAGAGATTTGCTCGCATTCTTCCTCTTCTTCACCGGAGATTTACATTCCAGAGTAAACGTTTCTCTCTCTCTCTCTCTCTCTCTCTCTCTCTTCCAGAGAGGAAGATATACCAGATTCTCTATATAAACTCCAAGTCTCCTAATTTGGGGGTTTCTCTCCTGTGATCCAAACTCACTGCCTGCACAGGAGGCACCTGGCTCTCATTCATGTTGCCCTGTGGAATTGGGCTCGAGGAACTGGGACAAAGTGTGAGTAATAAACCTAATAAACTATCTGACCTCAGACACAGGGGAAGCACCAGTGGTCAGAGAGACTACAGCAGCTGGGGATGGGTGGGAGGGGCGTATTGCCCTAATCTGGAGGGTAAGACCTAGAAAAGGGCCTGGAAAGGCCATTCTCCCTCACTCCCATCTCCTCCCGTCTCACCTTTTTTCCTCTTTTTCCTTCCTTCCTTTGGGAACAAGGGAGTGAGGAATGGGAAACTGGGAGCAGGAGCATGAGAAAATCAGTTAATGTGTTAAGCTGGGCCTTGTGGAAGTGGGAGATTGGGTGACCAACTTCCCGTTTTTGCTTGGGATTGAGGGGTTTCTTGGGACTTTCTGTGCAAAAACTGAAAAAGTCCTGAACAAACCAGGACGGGTCACCCTAGTTGGTGATGTGCTTATGTCTGTCTTGCCAATGCATATCAGGCTTTCTTTGATTTCCTTATAAGAAAGTTATTTTCATACTAACAAGCCACCCAGGCGTGTTGTGTGAAGAGGTGAACTGTATTCAACACTGGACTAAGTGTTGAATATGGTCCACTGCTGGGTGCTGAGACAGAGGTGACCAGGCAAGATCCTGGCCTTCATGGAGACATCATGTTGCTGGGCGTTAGATGAAGGAAACCAGTGTTTATTGAGGACCTACTATGTGCCAGTCACCTGGCCAAGGACCTTCACAATGTTATTTCTTTCTTTTTTTTTTTTCTTTTGAGACAGTCTCACTCTGTCACCCAGGCGGGAGTGCAGTGGCGCAATCTTGGCTCACTGCAACCTTGGCCTCCTAGATTCAAGCAATTCTCTGCCTCAGCCTCCCAAGTAGCTGGGACTATAGGCATGCACCACATGCCTGACTAATTTTTGTCTTTCTTTTTTTTTTAGTAGAGACAGGGTTTTGCCATGTTGGCCAGGCTGGTCTTGAATTCCTGGCCTCAAGTAATCCACCCCACTCAGCCTCCCAAGGTGCTGGGATTACAGGCGTGAGCCACCATGTCTGGCCACGAATGTTATTTCTTTCAACCTCACAAAAACCTTGCAAAGTAGGGGAAGTGGTTGTTTTGTTTATTTGTTTCTACAAGCGAGGGCACTGGGTTTTAGAGGGATTGAGGAGCTTGCCTAAGGTGTCTTAATAGGAGGCAGAGTTGAAATTTGAGGCCAAATGGCCTCACTTCCCTTCAGTCCAGAGTGCTCGCAGAGAGTCTGAGGCAGGAGAGCCTGTGGTGATTCCAGTCCAGAGAGGAATGTCTCTGACATGGCAGAGAAGGAAAGAGAAAAGGCCAAGCTCCCATGAGGAGGAAAGCCTGATTCTGGGCTGGGGCTGATGGCAGCCACTGCCCTGGAGCACGAGGCAGGCCGCGGGGAGCCTCCCAGGCCATTTCATCGGCACTGGTGCCCACAACTGGGGCAGGAGGTAGGTGGAGAAGGCGCAGTTTGGGCTCGGCTCATTCTTGGTGCTACCTGTGCCCTAGATCTATAGGAAGGGGGCAATGCCCCAGGACACAATGAGGAAGTTTAATGTGCCCCTGAGCCAGGGAGGCCATGGGAACACAGGTTGGACCAGAATCCCAAGGCTCCAGGACAGGGAGCCAGTGGAGCAGCTTACATTGGGAGTGGACAAGGCAGGGTTGGGGCACAGCTGGGACCAGGGGAGTGACATGTTGAAGTGAGGCTGGAACATGAGGGCCATGCCAGGGGCTCCATCCTAGTGATTTAAACCTTAGGTGCCCAAGCGCAGGTTAGGTGGCAAGGCAGCCATGTGAGCTATGGCCACAGGGGATCCTGGGCATCCACTTCTCTGGGGCCCAGTCCAGAGAGCCCAGGAATATGGCCGACTCACTTCTTCTTTCCCCTGCAGCTCACCCTCAGGGGAGTCTCCTCCCAGTTTCCCCATGAGTCTTGGCCAGGGTGGTGTGTGTGTTGAAGAGAGAGTTGAGGTTGCATGTGCTGCCTTGGCTGTTCGCTCGGCCCTGAATACTCCTCCCCGTGATGTCCTCATGGCTCACTTCCTGGCCTTCTTCAAGTGTTCCTCAAATGGCACCTTCTGGCTTCTGCATTTAAGATGGTATCATCCCCTGTCCCTCCTGCACACCCATACTCCTAACCCTGCTTGATTTTAATTTTTTCCTCAGCACGTTGTGCCTCTAACAGGGAATCAGATTGACTTACTTACTGTGTGCATTGTCTGTCTCCTCTCCTTCCACTAAAGTGAGCTCTGTGTGGGCACAACTCTTGCCTCTTTTGTCCACTGTTGTATTTCCAGTGTTCAGAATAGTACTCGCCACAGACTGGTTGCTCAAACTAATACTTGTTGAACAAATAAGTAGGAGTGAGTCAGAGGAAAGAGCACCTTGAATGCCAAGTGAAATTTGGATTTCCAGGCTCTACTGGGGATTTTGGGTGGGGATTTTGGGTAAGTTCCTTTCCCTTGTTGAGCCTCAGTTTCCCTTCTATATGATGAGGGGCTTGAACCATCAGTTCCCAGTTTGATAATGCTGTACATTATCAAGCCCTTGTCATTTCTCCGAAGGGGAAATGATATGATGAAAACAGAGTTCTAAGGAGATGAATGGATGAGTCTGCCAGGAGTTGACCTTGGTGGGGAAGAACTGAGTCAGCTGGAGGGGGCCTTGGGGCAGGGAGGTTCCATAATCCAGGGGAAGCTGATGGAGAGGGTGAATGCTGGGGAGGAGAGCAGAGGAAGACTGGGTGCTAGAGAAACCCCAGAGGAGGAGGCAGAACTTGGCGATCAGATCTAGGGAAGGGAAGAGAGAGAAGAAAAAAACTGACTGGCTGATTGAGCCTGTGAGAATGGAGGGATGTGGTATCCTATGGTCCTGGGCCTCAAGGAGCAAAATCTCTTGTCTTTTTCTCATCCAAATTCATTTTCTTACCCCTGTGGAAGAAAATGAGACTTTCATGATGCCCAAAACTATCCAGCTAAATATGACAGTCTTGGATTTATTTGTAAGTGTTTAAAATGTCCAATATTCAGAAGTTGTCAGGTGTTCTTACCACCTCCCCACTCCCTCAACCAGTCCCTGCTTCCAGGGTCCAGGAGAAGCAGTGTTCAGGCAGAGTAGTCTCTTGCCAGAGCAGAACAAGGAGTCCTGGTGGCCAAGTGGCAAGTATGCAGGCTGGGCTGGTCCCTGGTGGGACTTCTCCTGGGCTTTTCCTCCCATCATCTTCCTTCACGTGTCTCTCAGCCCTGCAATAGTCCAAGGACTCATGTGGCCCCTCTCGGCACCGCCTCCCATCCCTGCCCAGTCCACCCTTGATGGCTGTGCTCTCCAAGCCCACCTGGCAGAGTTTGGAGCTGATACCCTGGGTCATGGCCACAGTCCAGTTCACTGGGTGGATGTGTCCCTGGCTTCTGTCCATGCCAGGCTGCAGCCCAGAGGGCGCTGGCTGCTAGAATCTTGATGAGAAAGATGCAGGCCAGGAGGAGAAGGATGGAAGTGGGTGGGAAGGGGATTTCTCCTTCCAAGAGGCTCCTTGGAGAGACAAGAAGGCAGATGGGAGCCTTGAGATGGCCTACAGATTAGAATCTTCTCTCAGGGAATGGGGAGAAACCAGGAGCTTCTAGGACCTCAGCAAATCCCACCCAGCACCATCCCTGGGATGGGCCTTTTTGGAGCTTTGGGAGCCCATAGTCAAGAGACTTGAGTTCTAGGCATGCTCTGCCACTAACCTGCTGAGTGCACTTAAACACACCACCTTCCCTCACTGAGCAGTTTTCTTCTGTATACAGTGCTATGCCATGGGTGTGTGTGTGTACACACATGTGGTTATATGAACAACGTTTAAACACCAGTACACAGGCATGGACCAGTCAGAACTGATTCTGGTCCTACCAATGAAGCAGAGATCTGGGGGTCTTAGCTTTGTACTAAAGTACTAAAACATTCATTGTTGCTGAATTATGGGGATGTCTGGGGGCTGCCAGGGGAGGGGCGGGAGCTGATATTCAGGAGTCGTAGAGCAACTGCTCTTTACAAAGCATTATGGAAGTCTTCCAATAAATGAACAACTGACACAGTCACGCTAACTAACTAACATGTAGCAGCTGGTGGAGGGGTGTTTACATAAGAGATATCCAGGGCCCTTCAGGCTCTAGTTGCCTTGTAATTTGTAGTTCAGGATGCCCAGCCCCCACCCCCGTGGGGCTCTGCAGGGTGGAAGTCTGCCCACGGGTTTTAGGAAAGACCCATCGCTGTACCTGGAGATGCTGTGCTCCACATGGGCATCCTCGAAGCTCTCAGACTCCCCGGGGAACCAGAGATCTCCAGCATCCCGGTGATCCAGGGGGTCTATGGGAGGCAGAGCCATGAGCCTCCAGCCCCTTCCTCCTCGAGGCAGGGGGAGAACCTTGGCGGGAGAACCTTTATGGGTGGGGTGAGGTCCCCTGGGCACTGGTCCTATGTGGATCAGGTCATTACACTCCATAAGCCTCAGTTTCCCCACTTATAAAGTGGGCCGTTAGGAACACTTCCTTAATAGCAGGGTTGCCAGGATTCCGTGAGGGCACCTCTGTGCCGTATCCAGCACCTCATCGGAGCTCAGTAACTGCAATGCCCCCCTCCTTCCGCACAGGGGCTAAGAAGAGCAAATACAATCGTGGATGTACTTGAAAATCCTATCTAAACTGTCAAGCTGTCTACACAAGCTATGGGCTACTTTTATTTTTCTGTCTCCCTCTTGGGAGGTGGCTAAGGGAGTTCACTGCCACCGGCCATCCTTAGGAAAGTGGTGGAGGTGGGGTTTGTGTCTATGACTGGCAGTCTCCCCTGGCCTCCCCAAGTCAGGCAAATACTACTCCTGACCTCATTTCCATGGTAAAGAGCCATACTGGGAGAAGGGGTTGGAAAGGAGGAGAGTCAGAAAAGGCCTTTGTAGCCCCAGATTTGTTCTCCTTTGGGGACACAGTTGTGTTCTGCAGACTCAAGCAGAAGGCCTTCCTGGAGGGTGGTCCCTGCGCAGAGCTCGGGGGTGGAAAGGAGACACCCTGGCCCACCTACTCACACCTGGAATGACGATCCCAAGACAGTTCAGTAGCAGGAGGCTTGGAGCACATGTCACACCCTGCCCCCAACGCCCCCCGCCAAATAAAAACTCACAGGAACCCTATGGGGTCAGCAGGACAGACACCACCCTCTCCATTTACAGATGAGAGAATGGAGGCCCAGAGAAGTGAAGCACATTGCCCAGCACAAGCAGTGTTCCTTTCTAGGGGTGATTTTCTGCACCAGGTTGGTGCTTCACTTACGTTGATAGGGCCATTGGTTGGTTGGTGAGGGAATAAATTAATCTCCTCCTCCTTAAGGACCTCCTATCATGTTCACATGCTAACTGGATGGAGATGGATAAAGCTGTTTGGGCAAGGAGGGCCAAGGCCAGGCTAGTTCACAGAGTGCCTTAATGCAAAGTAGAGAAAGGTGCCCTTCTTGCAGGTGATGCAGCTCTGCACCAGGGAACACAGTCTGGCAAAAGGAGTCCGGGCTGGATTTTGGCCCCCTTGTATAGTGAGCAACCTGCACAACTATCCTTGGTAGCCCTGAGTAGGGAGATGAGACCATACGATGGGTTTTCCCAGGATCCCTGAGAGCCCAGTGGGTGGTTCTGCACACAGACGCCCAAAACATGAGGCCTGGAACAGGGGCAGGCCAGAGAGGCAGCCACTGCCCACTCACCTGCCAGCACCTCCACCAGGACCTTCCTGAGGGTGTCAGCCTCACTGCCATGGAGGCTCTGGCACTGGTAGAGACCCGCATCATGGGGTTGTAGATTCCGCAGCGTAATGGTGAGAGTGCCACCCAGGGTATCGTCTGTGATGGCTGTGCTCCCATTCCACCTCCTCAGGAAGGACAGCAGCCACAAGTTGTGCGTGCTGACCACACGCTGGCATGGGCCCTTCTCTCCCAGCTGGCGGCACCAGGCCTTGCGCCTCCCCCAGTGCTTCATGGAGTCATAGGGGCAAGACACCTGCAGGGACTGGCCCGCCACGCCCTGGAACACTGTGGTGTTGTGGGCTCCGGACAGCTCTGGGGAGGAGACATTCATTCACTCCTTTGTTTACCAAATACGCTTTGAACACTTGCTCTGTGCAGTGACCTAAACAGACAAAAATCCTGCCCTGAAGGAGCTTAGGTTCTTATACAAGTTGGGAGCGGATGGCACAGCATGTGTTTGTGGGAAATTGGGAACCAGGAAACCTGGGACCTGGGTTTGGTTTTCTCACTGTTGCTCTTGCTGGGCCTCCTTGGAGAAGTAACTGACCTTCTCTGGGTCTATTCTGGAGGCACTTGGTCTTAAAACCCCCTCCAGTTCTGTTCTGCACATCTCTTTGCCATCATTTGGGACTGGGACCTCTCCTCTCGGCCTGGGGCTGGCTCTCCCTGCCCCGCCACTCTTGCTTGCTCTGCAGCCGCCCACATTGGTACCGACTTTCCTGACCTTTAACTTCCAGCTTCCCTATTTCTGTGGCTTTGTTCCCCTTTCAGGAAGGACCCGTCTCGGAGATATTTTGGGGGAGACATGAGGCTGCTATTTTGGGAACCCTCCTTAGGGCGGGGGAGATGGGCTTAGAGCACCAGCCTGTTGCTGGGGCAGCCCCCAGAGCCCCCTGCTTTGACTTCTCTCTTGGTCCTCCCTTGCCTGCCATCTTCAACCATTACTGTGACAGAGGCTTGAAAGATAGGATTGGGAAGTTGGTGGCTTGCCTTTTGGAACTAGAGAGACCAGATGGGCCGTGGCCCTCTCCCATCTGACCACCTCCCATCCATGCCTCAGAACCCCGCCTTCCCCCTGACCACCATCTAAGAAGCTGCAGGAACAAGACTCCATTTGGCACCGTCTCTCCTCTTGCCCAGGTTTGTCCAGTGCTCTGGGGGAGCAAAAGGTGCGCTTTCCTCAGCGGGAAGAAGCAATTGTGTACAAAAATTTGGTGTGTCAATTCCCCTCAACTCAGCAACGGAAATCTCTACGCTCCTCACCTCCCATCAAGAGCTGAGGACAAGGGGACCTTCAGAGCAGGGGAGAGAGTGCCCCAAAGATGCAGATGAACATCCTCAGGTTCTTTCCTCCTTTATAACTGTAGGGGCTCATAATTAGTGGCTTATAATTTCAGAGGCTATTACCAGTGCCAGTGCCCCCCAAAGCTTCCCCCAACTGCCAGCTAGTGCCTGGGATGCCACTGTTAGCACTCCTTCCCTTCCAATGCAACCAGAGTCCACCAGCCCCTTACATGTCCACATGCAGAAAGAGTCTGAGGGTAGGTTTTGATACTGGGGAGGGAAGGAGGGTGTGAAGAATATGGGCAGGGTGGGGAGGAGAGGAGTGCAGAACAGGGCACTCAGGCATGCGAGGACTGCCACCGCCTTCATAATTCACCCCAGGGCCCACCACCCGCGCCCCAACCACATGCTCAAAGTGAGGGAGAGAAGGCATCACAGGGCACGGAGGGGATCCTACCTGTGACAAAGAGTAAGATGAGCAGCCGGAGAGGCTCCATGCCACCCTTCCCCAGCCAAGGGCAGAAGCAGAGTGCCTTGTGCAAGATCTCGTCTTTCCCTTGAACTGCAGAAAAGAGAGGATCAGGCATGTCAGGCGCTGCCCACAGGAACTGGGCTCCTGGGGATTAAGCAATAGTCAGGACTGGGGTCTGGAGGCGGTGCAGGGTGGGGACAGAGGGGAGGAGGAGTCGGCCACTGCAGCCCTGGCAGAAGGAGGCTGAGTCTCCCAGACCTCTGAGAAGCCAGCCCACCCTCCTGCTGGTGCCAGCCAGGGTGGCCCCCAGATGGTTGGGGCTGGTAAGGCCCTGCACTGCTCAGTTTCCTTGCAGAGCCTAGCCCAGGGATCACTATCCTCACAGCTGTATTCAGACCCTCCACCAGCTGCAATGCCCGCCATCTTCTGGTTTCAGCCTTGCAAGAGTTGGAGAACAGCTGTGCCTTTAGAGGCCAGGACCCTCATCCAGCACCTCTTAGTTCATCCCCCCAGGGCTGTCATTCCTGTAGTGTGGCAGCAGTTAAGTACACAGCTCTGGAGCCAGACTTCCTGACTTTCTGGGTGTGTAACCACACATCCAAAACCTACCTGTGTCTGTTCCCTGATCTATACAGTGGGAATAATGATAGTGCAAAGGGTTATCAGGAGCACCATATGGGTTCCTACAGGTAAAGTGCTTTCCAGTAGGGCCTGACACACAGCATTCAACAAATACTAACTATTACCATTATCCTAGTTAGAAGGGAAAAGGGAAATGGGCTGTCCATAAGACAGAAAATTTTCTCTCCCACCTGGAATTTTCTGCCCAAGTTTAGCCTTCTTGGAACTGTTGGGTGTCTCCTGTGCACACATGCTCACACTGGTGTTTATTTTGTGCACACACATGCTTGAACTCCTGATCATCCTATCCTACAGGACAGGACAGGATATTTCTCAGAGTTCTGGGGGTAGGGGTGTGTTTTTCTACACGTACAGGTTCCCATGGTGATCCAAGCACAGGGACCCACGTGTGCAAAGGCACAAAAGTGTGAAATGGCCCAGTGAGTCGGGGATTGGATGGAGGAGGCTTGAGTCAATTCTAGGAGTGGGAAATGGAGTTGTGCTGGGAGTGGCAGAAGAGGCTGGAGAAGCCTGCAGGAGCCTGTAGATTATCAGGGTCTACTTTAGTTTCCTGCAAACACTCACTTATTTGTTCTTTTATTCATTTATTTACTCATATTTACTGTGCATCTAACTTACGGACAGGGAATGTGCTTGGAGATGGGGAATTCATAGTGAGGAGAAGACAGGCCTCCACTCAAAGGGCCAACTGCCCGGCCTTGCCCCAAGGGCCTGGGGGCTGAAGTCTGAGGCTGCCTGAAGATCACTCTGTAGGTACTCTTCTAGGGTCTTTTTCTAGAAGTCAGGTTTATTGGCCCATAATTTACATATACAAAAATTTACCCCTTTTAAATGTCTAGTTGTGTAAATGTTGACAAACTCATGCATCTCTATAACAACCACCACAATCACCATGTCTGTGTAACACAATACCATAATATAGAAAGTTTCATTTAGCTTAAGCGAGAGCCTTTGTGCCCATTTTAGCCAGTCTCTTTCTCTCCAATCCAGGGCCTGGCAACTACTAAGCTGACATCTGTTTCTGTAGCTTCCTGCCCTTCCTAAAATGTCATAGACATGGAATTAAATAGTATGTAGCCTCTTGGGTCAGTCTTTATTCACTCATCAGAATAAATTCAGCATGCGTGAAGTTTCACTTCTCAAGAATGTATTCCTTTTTATTGCTAAACCATCTTTCATTCTATGGTTGAACCACAAGTAGCGTATTCATTCACCCGCTGATGGATATTTGGGTTGTTTCCAGTTTGGGACAATTATAAATGAAGCCACTATAAACATTCATGTACATATGTTTTGTGTGGACATATGTTTCTATTACCCTTGGATAAAATCCTAAGAATGGGACTGCTGGGTCACATGTAAGTGTATGTTTAAGTCTATAAAAGCTGCCAAAGTCTTTTCCAAAGAGGCTGTACCATTTTTACATCCTTGTCAACAGTTAATATTGTCAGGTTTTAAAAAGCCTTTCTAATAGGTTTAAGGTGATATCTCCTTCAATTTTAACTTGTATTTTTCTAGTGAGTAACGATATTGGACATCTTTTTGTTGTTTATTGCCATCTGTACCTTCTTCAGCAAAGTATTAGTTCAAAACTTTTGTCCTGTCCATTTTTAATTGTTTATTATTATCATTATTATTGAGCTGTGAAAATTCTTTTTATTCTGGATAGCAGTCCTTTATCAGATATGTGATTTGCAAATATTTTCTTCTAGTCTGTAACTTTTTTTCTCATTTCCTTAGCAGCATTAGCAGCATCTTTTTTTTTTTTTTTTTTTTTTTTTTTTGAGACAGAGTTTTGCTCTTGTCACACAGGCTGGAGTGCAATGGTGAGATCTCAGCTCACTGCAACCTCCGCCTCCCAGGTTCAAGCGATTCTCCTGCCTCAGCCTCCTGAGTAGCTGGGATTACAGGCACCTGCCACCACGCCTGGCTAATTTTTTTGTATTTTTAGTAGAGACGGGGTTTCACCACGTTGGCCAGGCTGGTCTCGAACTCGTGACCTCAGGTGATCTGCCTGGCTCAGACTCCCAAAGTGCTGGGATTACAGGCATGAGTCACTGCACCCAGCCTAAATGGATAGATGTTATTTCTGATGAAGTCCAATTCCTTGATTTTTCTTTTTACAATTTGTGCTTTTCTGTGCTCTGTTAAAAAGTTTGCCCATCTCAGAGTCACAAATATTTTCTCCTATGTTTTCCATTGGAAGTTTTATAGTTTTAGGTTCTACATTGTGGTCTATGATTCATTTTTCATTAATTTTTGCATGTGGTATAAGATGCACTTTGCAATTTTTTCAACATATGAATGTCCAATTGTACTAGCATAATTTGTTGAGAAGACTTTCTTTTCTTCATTGAATTACCTTAGTGTATTTGTTGAAAATCAATTGACATGTAGGTCTAGTTCTGACTGTTCTGTTCCGTTGATCTATATGTCTATTCTTTCTCCAATATCACACTGTCTTGATAACTTACTGTAGCTTTACACTGTCTTAAAATCAAACAGTGGTTCTTCAAAATGGTTTTGACTCTTCTAGTTACTTTGCTTTGCCATGTAAAATTTAAAATCAGCTTGTGGATTTCTAATCCTCTTCTTCTCACCCCCAAAAATCTGTTGGGCTTTCAGTTGGGATTGCATTGACTCTATGGTTTAGTTTTAGAGGGAAATAGACAACACTGTTGAGTGTTCCAAGCCATGGACACAGTTCAGCTGTCCATTTATTTGTTTCTTCTATGATTTCTCTCATCAGTGTTTTCAGTTTTCAGCATACAAATCGTGCACATATATTGTTAAATTTCTACCTAAATATTTTATGATTTGGGGTGCTATTTTACATGATTCTAGCTTTCTGTTTCCTAGGCAGAAGCATAACTCATAAGCTCCATAAGTTTTTATCTTATCTTCTGGTCCATTTAAGCTGCATATTGACCCCATGTCCCCACTCCTTCCCACATGAGGAAAAGGTCTTTAAACCTCATGGAAAAGCGAAGGCACCAAGAAATCCTTACCAATTACTCACAGCACATGTACATCAAAGGCTCTTCTTTAAACTTGTGTTAATTTTCCTGATCCCTCGATCCTATATTTGAGCACAGGAACAGTTCTGCACCACCCGCACTCCCAAGCACAGGATTCTTCTTTTCCCTTTGCTAAATCTGAATTCAAAGATACCTTCCACCTCACATCTGGGCACAGAGTTTATGTCCTTCTGTCATTACGTCTGAACTTCCTCACTCACCGATGTATGCATTCATTCATGTGCCAGGCATGGTGTTACAGAACCATGGAGCCTTTGTGTTCCTAGATATGATGGTGACCATTGCTGGGGAAAGCCTCAGAACCAGAAGCATGACTGCACACATGACATGCTCCTGATGTCTAACTTTAACTGAGACCTCACAGCTGCCTGGTCATCCTCTTCAGAACTCCTGGAGGCTAGAGTAGCTGTTCCAAATCATCACTCTCCTCAAACACACACTTTCACTCTCTCTTCTCCTTTCTCCCTAGGAGTAAATCAAGACGGTCAAGTATGAGCATCCTCACCACCTTTCAGATCAGATCCTCCATTATCTTCCCATCTGCACCCAGCCAGCTTGAGCAGCCAGGAAAGCACTAGGTGTTGGTCAGGACCATGGCCAGTGCCAGCCCCTGTGCTAGGCTGGGGAGGCATGTGACTGGAACAGCCGACATAGGAACAGGCCTCTCAAAGCTGGAATAACTCCAATTTGATTAGGCTTATTGTCAGCCCAACCTGGGACAGCCCCTGCAAAGCCTTGCCTGAGAACTGGGCTTAAAGGGGTGATTGGTGGTGTCCATTCCACCCTTGGCTGGGGCCACCAAACTACAAACATAAGAGCCCACAAATGCCATTCACTAATAAGCAGCCACTTAAGACTTCTCTTTCCCAGTTCCTTCTTTGATTCTGTTCTGCTTTTACTTTATCCTACCTTCCTACATCCAAACCCCTGCCTTCAAGTCCCAATCTTTATCCCGCCTCTGATCTGGCTCAGACTTGACCCTTCTTCCCATCTCTCTCTTTGTATTTGTTGCATCATCCTCTGACACTTTCAGCTCAGGCAGTTCTTCCATTTTAACACTTCATATTTTCCAAGTTGAAGATCTCGGTTCCTATTCAGGGCCAATGACTCCCCTCTCCAAGCCAGGACACCTCCTGGGGAGTGTGTGTGTACATGCGAGTGTGTGATGGCACTGGACTAGGTCTCAGGCAGGCAGCAGGCCAGTCTAGCAGCAGCCAATGGGCCCAACTGAAGTGATGCAGGATGTTAGACCAAGGGAAGGGCTGGATGAGAACTCAGGAAATGAGATGAACCCAGGTGCTAAGCCTGGTGCAGACATCGCAGGCATCATAGGGCTGAGATGGAAGCATAGGGAACCTCTCCTGCTTCTTGATTCAATCAGAACTGCTCCAGATTCTGACGGGTCAGGAAGGATATCCAGCCTGCATATGAGGGAAAAGTGTGGGCACTGAAGCCTGGGTGGGAAGGAAACTAAAAATACAGAGTAGGGGTTAAGTACACAGACTTTGGCTTCTTACAAATCTCTGCTTAAACCCAGCTCTGTTATTTACTAGTTATGTGGCTTTGAGCAAGTTTCTTAATTCTCTGAGCCTAGCTTCACTATCTGGGTACGTAAAGCTATGGCATATTGTTAATTGCAAAAAATAAAATAAAATAAAATAAAATAAAGGTAGCTGGTATTAATTTCCCTCCTCCTTAATCTATTTCTCCCTGAAATCTTCCTTCCATCCTCCTGCCTCCCTCCATCCCGGATGTCCACTTCCTCTTCCCGGGTGACTGTTCTCTCTACCCTGGATGGTCCCTGGCAACTTGCTTTCTCTCCTAATCCTCTCTTGCAGGGTCTTTGATTTCTCCACTCCTTCCTGTCCACACATTTCTTCTTTAAAAAAAAAAAAAAGAAAAAGTTTCCACCTTTTCACTATGGAGAATTTAAAATATACACGAAAGTAGAAGTATAATAAACTCCATCTACCAATAAGCCATCCTCAACGAGTTATAAACTCGTGGCCAATTTTGCTTGGTTCACTCCCCTGTCTCATGTATAATTTTGAAGCAAATCTCATACATTATATTATTTCATCTGTAATGATTTCAGCTAAGAGACTCTTTTTTAAAACTGAAAATAAAACCTAAGGAATTTCCAATTGTTTTAGTAATGTCATATATATTTTCCAGGCTTAAAAATAAATTAGATCCAAACAAGTCTGCACGTTGCAGTTGGTCAATATGTCTTTTAGGTCAGTTTTATTTTATTTGTTTTTTGTTTTTTGTTTTTTTCTTTGTTAGACAGAGTCTTGCTCTGTCTCCCAGGCTGGAGTGCAGTGGTGCGATCTCGGCTCACTGCACCCTCCGCCTCCTGGGTTCAAGCAATTCTCCTGCCTCAGCCTCCCGAGTAGCTGGGATTACAGGTGTGCGCCACTGTGTCCTGCTAATTTTTTGTATTTTAGTAGAAGACAGGGTTTCACCATGTTGCCCAGGCTGGTCTCGAACTTCTGAGCTCAGGAAATCCGCCTGCCTCGGCCTCCCAAAATGCTGGGATTACAGGCGTGAGCCACCACACCCAAATTTTTAGGTCTGTTTTAATCTGTAGTTTCCCCCTTCATCTTTATCTTCCCTTGCAATTTATTTGTTGAAGAAACCAGATTGTTTGTCCTGTAGAATTTCCTGTGATGTGAAGTTTGCTGATTCATCCCCACAGTATTGCTTAGCTTTCTCCTCTGTGCCCTGCATTTTCTATAAATTGATACTTAGCTATAGAGGGTTTTCAGATTTTTTTCTTTTGCCAAATACTTCATAAGTGGCAGTATATTCTTCCACCAGGAGGCACCTGACGTGGAGGAGTGCTCTTTCTGTCATGCTAGCAGCTGTTCTGGCTCAACACCCAGATCCACTAATTCATTTGAGGTTGCAAAGTTGATCATTCCTTTTTTATGTGTTATTCGGCATACTTCTATAAGGCAAGTATACTTACTCTCACCCATCATTTGGCCTGTACAAGAAGGGCAAGAGGAATGCTTTATTCTTTCTTTAATTAACATGTTTTTAAAATTATGCATTAGTTCATTAGTACTCTTCAATTATGACTAATTAGATTTTAATTTTTAGTATAATTATAAATGAATGATTTAGACATATTTGATATATAACAATCTATTATAGTTAGTATTGTTATTGACTTTCAGATTATTCTTTTTTTTTTAAGAGACAAGGTCTCACTCACTCTGTCACCCAGGCTGGAGTGCAGTGGCGTGATTATGGCTCACTGCAGCCTCAACCTCCTGAGCTCAAGCAATTCTTCTGCCTCAGCTTCTTGACTAACGAGGACTATAGGTGTGTGCCATCATGCTCAGCTAACTTCTAAATTTTTTTGCAGAGATGGGATTTCACTATATTGCCCAGGCTGGTCTCAAACTCCTGGCCTCAAGCAATCTTCCCACCTTGGCCTCCCAAAGTGCTGGGATTTCAGACATGAACCATCATGCCTGGCCAGATTATTCTATCTGTGACCAATGGTTAGTTCCTGAGTCCTTTGGGCTAATCCAAGTAGTCTTCCATGTCCTTTCTGGGTGCACCATCCTCAAGGCACCTCCACCTACTCAGCAAGCTGGAAGCTCTTGGAATCTGTCTTTTGGAGTGAGCCATCACGGCTCACTGCAGCCTTGACCTCATGGGTTCAAGTGATCCTCCCACTTCTCAGCCTCCTGAATAGCTGAGACTACAGGTATGTGTCACCACCCCTGACTAATTTTTGTATTTTTTGTAGAGGTGGAGTTTTGCCATGTTGTTCAGACTGGTCTCTAACTCCTGGGATCAAGCAATCTGCCCATCTCAGCCTCGCAAAGGGCTAAGATTACAGGTGTGAGCCACCATGCCCAGCCCAGACAACTTTTTATTCATAGTCTTCAATTGCTCCTGTGTACTTGCTCCCTAGAAAGTCGTGAATGGCCTCCTCTCAGCTCTGGCACCTCTTAAGCTTTTCTTCTGCCTTTGACATGGGTGACCACTGTGCTGGTTCTTTATGCTTGCTCCCACCCTGACCCATGCTCTGCCCTGCTCCGTCTTGCTCCATCCCTGGGAGACTGATCCCTCTGGACCCTATGCCCAGGCTTACTGCTGGGCCTGGCCAAAGGGACATCAAAAGGAGCTTGGAACGTGGGAAGAGAAATAAGTTGTGGTGTTTGTTTCTCCCTACCTCATCCATGCTTTGATGTGGTTCAGACAATGGCTGATTTCCTCTATGGCCACAGCTCCTACTGATGGCTCCTCCATGGCTCCAGCCCTCACTTGGCTCCAGTAAGAGAATTCTCCCTCCCTGTTCTTTCAAGCCCAGGGGGGTGTTAACAGCTTTCTGTATTTGGATGCATCACCATCCCCTGCTGGTTCCCTTATCCTTACCCATTTTTAAAAGAGCCTCATTTAAATTATCAGCAGTTAAACCTGTTGTGCATGCGTCTGTTTACAAACTTGGTCTACAGCTACCTTATTCTTTTCACTCTTATTGGATTAAGTGGGAGATCCCGGAGTAGCTCTCCCAAGGGACACATTCATTTATTCCATCAAGCACCTACTATGTGCCAGGCACCATGCTGGTGCCAGGAAGGTGCTGCCTCTTTGTTGCTGGATATGGAAGTGCTGCTGATATTGTAAATCTGTAGTGGCTGAATTCTAGATCAATACCTTGGGTTGGGAAAGTGAAAGGAGACCCTCAAATGAGTTAACAGAGGGAATTTGGGACATATATGGGTCAGACCATCTCAGCCAGAAAGGCATATTTGGGTTTCTGGTCTTAGTGTGAGCTGAGAAGTCAGGATGGCCATCAGGGCAAAAATGGGCACCAACACTTTGACCACAGAGATCTGCCAATGAAGACGGGTCCTGCCATGGCTGGAAGCTTTTAACACCTTCAAAAGGAAAGAGGATTGTTAGAGAATTGCTGCCTCTCTGAAGAGAAAGAAAACAGTTTTGCCAGGGAGGTGAAGTGACCTTGTTGTCTGGGGTGACACCCAGAGTTCCTGGTCTCATAGCCAAGGAAATCAAGGACACGGGGACACCAAAGGTGAGGTTTAGAGCAGAAATTTAATAGGAGAAAAAAAAGAGAACAGCCCTCTGGTACAGAGAGGGGTCCCAGCAAAAGGGTTGCTGGCCCACAGTGAAATTCAGGGGTTTTTAACAGATGAGCTAGTGGGGAGGCAGTATCTGATCTACATAAAGCATGGAAAACCAGTTAGGACTAGGTGTGCCGTCTGCATAGGGCACGGATCTCTGCCAGCCCCCACCCCAATCCTTTATTATGCAGGTGGGTCCATAGCCTGGCTACTCCAAGTTGTTTATTTCTTTCTTACTTTGCATGTGCTTAAAAAAAGGTGAGGTAGAACCCCCATGGTGACCATGCCTGGCCCCAGGTAGCCCTTTTTATCTGTGCAGCTGCAGCCATCCCCCTTGTGGAAGCTTCCAGCTTCCTTATCTATGTTTGCAGCCCAATCTTCCAGGCTGCTCTTTGTTAGAAAAGAAGTGATTTCTTGGGTTGCTTTTTGTTAGAAGTGAAGTTCAGCCGAGGACTCTTTGCCCTCACTAACTGCCTAAATAGTTTTTCTCTTTTTCTTTTATTTTTTTTTATTATTATACTTTCAGTTCTAGAGTATGTGTGCACAACATGCAGGTTTGTTACATATGTATACATATACCATGTTGGTGTGCTGCACCCATTAACTCGTCATTTACATTAGGCATATCACCTAATGCTATCCCTCCCCCCTCCCCCCAACCCACGACAGGCCCCAGTGTGTGATGTTCCCCACCCTGTGTCCAAGTGTTCTCATTGTTCAATTCCCACCTATGAGTGAGAACATGTGGTGTTTGGTTTTTTGTCCTTGTGATAGTTTGCTCAGAATGATGGTTTCCAGCTTCATCCATGTCCCTACAAAGGACATGAACTCATCCTTTTTTATGGTTGCATAGTATTCCATAGTGTATATGTGCCACATTTTCTTAATCCAGTCTATCGTTGATGGACATTTGGGTTGGTTCCCAGTCTTTGCTATTGTGAATAGTGCCGCAATAAACATACGTATGCATGTGTCTTTATAGCAGCATGATTTATAATCCTTTGGGTATATACCCAGTAATGGGATGGCTGGGTCAAATGGTATTTCTAGTTCTAGATCCTTGAGGAATTGCCACACTATCTTCCACTATGGTTGAATTAGTTTACAGTCCCACCAACAGTGTAAAAGTGTTCCTATTTCTCCACATCCTCTCCAGCACCTGTTGTTTCCTGCCTTTTTTTTTTTTTTTTTTTTTTTTGAGACAGAGTCTCGCTCTGTCACCCAGGCTGGAGGTGTGATCTCCGCTCACTGCAAGCTCCGCCTCCTGGGTTCACAGCATTCTCCTGCCTCAGCCTCCCGAGTAGCTGGGACTACAGGCACCCGCCGCCATGCCCGGCTAATTTTTGTGTGTGTGTGTGTGTGTGTTTTTAGTAGAGACGGGGTTTCACCATGTTAGCCAGGATGGTCTCGATCTCCTGACTTCGTGATCCACCCGTCTTGGCCTCCCAAAGTGCTGGGATTACAGGCGTGAGCCACCACACCCGGCATGTTTCCTGACTTTTTAATGATCGCCATTCTAACTGGTGTGAGATGGTATCTCATTGTGGTTTTGATTTGCACATCACTGAAAAGCCAAAATTGACAAATGGGATCTAATTAAACTAAAGAGCTTCTGCACAGCAAAAGAAACTACCATCAGAGTGAGCAGGCAACCTACAGAATGGGAGAAAATTTTTACAATCTACCCATCTGACAAAGGGCTAATATCCAGAATCTACAAAGAACTTAAACAAATTTACAAGAAAAAAATCAGTCAACCCCAACAAAAAGTGGGCAAAGGATATGAACAGACACTTCTCAAAAGACGACATTTTTGCAGCCAACAGACACATGAAAAAATGCTAAATAGCTTTTTTCTACCTCCTGTATCAGAGGGTTCGATTCCCACTAATGGAACAGCACTGGTGGACCCCATAGATGGTGGGGCACTGTTTCCCTGGAATGTCCTCATCTAAGCTAGGTCACAAGTTCTTCCCTTTACACCCACAGCACACTGGGCAGCTCGGGATCAAACAAGAAAATACATCCTGAAACCAAAGTGCATCCTAATATTATTTAACCATGAAACTCTTTTAAAACTGTTCTAAATTTCACAACATCAACAGGAGCTCTGGAGTTATAACCTATGCCTGGATTAGAGTAGAAAGCAAAAATAGTCCTTAAGACAAATCAGTTACTACAAAATTTGATTCTCCAATACTTTTAAGCAGAATTTTTAAAATGTCAGCTTAGAAATATTAACTAATTTTAAAAGACCTATGTGTTAAAATTATGACTCAAGGCATAATAGCACTTACTAAGGAGAAGACATACATCAATGATATCAATAGTTACTTGGTAAGTACTTCCATTTTTTTTTTTTTTTTTTTGAGATGGAGTCTCGCCCTGTCACCCAGGTCTCGCCCTGTTGCCCAGACTGGAGTGCAATGGCACGATCTCAGCATCCTCCGCATCCCAGGTTCAAACAATTCTCCTGCCTCAGCCTCCCAAGCAGCTGGGATTACAGGTGCCCACCACCATGCCCAACTAATTTTTGTATTTTTAGTAGAGATTGGGTTTCACCATGTTGGCCAGGCTGGTCTCGAACTCCTGACCTCGTGATCCACCCATCTCAGCCTCCCAAAGTGCTGGGAGGTAAGTACTTCTTATGCAGTCAAAACAACGTACCTTCTAGTAACGGGCAATTTCTCCCAGGGTTACCTGCCATACTTAGGAGGGACACAGCTTCAAAGGGGATTATATCTATTGTTAAAAGAAAAACCTTAGACAAATTAAATTTAACAGAGTTTTATTGAGCAAAAAAATGACTCACAAATCAGGTATCCCCCAAAATCAGAATAGGTCAGAGAGGCTCCAATCCTATCACATGGCTGAAGAAGATTTATGGGTAGAAAAATGAAAATGACATACGGAAAACAGAAGTGAAATACAGAAGCAGCTGGGTTTCTTACAGCTTGGCATTTGCTTTATTTGAACATAATTGGCCACCTTTGTTTGAAGGAAACTTGGTGATTGGCACAAGAGCAGGTTACAGCCTCTTTACACATCCAGTTACGTTACAATCCACTATGTACTGAAACTTTTAGGCCAGACTTAAAATATGCAAGGAGGCAACTTTAGGCTAAACTTAATTTAACACTATTAACTATATAAAATATGTTAAGCATTTTCAAAATCTTTTAAAAACCATATTTAATGACTTTTTCTGTGAAAAATACATAAAAATTCACTCTGAAAAGGTAAAAGTTGTCCATAACTTCCCCACTGAAAACACTAACATTTATTGAGTGCTTACCATGTGATAGGCATTGTTCTAAACATTTTACATAAAGTATTTACAGCATCATTATAAATCAATGTATTATATTGATGTTAATATATCAATATAGTATGTTAATCAATATTGTAATGCATATTGTATTAACACATTAATGAGTAATGTATTACATCATTACCTATGAGGCAGGTAATATTATTTTTCCAGATAACTGAGACTCAGGGATGTTAAATAACTTGTCCAGGATCACCCAACTAGTAAAAGGTGGAACTTAGGTTTAAACCTAGGTAGTCCGACTCCAGAGCCAGACTTGTTAACAATTTTATTAAGAGTGGAATTTTCTTCCACTCTTATAATCCCATTCCCCAGAGGGAATCACTACTACTAATATTTTGGTGCTTAGTCATCTAGACTTTTTTCTGTGTTTGTACATACATGTGCGTGCACACATACTCACACACACACACACAAGCTTATTTTAGGGCTGTCATTTTTCCCATTTAATATATCGGGGACATCTTTCCATATCAACAAATACAGGCTTACTTCATTCTTTATAATGTCTACGTGGGATTCCCTGGTGTGGATATAGCAATTTATTTAATTATCCTGTTATTAGTAGATATTAAAAGAGTTTCTAAAAGTTGGTTCTTGCAAATTGTAATAAACATGGCTTATTTTTCCTTACATTAAAAATATTTGGAGAAAATATATTAGTAGCATGGTCCTAGTAAGTTCACATAACACTTATTAATATCTCTTGGAAAATCAATGTTTTGTGAAACACTGAGAAGCGAGTCTCAATCCTTTAACAGATACAGTGAGCTTACTCGCCTTCGCTCTTGATTCACTGCTTTTGTGTTACAAGGCTACTGTTGTGTAACAAACCCATCTTTAGTCAATCTCATGCCTTGGATCTCCAAACCATCACCACAGCCTCAAATATCACAACTCCTAAAACACAAGACCTAGAATATCAGGGATCAAAGAGACATGGAGAATCCACTCTTTCACCTGACTCAGCCCCAACTTATCGAATTCTGGTTCTGGCTGAGGAAACATGTCTTCTCAGTGGAGACACTAATGACCTATCAGTAGGCGGGCAAAGGATTAAAGAGCCAGGAAAAACTGGCTCGAGGAGAGATTTGGTTGGGAGATGTGAGTGAGAAGGTAGCTGCCAGGTATTGACAGCAAGATAAATATGGGCTTTGAGAATATAAACTCGTGTTTCCTTGGAGGACAGAATAAAGTTGTAGATTACTCTGATGATGCGCGCGCGCGCGCGCGCGTGTGTGTGTGTGTGTGTACTGAGTTTCCTAGAATGAAACTCCATGAAAGACAAGACCACTGCAAAGTCCAGCTTGTAAATAAGTTGTACATATGATAGTTGCAAGAGGAGAGGAACAGGGCTTATTTTGAGAAATCCAGCAAGGATTCTCAGAGGAAAGAAGCTCAGGCAGGAGAAGTAGCCGTTAGGAAAGAGAAGACAGGTCAAATTTCTGTAGCGTAGGGAAGCTTCCCATAGGATTTAGAACTTTCATTTCTCAACATTTTGACTATTGGAAGAGACCAAGTAGTTGTTCACCCAACTATTTCCTCCTGAGAACACAGCTAGACTGTCTTCCAACCTCTCTTGCAGTTAGAGGTGGCCACATGATGGGGTTCTGAAAGAAATGAAATTTCAAGTTTGCTACTTCCAGGGCTGTCCCATAAAGCCTCCTGTGCAATCTTGAATGTTCTCTCTCTCTTCTCTCATTTGCTGCCCAGATATAGAGGATGCAGTGGAGGGCTCTGAGATTCCAAAGGACAAGAAAGCCACTAGCTGGAAGAAACTTGGGTTCCTGAGTGATGCGTGGAGCAGAGCAGAGCTTCCTCACCAACCTCCATGTGATGGGAGTGAGAAATAAACTTGTTAACATTTTTTATTACAGCAGCTAGCTAACCCTGACTAGTACATTGTAGAATACTCGTATGTCCTTTGCCTCTCTGGTAGCTTCTCTGACTCCTTCCTGGAATCCTCTTCTTTCTCTCATCACCTGAACAAAACTATCCCCCTAAAAATCAGAGCCCTTCTGACCACTTTCCTCTGGGTCAGCAAGTGACCTAGTCCTGATCTCTCTTTTGAGCTCCAGATGCTCATCAGCAGCTTCTTAAGGTTAACTGTCTTGCAGTTGCATGAAGATGCAAACCTAAGTTCATTTTCTTCCTCCCCAAACTGATTCTCCTAACTTATCTTTCACTGTCACTCACTCGTCACCAGGCTTCTCCTAGTCAAACTGGCAGTACATCCCTGTGTGTTTTCAATTCTTCCCTCTTTCTCACCAGCTACACCAGACAGAAGACCATCACTCCTCTTTCCCCCACATCCATCCCCACGCTTCTGCTATCCTCATGGCCGTCTCTCTTCTCAAGCCAGGTGGTGGCACCTTAAGTCCTCTCTTCAATGCCACTCTCTCTTCCTCAAGTTACAGCACCCTGGGCTATGGCTCTTGTGTAGACTTCTGCAATAGCTTTTTTTTTTCTAATTAAGAAATATTTTAAGCACATGGGGAAGTGTAGAGACTAATATAACTAACACTTGTACCTATCACTCAGTTTTGTCAATCCTTAATATTTTGCTGTATTTGAAAATGAAGGGAAAAAAACAAAATTGCTTCAAATCTAGGAGATGAAAAGCTTATGTTATCTCTTTCATTGTATTAGGTGGAATTTTATAGTAAACTTACATAACACTAAAATTTGTATATAGTGCCATGTTTAAATTTTTCCCCGTTCCCATGCGTTATTGCCTCCATGTTGCATCAACCACTGATGTAATAGAAACCTGATATCAATCAACACATACCCCAAGTGATTTTATATGCATTTTACAGAACAAATGCCATTGGGCTACCTAAATGCCTCCATGGAACTATATATGTTTTTTCTATGATTATTATAATAGACTCCTTAGAATTAGAAAATGTGAGGTCATTTCTCTCTCTGACTATATGTGTGTGTGTGTGTGTGTGTGTGTAAATATATGTTATAATATATATTAAATAAATAATTACAGGCATATTTGAAGCCCCCTACCAATCCGTATATAATTGCATCTAGCTGAGATTTGAATTCTTCTGATTTCTAGTGAAGTTAAACATTATCTATGTGCCTTTGGTTTTTAAATTTTCTGTGTTTTGTTTCTCCCTATAGGTCAATTGAAAGTGGTTTGTCCTTTTTATGATTTGAATGAGTTCTTCATAAATTTTGGCCACTAATCTTTAATCAGTTCTATGCATTGCAAATGCCTCTCCCTGTCGGTGGCCCATCCTTTCACTTTGTTTCTCGTATCTTCTTTGGACCAAAGTTTTCAATTTTAATATAGCCAAATATGTCATATTATTTTACCCTTTATGGTTTGTGCTTTTTCACCCAGGCTGGAGCGCAGTGGCGTGATCTTGGCTCATTGCAACCTCCGCCTCCCAGGTTCAAGTGATTCTCATTCTTCAGCCTCACAAGTAGCTGGAATTACAGGCACACACCACCACGCCCAGCTAATTTTTGTATTTTTAGTAGAGATGAGGTTTTGCCACATTGTCTAGGCTGGTCTCAAACTCCTGGGCTAAAGTGATCCACCGGCTTCAGCTTCCCAAAGTGTTGGGATTACAGGTGTGCGCCATCACTCCTGATCTTGCTTAAGAAATCATTCTGGCCCCTGAAGTCATAAACAACTCATATTTTTGTCTAAACATTTTATTGTTGGGCTACTCACATTTCGGTTGATAACCCACCTGGAATTTATTTTTGTATAAGACATAAGGTAGGAATCTAATTTTATGTTTTTCCCCACATGGCTAGATTGTTGTATCAGCAGCATTAAATATTCTCTTCTTTCCACCTGATTCATAATGCCTGCTCTGTCAAATATCAAGTTGCCATATATACATGGATCTGTTCCTTGCTTCTTGATTCTGTTGCCTTTGCCAGTTTTCCACTCCAGGATTGCATGATAATTACTATGACTTCGTAGTAAGTCTTGGTTTCTGATAGGGTAAGGCCATCTCCTTTCCCCATAGCCTTGTTCTTCACGTTTGTCTTGGCTATTTGTTTTGATTGTTTGTTGCTGGATAATGAGTTATCTCAAAATAGTAGTTTGAAACAACCACCCAAAGATCAAATATGCAGGTTGATGAATAAAATTTTTGCATACTGTGTCATATGCATCAAGAGCATAGGGAGATGAAGTGAAGGGAGGGCCCACTGTGTGGCCTGAAGAACGACCCGCAGGGAGAAGGCTGCTTACACACTCAGACATGCACAGTGGGCCTGAAGCCTCCTGGGACTCCAGAGATCAAGGGCCAGCTCTCCCTCTCCAATCTGTCCTGGTCCTCCTCACATACCCCTCCTGTGGGGCCTGAGGTTGCCATGGATGCCCCGGTACTGAGATAAGGAAAAGGTGTACATTCCCGAGGTCATAGCTTTGGAAAGGTGCCTTCAGGCCTTTGGTGGTAGCAGGGGTAGCCCTTTCCCTGGGGCAGGGTGGGGAGGAGGAACCCACATCCTCCTGTCTGGGGCCGCTGGTTAATTAGGAATCTTGCCCCTTGAACTCCCCAGCTGAGTCAGCTGCACCCCTGCTCTCCCCTCTTGCCTCCTGGAGGCTTGTGTCAGGAAAGGTCATGCTTCCCCCATCCTCTCCATCCTCCTCTGGCACCTTCAGCATTCCTCTAGCTGTAGCCGTGACTGCTTTATATCGTCATTGTTTTTCCATGCATCTCCCCAAACACAAACACACACACACACACACACACACACACACACACACACACACACACACACAATCTTTAAGGGAACAGGGACCCAGAAGCATAGTGGTTAAAACTTCGGAGTCTAGAATTCATCATTTACTAGCTGTGTGAATTCAGGAAATTACTTAACCTCTCTATGCCACAATATCTAAATATGTAAAATACCTTACAGGGATGTTCGAGCCATTAATCCATGAAAAGGAATCTGGCACATAATAAGCACTCCATAAATGTCGGCTTGCTAGAATTAATCTCTGTATCCTCAACCCTGAGCACAGTACCTGACAGTCAGTAGCCACCCCTAAATGCTTGTGTAATTTATACAGATCAGTCAAAACTGTTAGAGTTGGCCGGGGTGGTGGCTCACCCCTGTAATCCCAGCACTTTGAGAGGCTGAGGCGGGAGGATCACATGAAGCCAGGAGTTCGAGACCAGCCTGGCCAAAATGGTGAAACCCCATCTCTACTAAAAATACAAAAATTAGCCAGGATTGGCACGCACTTGTAGTACCAGCTACTCAGGAGGCTGAGGCAGGAGAATGGCTTGAACCTGGGAGGCGGAGGTTACAGGGAGCCAAGATCATGCCACTGCACTCCAGCCTGGGTGACAGAATGACTCTGTTTCAAAAAATAAGAAGTAACGTTGGAGCTCTAGGTCTAGGTAAATCCCCCGGGTTTTGACAGTTCATGAGGGTGGCTCCTGGTGCTGCAGCCAGACCAATGCAAACAGGAAATCCAAGTCAGGGATCATTTGTTGGAGATGGGCTCTCCCAGTGGTATGTAGTCTAAAATATACAACAAACACGGAGGCACTGTCAAGAGCCTATAACTGTGAAGGACCAGAGGTCAAATGAGGCCACAGTTCAACACCAGTGACCTTCTCAAAACAGGGCTAGCTCAGGTGGAAAAGCATGGTGCAGCAATTGCCTAGCCTTCAGCAGTCAGATCCAGCTTGCAGGAGGAGACTAAGCCAGGCAGGGCAGGATTAGAAACTCAGGAGCCAGGGTGACACCCAGAACACCCCATTCCCTCCTTGTTCCCCATCTCCCTTAGCCTGAGTGTCTGGCCCTACAGGTTTGTGTCCCCATGGAGCCAAAGGCTGAGGACAGAACCACATCCTTGACACTGGGACCCTAGAAGGTGGATGATGGCAGCACAGATGTCACAGTCATAAGTAATAGGAGCTTACCTACCTTTCTCCCAGAGGAAGACCTCATCCTCACAACCTGGCCCTCCAGGCCTCAAACCTCCCACCCTTCTTCTCTCCATCCTCCTCTCTTTCTGGCCATGATGTAGCCTGACTTCAGTCTCGTCCTGTGGACAAGGCTGATGTCTCACTCTGACTGAGGACAAGCCAAGTCCTATTTAACAAAAGCTTTCACAAGCCAGCTGCCTAAGGAGGAGTTGGTGAGCTTCCTGCCCTTTGACAGATGGAGGCAGAGACTTCATGACTCCTTACTGAAGTTTGTAGAGAGGGTTTTGGCGTCCCACTGGAAGCTAGAATCAGGGACCTTTAAGGTCACCATTGGGAATCTGCAACTCCAAGCAATCTTCCCCATGATGTAGCAGGATACCACTTCTGGTCACTTGGCCTGAAGTTCCCAGAGTTCAAAGTCACTTCTTGGGGACACACAATAAAAGAGGGACCCCTGTCTCCAGAAGGGCCCTTTGGAAAATATGTGGGCCAAGCAGGAGGCAGCCCCCAGCCCACTCTGTTTGACTGAGATGCAGCTAGCAGACTGGATAATGATTCTGTGCAAGGCAGAGGTGCCCAAATCAGTTCTGATGGAGCTGTGTGGATGGCCATAGGGAAGGAAGGTCCTCACCACACCCTGCCTGGCAAAGACAGGGCGAGAGCTAGGGCCAGGGAGACTCCTGAGCAGTAGGCACTACCCACATCCTGGCATTCCTTCTGGCAGGGTCATAAGAATCTCATGAGTGGGAGGGGATTTTCAATCAGGAGGACAGGGAAGAGAAGAGGGATCTGGCTTGGGGGTTAGGGGGAGGGCAGAACTCCTCAGCCTGGCTTAGAGGCCCTGAGAGGACAGTTAAGGGAGGGGTCTCTCAAGGACATAGGCACCAATAAAATGCATGCACAATCTGTCAGGATTTCATAGCCCTTTGTCAGAAAGGAAGTGATGGCCACAGAGGGAGGCGAGAATTGGGTTACTCAAAGGCACTGGGTCCCCAGACCCTATCTACCTGGACTCTGTCCTAGCAGATCCTGGGGAACAGGGGTGCAAGTGTCCAGAAATCTCCTCCATGATCTTATCACAGCCCTCAGACTCAAACCTTCTGCCCTCTAGTTGATAAGTACTTGACTTTTCTTTGCTCCTCCTTCCTCATATCCCTTTAAGGAGGAGGTGACCCCTGCTGGTTGGTAGCTGTCTTTGCCACATGGAGGGCATTCATCACTGGTAAAGCAGCTCTATATCAATGTGAGTACTTGATAAGTGCTCACTGTCCAGTAAATTCTGCCTTCAGTTCCCAGGCCAGTAGCACCAGATCACCTCAGAGCTTGTTAAAAATGCATCATCAGGCTCCATGCCAGATGTGTTAAGGCAAAGTGTCTTAGGTGAGGCCCAGGAAACTGTTTTAACAAGCTCTTCAAGTGGTTTTATGCACACTCAAGTTTGAGTAGCACCGAGCTAAAAGAGCACTTGGTAGGGATGTTATTTGTAGAGTTGATTCCAATGTTACACAGAGGGTTGATCAAGATGACTTTAGATCATTTGAATTCTGCAGTTCTGTGATTCCAAGAGTCTCAGATCTTTAGACAAGACAGACTTACCCAAGGGAAACTGCCTAGTCTCTCGCACCTGCTAGGAGAGCATCCTAGGGGAGCCATGTTGTCTGCCATGTGACACCCTTCCCCACAGCTGACTGGACAAATGGTAGCCAATCCACAAGCTGGTTCATGACCTATGAGACATGAAAAGCTGCCTTCCACAGGGGTGAAGGGCAAAGCTGGGTTAGCCAACTTCTCTTTTTCTCTAGGAGATTTGAATTGGGAAACAGAGAGAAAGGAAACACGTAGCTAAGCCATGCATGAGGCAGCAGGGGAATGAGTAGTCACCAGTGCGAGGCAAGATTTAGAGTAAATAGGAACTAAGAGTAAGTATAAACCAGGAAATTAAAAAAGACAAGAATAAAGTTGCACAGGAAAGCTGTGGTACTGCTGTCCTAGGGAAGGGTCATTCTTACTCACAGTGGTCTTCTCCTTTTGGACGTCATCATAAACATGGTAAGATTCACCCTCACCTGCAAAGAAGACAGTCAAGGTTAAGCAAGGAATCTCTCCCAACCCAACTCCCATGGAAACATGAGGGAGATATTGGGGTCCTGGCTGGGCAGAAGGGACACTGATGGGAAAGAGGCCAGGGCTGGATCAGTGGCCACATTCTGCCTGGGGAGGTCCCCAGTGCCCAGCAAGAGTGGTGTCCAGGTATACGAAGGAGCAAAACAAACTGGCTGTCTATGATTAATGTGCATAAAATCCGTAAAGTTAATTATCAATTCCAGGTTGCTGAAAATTCCAAATTTAAAATTAGACCTAAGTATAATCTATTTGCTGATGAATTTATATGTAGTACTGTCTTTCCAATTTTTTGAACCAGGAGCTCCAGTGTGATTCACAATTTATCTACCACTTACACAAACACACTCATACACTCTCACACCCAGACACATATTCACACACACTCCTAAAATAAAAGTTTAACAAAAAAAGGGTAAAGCATTATGACATTATGCTCTTCTATTATGTTTTTATAAAAATCCTGTTGTGACCTATTAAATTGATTTTACACTGATTAAAAATAGGTATATAAAATTTTACAACCCACTGCTTTCTTTGGATTTTCATAGCTTGAATAATTAAAACCAATGAAGTCCAATATACCTCTGGCCCACTCCCACGTTTCAGTCTTTTTGTCAACAGAAACATCTTCAGTATAGGGCTATTGAGCACACAGTACCTATGTGTCAAACCAACCAACCAACATAAAACAGCAAGAAAGGAGGTAACATTCATTAAAGGGGACTAATCTGATAAATCTTAGACAAGATGCTACAGATTTCATATGTGATTAATGCTAAAAACTTAAAACTTTGAAGATTAAAAAGTCCTGGAAGTGCTTTTAGGAAGACGACATTTTTAAATGATAAAAACAATTAAAAAACAATACCATGAACCAGGAACATCTTTACATAGATTTGTTTTAAAAGTCTTAACCTAAAAGTTGGCAAAAAATACATGATCCAAAATGGATACTAGCACACCTAGTTGTAGACAAATTGGCACTGAGTTGAATTGGCTTTGGGTGAGCTGACCTGGAGCCTTAGAAGATGATGAGTCCACCGCCCTCAGGGCTGCCCAGGCTGTTGCTCTGGCAGAAGGAAGGGAAGCCATTTGGGGCTCCCAGGGGATCTTGGCCACTTTACTTCTCAGGCCTCAGTTTCCTAGTTGGTAAAATGAGCATAAGAATCCTTGTCCTCGATGAGTTCATGTCCTTGTAGGGACATGGATGAAGCTGGAAACCATCATTCTGAGCAAACTATCACAAGGACAGAAAACCAAATACCGCATGTTCTCACTTATAGGTGGGAATTGAACAATGAGAACACTTGGACACAGGGTGGGGAACATCACACACGGGGGCCTGCCGTGGGGTAGGGAGAAGGGGGAGGGATAGCATTAGGACATATACCTAATGTAAATGACGAGTTAATGGGTGCAGCACAGCAACATGGCACATGTATACATATGTAACAAACCTGCACGTTGTGCACATGTGTCCTAGAACTTAAAGTACAATAATAAAAAATAAAAAAAATAAAAAAACAATCCTTGTCCTCACGGCTCTCAGGCTGCCCTAGAAATCGCTAAGCACTTGGCTGTCTGCTCAGAGCCAGTGACCAGGACTCACTTTCCTAGCTCTTCCTCGGGCTTTCTGGAGGTACCGGTTGATGAGGAGGGCAAGCAGCAGCAGCAGCAGCACAACGGTCACTGCCACACCCAGGATGATGGACTTGACTGGGGGGCTTTGGAATAAGGACCCGCCTGATGAGGAAAGTCAGAGCCCAGACCAACCTCCTGCCCTGAAATTCATCCCTCCTGCCATGCCTGTTGTCACCACAGGCCCTCCCCAGCTTCTAGCCTGTCCTCTGAGGTCTCCTTCGGCTCAGCTGACCAGTAGGCAGCCATGTGATCAGGGGCTCTTCCCCACAAACCATGTTGTCTAGGGTAAGCCATTCCACCTCAGGGTCGGTTTCTTTCTGTGCAAAACTGCTATCTCAAGTCCTTGCTCTTTCCCTTTTGCAATTGTTATCCCTTGGCTTTCTATCTGGGCCCCTATTGCAGGGTCTCCACCCAGCTCTCCTGGCACCCTTTGCTTCACATTTCTGTCTCAGGTCCTTAAGCTCAACCCTTCTCTAGGAAATGCAGTGAGCTCTCAGAGTATACTGATGTCATTGACAAATAGCTCTCCCAGATAAAAAATACATTTTAATAGGTCCCATTTTAAGTCAAAGGAAGAACACAGAGGTAGACTGTTTTATACCATAGCAGGCTTTTAGGGAAGGTGTCTGGGTTGTCAGATGTCAAAGGGGGAGGACAAGCAGTTCAGGAACATCTCTCAGCTCAGGTGATCAGCACCCCTTGGTTTCTGGTTTAATCTCTTGATGCAAGAAAGTATGGTTTGCAAGAGCCCAGCATTCATCATCTGGAGTGATGGTGGATGGAGAGAAGGGAGGGGAGGACAGAGGCAGGAAGACACTGTCAGTGCCCGTGGCTGGGGCCTGGAAACCATCAGGCAGAGGTAGAAAACAAAGCAGGCCACAGGTTGTGGTAACTACACAGTGTGCCCTTTCCCTAGACCCACAGTACTCTGGAATAGCTCTCCTGCTCACGGACAAGGGCTGGAAGGAGGACAGAGGTGAAAGAAACAGCCCTGGTCATGTGCTATGAATTGAACTGGGCCCTTCAAGTCCGTATTTTCCTTGAATCTTCACAACAACCCTGTAAGAAAAAGGTTCCTGTCCCCCTCCCTTGGCCCTGCTCCCCTTCCCCTCACCTGAGGCCAGGAGCACCAGCAGAACTCTCAACAGCAGGTGTGTGGCCTCCAAGGTCATGGGTCCTCTTCTTGAGCCGGGATGGTGGGAGGAAAGTGAGGCAGCGGGGAAACCCTGGGGAGCGGGAACCAGCGCTGGCAGGATCCGGCCCTGGGGATGAATTGCTGAGGAAGTCAAAGTCTCCCTTGAGGAAGCAGGAGGCCTGGAAGGAAGGGGGACGCCTTGGCCTACACGAGCCCCTCCAGCTGCAGGCTCTACATCCGGGCCTGGAAAGGCCTCAGCCTATACTCTGTAGCTCCTGCTGGTTTCCTCTGGCCCCAGCCTCTTCCCACTTGTCAGGCCACCTCCCTCCCACTGGCGCTGGGGTGGGAAAAGCTGAGAAAGTCCAGGAGGAAACTATGGCGAAATAAAAACCTCTTTCTCCTCTCTCCCCTCTATTCTACCACTTCCTCCCCAGCCTGAAGTTTCTCTTCCTCACCCAGCTAACACACAGGCTGAAGGTGAGTGACAGTGTTAGGGAGCCTTTTGGAGGTCTGACTAGAACCTGAAGACCCATTGGCTCCCAGGGGTCAGAGACTTCATGACCAGGCCTGCCTGGAACCGGGGAGTTCCATGTCAACAGGAGGGGAAGAGGAGAAAAGAGATGGAGATTCACTTCCAGGAATGGAGGTGCAGGGGGTGTCTATGGCAAAGGTGGGAGAGAGTAAAGCCTGGGGAGGGGAAGATGGGGAAGGGAGGAGGAGGGGAAAGGGTATCTCAGTCCCCAGATCATCTCCTTCCCCAGCTCTGAGCTGCCATAATCACTCCAGAGCCTTTGATGAAAGATGACACTAATCAAACACATTTAAAAATAATTGTCCTTAGATGAACTATAGAAAATCAATTGTCACAGGCGATTGACAGTTAATAAACAACAAAGAAAAGAAAAACTATAAACCGTGGTGCTGCAGGTTGGGTTCCTGGGCACAGAGTCAGCTGCAGATTAGCACTGGAGGTTTAAAGCGCTCTGGGACCAACATCTGGGGAAGAGAAGAGCAGGAAGCAGGATGGGGCATGTGAATCCAAAATATCAGAGAGAGGCCTCAATCAATTCAGAAAGTCTACTTTGCCAAGGTTAAGGACATGCCTATAATAGTCTCAGGAGCCCTGAAGACATGTGCCCAAGGTGGTTGGGGCACAGCTTGTTTTTATACATGTTAGGGAGACGTGAGGCATCAATAATTATATGTAAGATGTATATCGACTCGGTCTGGACCAATGTGCATTTGGTCCAGGGTTTGTGTGGACGGGGCAGTGGGAAAGGCGGCTTCCAAGTCGTAGATAGATAAGAGACAAAAGGTTGCATTCTTTTAAGTCCTCTATCAGTCTTTCACTGAACACACAATTTAGTCTGGCTCAGTGAATCTGCATTTTTACATAAACAATAGGGCAGAGAAGCAATCAGATACGCATTTGTCCTAGGCAAGCAGAGGGATAACTTTCTTTCCTGCACCTGTGAAGACCAGCTAGCAGTTTACATTGCCAGGGTGAAAATCAACAGAACTGTTTTAGGGTAAAGATCTCAAGGCCCACAAAGAATTGTCTTGTGGGCAAATTGTGAGGGAGGTACATAGTTTTTTAATCTTTGTAGCTATCTTATTTAGGAATAAAATGCGAGGCCAGTTTGCCTGCTGTAGTTCCCAGCTTGATTTTTCCCCTGGCTTAGTGATTTTGGGGTTCTGAGATTTATTTTCCTTTCACAGGCAGAAGGAGAAGTCAGGCTGCAATAGAGGCCATAAGGAGACTCAGGCTATCCTGGGAGGAGTTCCTAAGACAGGATGGCCCTTCAGGACTTGTCAGTCAGGGGAGGTGGGGTGTCCTGGGAGGGGAGTCTGGCCTTGGCAAGGTGGCTTTCTGCAGCTGAGGAAGACCCCAGAGAAGCTGGCAGAGGAGACCTGCCCTCACCACTCCTAATGTCCATCAGTCCCACATGAGGAGCTGGCAGCACGGCATCCACTCTCTCAATTTGATCCAGAGTGAAAGCATGTTGCAGCCATTGAAGAGAACTGTAAACCTAATGCCTGCTTGCTGGGCTCCATGCAGGTGTGTGTATATCCAGGAGGTACTGGATTTACTTTATTTGTTCTTCCATTGGCCATGATGGCCAGCCCTTCCCAGGTGTGTGTTCTATGTCCACAGCCTGTTGCTCAGGAAGCTTTATTGTCTCACCTGCTAAAGTGAGCAGCCTGTCCGATGCCCCACCTGCCCTGCACCTTCCTGCCGTGGATCTGCTGTGGATCTGGGTCCCTGGAGCTTCGAGAAGAAGGTTGAGAGAGGAGGGAGGAAGTGAAAGGCTGGTGTGTTTAGGAAAGTGTCCAGTTGGGGCTGGGGATATGGGGCTTGGTCTATAGCTCCTCAGCCCCCGTGTCCTTACCATGGGAGTTCATATGGGAGCAGGCTCCTAGGGTGAGCAAATTGTGCTGGTTCACTTGGTTCCAGGAACCCCTCAGGGGCATACAGGGACAGTTGGTCACCCTCACAGCTACCGTGCTCTACTTCAGGACACAGCTAAAGGCCTCTGCTTGGGTTCAGCAACCAGCTGGTGAGTGGCCATGTCCCCTTCCACCCTCCACAGCCCTTCTCGTCAAGCCTCCCCATGGCTCCCAGCTGCCATGGCCTGTGCAGTCTCTGCACCTAGATCTCACCTCCTGACTCCACCCTGTGGTTTGCGCCTCAGATAGAGCCCCACCTCCTCCCTGAAGCCTGCCTGGCTAGCCAGAGCCTGCAGGATTCCCAGTTCCCCATCTTGGAAGGACTTGAGAACCTCCTATCTCTTGCACTGTGGTGTCTTACCCTGTGCTAAGGTCTGGGGTGTACCCAGCAGTGCCATGTCTCCCTTCCCTCAGAGGCTGTGAGCAGATTGAGGCCAGGGCTGGTTCTTGTTCTTTTCCGGTGTGCCCCACCTCATTAATGCTGAGCTGTGTCCATGCAACTGTTCTGCACATGTTACTGGAAAGGGATCCCGATCCAGACCCCAAGAGAGGGTTCTTGGATCTCATGCAAGAAAGAATTCAGGGTAAATGCATATGGTAAAATGAAAGCAAGTTTATTTAAAAAGTAAAGGAATAAAGAATGGCTACTCTATAGGCAGAGCAGCAACATGGGCTGCTTAGCTGCTTATATTTATTGTTACTTCTTGATTATATGCTAAACAAGGGGTGGATTATTCATGAGTTTTCCAGGAAAGGGGTGGGCAATTCCTGGAGCTGAGGGTTCCTCCTCTTTTCAGACCATATAAGGTAACTTCCTGATGTTGCCATGGCATTTGTAAGCTGACATGGTGCTGGTGGGAGTGTCTCTTATCATGCTAATGCATTATAATTTGCATATAATGTGCAGTGAGGACAGCCAGAGGTCACTCTCATTGCCATCTTGGTTTTGGTGGGTTTTAGCTGATTTCTTTACTGCAAACCTGTTTTATCAGCAAGGTCTTTATGACCTGTATCTTGTGTCAACCTATCTCACCCTGTGACTTAGAATGCCTAACATCTGGGAAGGCAACCCGGTAGGTCTCAGCCTTATTTTACTCAGCCTCTATACAAGATGGAGTCCATCTGGTTTAAACACCTCTGACACACATACCCAAGGAAGTCAGAAGAGGCTTCAGAGCTCCTCTCCACCCTCCTGTTACAGTCTCACCAGTGCACCACAATGTAGCAGTCTCTCATTGTTTGAGGTATCACTGGAGTTCTTTGTCTCACAACAATGAAAATTAAGGAGCGTGGACACCAAGGATGAGGTTGGAGTGAAAGTTTAATGAGTGAGAGAAGAAAGCTCTCTGCTGTGGAGAGGAGGCCTGAAAGAGGGTTGCCATTTTTACAGTTGAATGTAAAGGCTTTTATAAGAAACCGATGAGGACTGGGCAGCTCATCTGCATAAGGCATGAATTTCTGGTAGCTCCCTGCTGTCCTTCTAATGTACATGTGGGCCCTTGGCTTGAGTTACTTACTCCATATTGCTTTGTTCCCCTTACTGCACATGTCAGGGGATGAAATTTTCCATTGCAGGCATGTTTGGGCAAGTCACCTGTGTAGTCTGTCTTATCTATGAGGCTGTGGGCATGTCTTAGGCAAGCCCCCCTGTGCAAGTTCCCATATCTGTGCCTGCAGCTTGATTTTTCAGGCTGTTCTTTTGTTTAAAAGAATTCTACCGAGAACCCACCCTAACTGCCTGCCTGACTGGTTTCTTCCTTTCTCCTCTCTCACTCCTTCTCCAGATGAGGAAACAAGATCAGAGAGGGACAGTGACTTGCCAAGTTCACACTGAGATGAGTCCACCCTGTACCCTCCCCTCCTCAAAAGAGGACCTTACCAAAGGGACTGTCATCGGGGGCCCTCAACATCCATATAGTGATGACACTTGGGAAGAGATATGACAAAAGCAAGAAACAGAATCCTAAGGTCTTAAATGTAATGTTGGAAACAACATTAGAGCTGGAAAACAACTTAAGGAATAATGGTAATGAGGCATTTGCATCATTGTACAATGCTAATGTTATTTTATCTTGAAAACAATCTTGAGAAGTAGGAATTATTGTCCTCTTTCACAAGACAGGAAAAATGAGGCCAAGGGTTAGTGACTTGCTGAGGGTCACACAGTGACAGAGTGGTATCCTGGTCCCTGTCCCTGACTTCTTCCCTAGGGCTCCTCCTCCTGGGCATCTCACTCAGAGGAAGCAGGGCCATCAGTGGTACTGGTGCCAGCTCTTGGGGAGCTATTTTCCCCCAGGTGGGTTAAGTTCTCTCCTAGTATACAACAGGATGGTGGCTACACCGTCATGATAGGGAGAACAGCTATCTTAGGAGGCTGCTTGCTAGACAGAGATGGGTGTGTGTGCGTGTCTGTCTGTCTGTCTGTCTGTCTGTCTGTCTGTCTGTCCTGGGTCCAGAGCCGTCAATTCTTCAGCCTCAGTCTTCCCTCTATTGCCCTCTCCTGGACATAGGGAAGAAGTGCCTCCTCCCTGCTGTCCCCCAGGATTACTCCCTGCCTCTTCCACTCTCCCCACATCCATCCTGAAGTGGCCCCTCTGGCTGTCCACCAGGGTCCTGGCTGTGTCACTCTCTTGGCCATTGGAACGTCCCTGACCCAGGGTTCAATGCACAGTTGTCACATTTATCCCCAGGTGCTATTCCAGTCACTCCAGGTCAGTAGACACCTGTGTGTGTGTGTGTGTGTGTGTGTGTGTGTGTGTGTGTGTGTGTGTGTGTGTAGGGGAATCCAGGCTGCATTCTCCAGCCTTCATTGCTGGACGCCAAGCCAGTGCTCTGGACAATAGAGGCTGAGTCTGAGCCCTGAGTCAGTGGGTGGGAGGCAGATTCCTCGGGACATTGGGTCCCTGGCCAGAGGCTACTTGGGCTCCATTTTCCCTGTCCCCCTGCCTGGGCCAGTCCTCCAGGCCGTGGTCAGTTCCAAGTTACTGTCTTCACTGTGTCCCAAGTGTGTCTTCTCTCTCTATCCTGAGGGGTAGGAGGAGGGTTGCTCCACCCTTCCTCTGAGCCATGGTCTCCCCACCAGTGTCTGTGGGGTGAGCAGCCTCCATACAGAGCCAAGGTCTCAGCCACCCCAGGGTATGGACTTCCTGGAGGCTGCTGGGTCCCCTGTGGGAACTCAGACTTGGAGCCCAGGTGTAGAAGCTGGGGGAGAGAGCCCCAAGTCCAGCCTCTGCACTTCAGTCTTGGGAGAGGCTGACCCTGCAGCCCAGAGGCTCTTAGCTGCCTGGTCACAGCTTTCTAAGGAGGCAGCGGCCAGCAGGAGGCAGCAGTGAGAGCGTGGGCTCTGCGCGGTCCCAGGACAGGAGGGAGGAGCAGCCCCAGTCAGGGCAGGGCCATCCAGAGGCCCAGCAAAGGACACCTGTCCCGACAAGAGAAGCTGCCAACCCCTCTGTGGGTCCCCAGCTTTTAGTCACTGTTTCCTCTCCTCCAGGATGGGACATCACTGCCTCTGGCATTCGTGAGCCCGATTCTTTCTTCCCTAACCTTAGGGGAAGCTGAAGCAGAACGGAGGGAAGCAGAGGACACAGTGGCCCTGGTGGGGAGGGCAGCTCAGCCCAATAGGGTTTCTGAGGCAGACGGGAGCTGAGGTTCTCTGTAAACAGCACTCTCAGGGTTCCCCTGCCTCCACCAAGAGCCCTGGGGTCTGCAGCTCCGAGCAGAAACCACTGGTCACATTTCCTCGGGACTTTCTCCCTGATGCCCTTTGCTCTGGGCCCCTCCCCAGGTTCCTGCCCCCAAGGAGAACACTGGGCTGTGGGGCTGCTTAGGATGGCAGCCTCTGGGTTTGGGAAGTCCTGGGTGAGTCCAGCACTGCACAAGTCCTCCAGCTTCATAAGATCGATACTGGCCCCAATCTTCACCCCTCCTCTAACCCCCTGGGGCCACTCTGGGAGAAGCTCCCCACCCCATGCTTAAGTGGCCTCAGATCAAGTAGACTTCCACATAGGGCTCTGGTCTTCCAGGTGGGTCACGTGTAGAAGGATCGCTGCACATGCTGTAGCCTGCAAGAAACAGGGAGAGCTGAGGAAGTGTCCTGCCCTGCCCACGGTGCCCCGATGCTCCTCCACCAGCCCCAGCCCCTTTCTGGCTCTGCCTCTGGTTCCTTCCAGGTCATCCCCTTAGGGTTGTGCTGGGTGGTCTCCGCCTGGCCGCCCTCCTCCCCAGGTGGAAGCGTCATAGTCCTTTTGACTGGACACAGGCCAAGGGCCATACCACGTGGGGACTCGAGGTCATAACCCTTAGTGCAGTTACCCAGAGCTCTGCCCTCAGGAGGCTGGGAGGTGGGCTCTACTCACTTGCCATGTGTCTCTTCTTCCAAAACCCATAGACCATGATCAGCATCAGCACCAGGAGGGTCAGCACCACCCCAAGCACAGTGGAGTAAACATCCTGGTGCCTGAGAAGAAGGGACAGGGTGGAAGCGGGTGAGCACCAAGGTCCCCCATCCTAACCCACGTTGGGATCGGACCAGCAGCAGAAACCCTGAGAGCGTGCCCTTCCCGGGGTAGACGGCCACCCTCTTCCTTACAGACCCGGCCACAGAAGCAAGTGTGACATCCGGAGTTAAGAGGAGGACGTCCCCAGGTAGAGGGGAACATCTCTCTACTTTGGTACCTCTCCTCCATTATGCCCCCAAATCTGTTCATCAGTGAGGATGAGGATTCTAGGAGACTCCCATTTGTGGCTAAAGAGATCAAGATGCTTGCTCTCCTCAAGGGGTCTGAGGATGCCTGTTCCCCCACTCTATCCTCTGTAGCAGATGCTGTCGGGCCCCTGCCTGTGTCCTCTTGCCTGTGTCATTTCCACCTGCACACATCATCAGCACCTCCTTTTCTGTGGGTGGGAGGCTGAGGCCTTTCTCTTGTCACTAGAGCCCTCTATGCCACACACAGCAGGCAGCCCTCTACTGATAACCAATTGGAGTTGGTGTGTAACTATGCGGGCTCCTTTGCCCTTCAGATGTGTGTTTTATGCTAGATCTGACTCTCCCCGTTGGGATTAGGCTCTTGTTGTGCACAGCAGCTGCTTGGTTAAGTACTCTTTATTAGAGGCCTTCCCTGCCCTGTCCCACTCCCCCACCTTTTTTCCAGTGTTCATATAAGACGCAAATCCCTGACTCAGAGTCAGTTTCTCTAGAGGAATCCAAATTAAAGCATCCCCCATTTTCCACTTCCTACTCCATGAGGCGCATCCTTGCCCTATCCTCACCCTCTCCTCTCCATCCACAGACACTTCAGGACACCCATCCCCTGACATGCTCATCTCTGACTCTCATCCCCCCTGGCCCTAATTCTACCAACTCTCATTGCCCCCTACCCTCATCTCTGCAGCCCCCCTCTCCCCTGATACTCCTCCCACTGACCTTCTTCTCTGACTCTCCTCCCCCACAACCTTCATTTACCCCCATCCTCATCCCCCTGACCCTAATGCCCCCGACTCTCATAGTCCCCTGCCCTCATCCCTGCAACCCTCATCTCCCCCTACCTTTATCCCGACCCTCCTCTCTGCTGACACTTCCCCCACCTTCCTCCCACCAACTCCGCTCCCCACTGACCCTCATCCTTCCTGATCCTCCTTTCACCTGACCTTCCTCCTCCCTGATCCTCCTCCCCCGACCCTCCTTTCCCCTGTCCCTCCTGTCCCCACCCTTCTTTCCCCTGCCCCTCCTCCCCACTGACCCTCCTTTCCCCTGCCCCTCCTCCCCACCCCCGACCCTCCTTTCCCCTGCCCCTCCTCTCTCCTGCCCCTCCTCTCCATTGCCATCCTTTATGTCACTTCCAGTCCCCCACCTCACATTCAGAAGCAGGCCACATTGGGTTCCTGGGGAGCAAAAGGGGAAGGTCAGATATAAGACTTGCACCTCCAGGTCTGTTTGGGCACTAAGTGCTGGTGCCACTCAACCCCAGGCCCCACAGGTACCTGATGGAGGGCATGGAGGGTAGTCTGTTGAGGAGAGATCTGCTGGTGAGGCAGAGCCCTGTGGTGGGCGATCTGGTGCTGAGGTCCCCAGACTTAGTGGAGATGGATTCTGGGCCAGCAGAGGAGTCCCTGGCATTGCTGGGAGACGCGGTCACTGTCTGGGACCCCATGGTCCTCCTGGGTCCCTGGCTGGTGGTGCTGGTAGCAGTGAAGCTGTAGCCTGTCTTGGAGGCAGGTCTGGTGGAGGCTAAGAGCCTAGGCAAGGTGATGAGTCCTGGGGTGAACACCATCACACCAGTGGTAAAAGGGGCATCAGGGCCTGAGGTAGGGGCTTGGCCAGTTGTGACAGTTCCACTCTTGAGGATGTTGTCCAGATGTGTGAAAGGAATGTTCCTCTCAGTTTGGGGAGCTGAAAGACAGAAAGGGAGGAACGTTAGATTGACTTGGGTGCCTCAGTGCTGGGAGCAGATCCTGGCAACCCACACAGTTGCCTGGAAGCCTGGATGGGGGCCTGTCCTCTTCTCTTCTCCTTGACCTTGGGCCTAGGATTCTGGCTGCTGAGTGATCAGATGTGTATTTGTTCAGAAAGTGATATCAGGAGGAAGGAAGTAGGTGTACTGAAGAAGGGAGAGACTACCACAATTTCTTTTTCCCTCCCGTGTCAGGCCACCTGTTCCCTCTCCATCCCCATCTCTCTCTTTTCACTTTCCAGGCCCTCTTCGTTCCTATGGGCCAAAAAGATTTCCATAAAATAATGTCAAACAAGAACTTTTCCAGCTATTCCATAATTGACAAGTAGGGTCCAGAGATGAGGACAAGGAGGCATCAAGGTCCTCAAATTCCAAAGAAAGCTGCAGTCAGTTGGGGTCAGACACTTTCCTTGGGGGCTCACTAAGAGATATCAAACTGGTCCTGCTACACTCACCCATCAACCCAGCCCTTTTCCATCCCATTTTCTAGAAGAAGCCTGGGTTTTGGACAGTGGATGAGGAGGGAGGTGGAGGAGCTGTGAGGCATCAACCTAGCAGTGAGTGATGGTTTTATCTCAGCATGGAATGTGAAAATTGGAGACAGAGGCTGCTACATCCCACTACTGTGCATGGAAAGGGCAATTTCCTAAGGGCCAAATTGTCATCATGGAAGGTGGCTGAGCTTGAGCCATTTTTCTGGAGAAGGGGACCCAGAACAAGCAGCATTGGTGAGGATGGGAATAGAGGAAGACGCTCACCTGGAGTCAGAGCTCCCACAACATCATACTCAGCAGTGGGGACACCCCCAAAGAACTCTTCAGAGAATTCACACATCAGTGCCTTGGGAGAGTATATGGACACTCAGAGAGGATCTCAAAGGGCTGGCAGACAAGCAATGACATCCAACAGGGAAAGCATTCCTACAACACTCAGTTAAGCCACATAACCATCTCCCCCTCCCTCATTCCTGCATCAACACACTAAGAGGGCCAAGAAGAGGTAACCAAGAGGAACCCCGCCTTCTTCACAGCCCAAGATGCAGGATGGGGAGCTGGGCAGCCAGTAACTTTCCTTCTCCACTTTAGATGCCTTGGACCATAAAACCTGGTCTTCAGGGGGCAGTGGAATATCCTATACTGCTAGATGACCAGAGTTTGTAGTTGGAATAAGGATTTTTTTTATTTCCTAATAACAGAAAAGGTCTGCAAAGTTGAAATCTTCACAAATTGTCCTTAAGAGGTGGAAAGTGAGATGTGACATAACATGATTAGAGGAAATGATGAGAAAAAATAAAAGCATATAATGTTTAATGTTTCTATCCCTAAATATTAAGACTTCAGTGAACCAGTTTCGACTTCCCTGGGTCTCACTCAGAACTGGAGAGGGGAGCAATGAGATTTGGCTCCACATTTTAGCGACAGCATTTTCCCTAGTTCAGACCCTGTGGAAGATGGAGATGCAATTGGGTTAGGTGAACGGGGAAGGATGGATAGTAAATTGCATAATAACTGGCTGCCTTTTCCGGGGTCTTTAGCTGAGTCCTTTCCCTTTTCTATCTAATAAATGTGGAAGGACCCCACGGCTTGGTGCTCCACTCTTTTTTGCCTACACTCAAGGGAGAGCTTTTAGATCTTGATATTTTTAAGAACTTTATTGAGATATAACTCACATCCCATTTATAGTATAAAGCTCAGTGGTTCTTTATTATGCTTACAAAGTTATGCAACCATCATCACAGTGAGTTTCAGAACACCTTCATCATCTCCAAAAGAAACCCCTTACTGTTTATCTATGATTCTGTATCCCCTTTTCCTTCCCCCAGCCCTAAGCAACCACTAATCTACTTTCTGTGTCTGTAGATTTCTCTAATTCCCTGGACTTTAAACACTATCTTTATAGAGATACTTTCAAATACATACCCCAGCTCTGACCTCTCACCCTAGCTCCAGGCAGGTATATCACTGCTGGCTGCATTTCCCCACTTGGGGTTCTAGGAGGTATCTTAAACTTAACATGACAAAAGAGAGCTCTTGATTTTTCTCCTCCAAATTAGCTCCTCTTTCAGATTTACCCTACGCTATCAATGGTACCATCATCCACCTGCTGATCAAATAGAAAACCTTGGATCATCCATGATTCCTCCTTTTGGCTCACCCCTCAACTGAGCAAATCCTGTCCTACCTTCAAAACATATGAGCTGAACAGAAAGTCTGAAAAACATAGATTTGAGCCCATTCACATCTCTCTGCCACTAGTGCCTACATTGTACTCCAGGCCACTGTTGTTTCCAGCCAGATGCCCACAATGGCCTCTCTACCCGTGTTCATACCATTCACAATCCATCCTCAACAAGTGGCCACTACATTCTTAAAAACAAGTCATGACAGCTCTCTGAGCTCTCTAGTAGCTTCCTCTTATACCTAAATTCCAACTTATGGTCTTCAGGGCTGCTTGACTCTCCAACCTCCTCATTCATTGCCTCACACTCCATATAGAGTGACTAAATAAGCCTTATACAAGCCAAGCTCCTTCTGACCTCAGGACCTTTGCATATTCAGCTCTTGCGACAAAGTGCTCTTCAAAGCACCCAGATTTCAACAGGGCTGGAAAATGCTCACCATTCAGGGCTCTGCTTGGTGTTGTCTGCTAAGGGAGGTGTTCTCTGACCCCCAGTACTTCAGTAGCTCCCCCACCACCGAGTCGCTTACTAGTTCATGAACACCTCTAGTTATTTGCAATTATTTGAAACAGTTCCTAGTTTCTTATGAACACCTCTTGTTTTCTGCAATTATTTGTCTGGATAATAAGTGTGCCTGTCATCTCCCATAGTGCAGGATTGTGAGTGTTTTTGCTCACTGTCTCCTTAGAGCCTAGAATAGTGCCTGCCCCATAATAGGGGCTCAATGAATTATGTTGAAGCAATGAGTGAATAAAACACAGCACAGACAGTGCCAAGTTTGAACCTTATCTCAGCCACCTGCTAGCTCTGGGACCCCGGACAAGCTCAGAGTCACACTGGGTTTTCAGGTCTCATTATCTTCATCTGTAAAATGGTGACAATAGTGCCACGAATAGTGCCATAAAGGCACTCTGAAAACACTACAGTGCAACATGACCACTGATGGATTATTATCCTTATTATCTCTGATGTTAGTGGAGTGTGGGGCAGGAGGGACTCCCTCCACCCGTCCCAGAGCCACTGCAGCCTGCTCACCTGGAGACACATCCAGCTGGAAGCCCATCAAGGGGTACAGGATCCCAGAGGTGTTGCGCATGCACCAGTATCGGCCTGAGTCCTGGAGCTTGAGGGCCACCATGGTGATGTTGACCACCTTGGCCTGGGCATCGTCCTGCAGCAAGTAGCGGGGCCCTTTCACCCAGACTCGGGCAAAGCCAGGCTCACACTTCTTCTTCCTGATTTTGCACCAAACCTTGCCCTCCACGCGGTTTTTGTAGCCCTTATAGGAGCACTGCACAGACAGAGTCTCCCCTTCAAGGAGCCTCACTTTTGTGTATACACTGTCAGCAGAGGGGCCTGTGGAGACAATACTTATTGAATAAGGTCTGGCAAGAGGAGAGGAAGAAGACATCATGAAAGTTGAAGATCATGGTGAAGGGTAGAGTGGATATTGTCCTGCTGTCACAGAACCCACAGATTGAGGGGGAAATACAGCCCCGCCTTCAGGGAGCTTGCCCCAATCTGAAGGGAGGTGAATGGGCCCTGAAAACAGCTAGCTTCCAGTATTACAGTGGAGACACAACCCCCGCTCTCAGGGAGCTTTCAGTCTGATGGAGGAGGCAGGTATATCCCTCAGTGAGTCCCCAGTCTAATGGAGGAAACGCAGCATTTACACTCGGAGCTCCATCAGACACAGCCCCTTTCCTCATGGTATTTTCTAGTCTGATGGGAAAGTGACAAGCTCTGTCTTCAGGGATTCCCAGGGAATTCATTTTTGTTTTGTTTTGTTTTGTTTTGTTTTGTTTTTGAGACGGAGTCTCGCTCTGTTGCCCAGGCTGGAGTGCAGTGGCACGATCTCAGCTCACTGTAACCTCCGCCTCCTGGGTTCAAACTATTCTCCTGCCTCAGCCTCCTGAGTAGCTGGGACTACAGGTGCCTGCCACCACGTCCGGCTAATTTTTTGTATTTTTAGTAGAGACGGGATTTCACCATGTTAGCCAGGATGGTCTCAATCTCTTGACTTCGTGATCCACCTGCCTCGGCCTCCCAAAGTGCTGGGATTGCAGGCGTGAGCCACTGTGCCCGGCATCCCAGGGAATTCTTGTGGGAAAAACCCAGGTCATGCCCTCAGTGAGACAGATGCAGAGACACAAACACAGGTCATTAAGTTGTGAAATTTCAGTGCCCAACTAACTAGGTAGATAAGAAAATCTAGTATTTGAAAATATGATTAACAGTTATTTATTTCACAAATAGGTTCACTTAGTCCTCTTTAAATAATAACTCTCCTTAGTTCATTCCATCTGGTGTTTAGTTTTAAAATATTCTAGTTACATAAAACCCATAGATCAAGCCTGTCTAAATATACATGTAAACAAACTCCCAATGGAGTGTGAACCACAGGATTCTACAATTATTCACTTTCCACCTGCAATATCTTTCTCTCTATGCTGAGGAGTAAGATGTGGTCCAAGCCTTCATAATCCACAGTCTGGTAGAGACAGAGCAGAACTGGGGTGTGCAGGGTGACTCAGGGGACAGAGAGAGGGAGAAAGCTGCCTTGGGCTCCCTCCACCCCTCTGCCTGCCTTAAGCTCAGCTGACTCTTCTGATAATTTCACCCCAGAGTCTTCCAAAAAAACCACATATAAAAAGACTCTCCCCCATAGTAGAGAACAGAGAGCACACATTTTGGAGTCAAAATAAACAAGGGTTGAAACCCTGTTTCTACCACTTAGTGGTGTGATTAGGTCACCTGTTTGATACAGAAATATCAAAACAGACACTTGACTGATACAGAAATATCTCTGTTTCTTTATCAGTCAAGTGAGAATAGCACCACACCCCTCACAGGTTGCTGTGAGAATTCTGCCCCAGGTCAGTGCTTTGCACACAGTGCATGCTCAACTCATGCTTCCTTTTCCCACATGCTGGGGCCTCCCAGTTCCCCCAATGGAACCCAGAGCTGTGACAGTCAAGGGCCCAGAATCCAGGACATCTGTCCCACCAGAATCCAGGATATCCGTCCCAAGTCCCAGCCAGCAGCCACTAGAGCTGAGGCTCTGTGTGAAGCAGCACCCTCTCTAAGCATCCCTCTGTCCCTTGCAAACTAAACAGAATGATCCAACTTCATTATTTGGTGGATGAGCCCAGGATTTCTTAGCACAAGAGAGACCCCTTTCTGCCCTGGCAGTGGGAAGCTGTTTCTCTACCCTCTGGGAGGTGCAGAGTTGGGTGACCTTGGGATGGGTCTCCAGGGCAATGTCTTCATGTGTGCCTACACCTCCCACCCCTCTCACAGGCAGTGGTGAGTTTTGCCAACCCCCACCATGCCCAGAACTGAACAGGAAGTGGTAACTTGGTTGCCATGGCAGCGAGAGGGGCAGGAATGGGTGAGGTTCCTCAAGGAGCATTGGTATCTGTGAGGTGGGAAAGGCATTCACACACTGGTCCCTTCAGGACAGAGGCAGGGACAGGATGTGGCATCAGCATTTCAAGAAAAATGTTCAAATTCAGTTCAAAACACACATGATGCAATGATTGCTGTCATAACTAAGCAGGGCTTCCTGACAGAGGCCAAGCAGAGAAAGCTATTTGTGTGAGGAAATTGAGGGCTCTGCTTTAAAGCCTGAGGAAGCCTAGCAGATAAAGGAGCCAATGCAGAGAGGGTCCAGAGCTTTATCTTGGCTTGGGAGGCCTGGGTTAGCTTCGCCTGGGGCCTGATATTAGGGTAAAGAGCTAAGTCAGCCCTAATCTCCTCCTTCCCCAACCCACAAAACACTAAACAAGAAAACTGCTGGTAAGGAGGGTAAGAAAAAGGCCCTGAGCTCCTGCCTCTGTACCCACTCCCTCCTCCACAAGTCAGCCCCTTCTCCCCTCACCTGAGACGCAACCCTGTGGCCACAGCAGCAGCAGCAGCAGGAAGGCTGGGGCCATGGTTCCATCCAGCTGGGCAGTGTCAGGCCTGGAGATCCAAGGTGAGGGCCCACCCGACACAGGATGTGCCACCTGGGCCTGCCAGGGAAGGACCCGGGGTTCTAAAAGTGAAGCTGCCCATTTAGGGAAGTGAGGCAGTGTGGGACCCACTGCCCCCAGCCAACCGCAGGGATTCATTGAGCCTATTATGAGGGCGGTGCTGGCAGCTGTTTCCGCCCTTTTCCTCGGAACTTCAGGCAGGTGTGGCTGCTCCACCCAGTCTGGGGCCCCAAGCCGGGAGGACTCACAGTCAGAGGGCTCCCCGCCCTCCCCAACCTCCCCCAGAAACTGGTCCCTAGGATCCAGCAAGGGGGCTGGGGTGAGGCTTCTGGAACGTCAGGTATAGACCTTCCTGGAATCTTCTGGGCTCAGAGACCCAGGGGTGCGGGCTCTTAGGCTGAGATGGAGCATCTCAGACCCTAGTTTCTTACATATATACATTCACAGGGAAGTTCTTATAAACTCTCATTCATTCATTCATTGCAGATTCTTTCTGTTCCTTCCTCTCTCTCTCTCCCAGGCTCCTGGCTGCTCAGAACAGTCACTTGTGTTCACTGTTGCAAATAACCTCTTACAGGCTCACTTGAAATCTTACTTTTGTCAAGCGGGAAAAATGCAAATTGTTAAGACTCAGGGCATAAATTTTGGGTTGAGGGAGGGGTTCCTGTACTCTCACACACAGGTGTGCATGCACATGCACTCACACTCACAGTCTCACTTTGTCTTTTATTCACTTTCACACACACACACACACGCCCATGCACACAGTCTCACACACACCCCAGCAGCCTCTCCTTTTCCCTATCCATACGTCTCCTCTCTCTGTCCCTCTCCCTGCCTCTCCTCCTGTCGACTCTACTCACCATCAGCTCCCTCTAGACTCCTAGTCCCTCGTGCAGGCTTCCTACAGCCTCCGCAGTACTTCCCCTCACCCACCTCATCTCAAGACCCCCTTCCTCCCCTGCCTCCAGCCTACGTCAGCACGCAGGCAAGTGCCCTCCACTTCCTCCTGCTCAATGCTATCTCGCCTGTACAGCCACCAGCTCCAGTGGAAATGACCCAGCACTAGGCCCAAGACCACACCCTTCACTTACCCCAAGGCCTAGAATCAGAAGCATCAATTTTTGATGTCCGGTACCTGTGTCATCTGCTCCTTCAGTGTGTGGGGACCCAGCTGGACTCCCGTGATTATGTATGCTCCCCCTACTCACTAGTGCCATGTTTCTACTCCTTAGATGGGACTGTCAAAAGGTAAACTGAGGCACAATAAAATTTTAAACAGATTATTTCAGCAAACAACAATTCATGAATCAGGCAGCTCCAAACAGAAGAGGTTGAGGAGCTCCACTGGGGGAATGCAAGGGGAAGACTCCTACAGGACAAGTAAACTGAAGAAAATATTTAATTAGTTATAGTTATATAGTTCCCTTATTTGGCCTATCCTGTTGGAAAGACCCTAGTTAATTATATAAGTTTCTTTTGATTGGTTGAGCTTAAGTTCTATTTTTCCTTAATATACACATTTACAAGAAATAGCTCGTGTTAAGTTTCACTGATATTTGCAAATCAAGCAAAGTTGAGGTCACTTATGAGGCCTAACTGTTTTTTTAATTTTTGCTCAGGGACTCTTCAGGCCTGGTCTCCATTTTCATTAATTTTAACAGGACTCAGAGCAAAAAGTCCTCAAGCTTGCATGGCCACAATCTTAAATTGACCTTGAAGCCCCAAGCTCCAAGCAAAGAAGTCTATCTCGGCTGACCCTAAGCTTTTGTAGTCTCTCAACTCATTCACTCACTCATTAATTCATTCATTCATTTGTTCATTCCCACAACCTCATTGCTATGCATGGGGCTAGGTAGGCACTGGGGGCGTAGGAATGAGACACGATTGTCACTTGAGACCTCTCAGCTCACAGACGTGTTTTGTTTTCCTTATTCACCCTTCCTTTTTCAATGTTTCTCACCCAGTCCTCAGAACTTCCTGAGCTCCCTGAGTTCAGGGGCCATCTCCCCTCCCCAGCACACACAGTAAGTTCCTCCATCCCTTCCCCCATCAGAACAGTAAGTTGCTTCAGGAGTGGGGGATTTATCTCTTGTGGGGACTTTATGCGCTTGGAATCCATGATTCTATGAAACTGATACAGTGCGCCCAGCACTGAGCCAATCATCGTCTAAAGTGTGACCCTTGGGATCACTGTGCTGATGAGGGTAGAAAGAATCAAACATTCATTCGCTGATCGAGGAAGTATGCACTGGATTCAATCTTTCTTAAGAGAAATTTGGAAGCATTGGTCAAAATCATTAAAAATACGTATACATTAGACTTTTACATCTATCATTTGATTTAATACAGCAGTGTATTTTGTCTTTATATTTATTTTTCCCATTTAAAAATTAAGGCCTAATTTACATACAGTACTATTCACCCTTTTCAGTGACGAGTTCTGGGAGTTCTAGAGACTTGTATCCAATGCCGTAATGGAGACAGAGAAGAGTGCCATCATCCCGAAAAGCTTTCCTCTGCTCCTTGTTAGTCATCCCTTCAGTCCCAGACAAACACTGATCTGGTGGGGTTTTTTCCTGTCATTTCTCTCTTTCCAGAATGGAAAAGTGAAGCACTTTATGTTGATTTATTCTGGTGAAGTCCAATATATAATTTTTATGAATCAATTTTTATGTCATATCTAATAAATCTTTGCTTAACCCAAGGTCACAATGACTTTTTTCAACAATTCTGTGAGCTATAATTCACATAATATAAAACTGACCCATCTAAAGCATACAATTCAGTGGTTTTCAATATATTCACTGAGTTGTACAACTAACACCAATTTTGCAGGATTTCCCCACCCAAAGAAACCCCATGCCCGTTAGCAGGCACTCCCTGGATCCGTTTACTGCAGACTTGGTGGCTTAAAACAGTATTAAGTTATTGTCTCGCCATTCTGAAGGCAGAAGTCTGAAGTCAGTTCACACTGTATTGAGATGAAGATGTCGACAGGGCTGCAGTCTCTCCAGAGACACTAGGGAAAAATTTGTTCCTTGCCTTTCCAGCTTCAGGTAGCTGCCAGCATTCTTTGGTTTGGGGCTGTTTTACTCCAATCTTCAAGGCCAGCATCTTCAGTCTCCCTCTGCTCCATCTTCCCATCACTTTCTCCTCTTTGTGTTCAAATCCCACTCTGACTCTCTTACATAAGGATACATGTGATTGCATTTAGTTCCCATCTACGTAATCCAGGATAATCTCACCATCTCAAGATGTTTAACTCACTCATATCAGCAAAGATCATTTTTTTTTTGTTTTTTGCCATATAAGGGTAACAATCACAGGTTCCAGGGATTAGGACACAGATATCTTTTAAGAGACCATTTATCAGCTTACCACAGTCCCCATTCCTACAGTCCCAGGCAACCACTAATATTTTTGTCTTTCTAGACAAAAATATCTTCAATCAAAAATGCCTTTATCAATTCTGGATATGTCATAAAAACATAATTGAACAATATGTGTTCCTTGTGACTGGATTCTTTCATTTGGCATGTTTTCCAGGTTTGTCCATGTTGTAGCTGTACTTGTGCTATACGTTGTATTAATACATCATTCCTTTTAAAGGCTGAATAATATTCCACTGAATGGATATATATGTTTACCATTTATCAGTTGACAAATATTTTATTTGTTTCCACTGTTCAACTATTATAAGCAGTGTTACTATGACTATTCATGTACAAGTTTTTGTGTGGACATACGTTTTCATTTCTCTTGAGTACATAACCAATAGTAGAACTACTGGGTCATATGGCAACTCTATGTTTAACATTTTCAGGAACTACCAATAGTTTTCCAAAGTGGCTGCAAATTTTACACCCTCTCCAGCAATGTATGAGTTCTCATTTCTCTACAATCTCTCCAATACTTGTATTGGCTTTCTGTTTACAGCCATCCAGTGAATGTACTTAAGTTTTGAATTGTAGTTACCTAATGACTAATGATATTGAGCATCTTCATCTTGAGCATGCACAATTTGCTCATTTGTATACCCTTGGAAAAATATTTATTCAATTGTGTTGTTTGTCTTTTACAGCATTTGAACAATGTTGTGCCACATTTTTCTGGCTTCAATTGTTTCAGATAAGAAATTCACTACAATTAGAATTGGTATTCCTTTATAGATAATTATTTCTCTCTGGCCATTTTTACGATATTTTCTTTGTCTTTACTTCTCAGAAGGCTATCTATGCTGTGTCTTGGTGTGTATTTCTTTGGGCTTATTATATTTGGGATAAAATCAGATTCTTGTATTTGTAACTTTAGGTCTTTGGGCAGATTTGATTACTTTAGACGTTTCTTTGAATACATTTTCAGTCTCACATTTTTTCTCCTTTCCTTCTGGGACTCTGATGATGCAAAGGTTAGCTCTTATGTTAATGTCCCGCAGATAGCTGACGTTCTGGTCATTTATTTTCAGTCTGTTTTCTCTCTGATCAGACTGAGTAAATTTTCTCAGTCTGCCTTCCAGTTAACTAATTACATCCTCTGTCATCTCCACTCTCCTACGGAGTCCACGTAGTCAGCTTTTAATTTTGGTTATTGTCGTTTTTAGTTCCCACATATTCTATTGTCATTCTGTTCCCAGAAGAAGAAAAAAGAGTAAATGGAGCAGAAGAACTATTAATACTTGAAAAAATGGTACCGAGGATTTTTCAGAATTAGACAAATATCTAAGACATCAAATTGAATGTATTCAGAGAGTTCCAAATAGAATGGATACTTAAATAGCCCATATTAAGCATACTATAATAAAAATTCAAAGAGAAAATTATAAAAATGTTCCAGAGATAAAATAGGTCAGTAAAGATGAATAACCATCAGACTGTTATCAGACATTTCCATAGCAACACTGGGAAGGTAAGAAAACAATGAAATATGTTCAAAATTTTGAAGAAGTATATGTCTTTTACATGTTAACTTATGACATAAAATTTGCCACCCACTTGAAAATTGTGGTTAAGGGAATTACGACAATTTTGAGGCCAAGGATGTTAAGATAAAATATTTAAAAGTTATAACTAAATGCTAGCTCTTAGCATCTGATTGAGGAAGACCTATTTTTGTTTAGTCCACTTTTATCCCACTACCCATGTTCTTTAAGTGAAGCTCAGTATTTCCATACTGTAAGTGAACACGTCCCAATCTGCTGCAGTTGCATAAGTTCAGTAAATCGAGAAAAGATTGGGTTCAGCCACATATGACTGAAAACCAAACAGCAGTGGCTTCGACACACAACTGTTTATTTTTAGGTATCATTTTAATTATGAAAATTCCCAAGCATGCACAAAAGTATCTCACAAAAAAGAGATAATCGGCTGGGCACGGTGGCTCATGCCTGTAATCCCTGCACTTTGGGAGGCTGAGGCAGGTGGATCACCTGAGGTCAGGAGTTTGAGACCAGCCTGACCAACATGATGAAACCCCATCTCTACTAAAAATACAAAAGGTTAGCTGGGCGTGGTCGTGGGTGCCTGTAATCCCAGGTACTCCAGAGGCTGAAGCAGGAGAATCACTTGAACCTGGGAGGCGGAGGTTGCAATGAGCCACGATCGCACCACTGCTCTCCAGCCTGGGTAACAAGAGCAAAACTCAGACTCGAAAAAAATTTTTTTAAAAAGATAATCATACTTCTAGCCCCCATGTAGCATCACTCAGCTACATTTACTCTTGCCTTCCATTTTTTTTTATTGGCAATACTATTCCATAGGTTGTGCTGTGTACTTCACATAGACTCACAGAAAATAATCTCTAGTGTCTAGATTCGTGTTTCGGGCAACACAAGCTGACAGCATTACTTAGACATCTGAGATCGTAAAACTCAGCTGATGCCACCTGGGTATAAGTCCTAAAGGAAATCTCACCTGATTCTACCAGAGAACATGATGGACAATATTCCTCACAGCATTGTTTGCAATATGAAGAAGTGGAGGCAAAACAGCACATGCACCCTGGGTTCAGAATGATACACTGTGGGATATGTACACAATGGAATAAGCACTGAAAAGAAGTGGGCTCTGTATATGTACCCGGGAAGGAGCAAAACGAATATATGAAAAATGTCTATCACAATTTCTTATATGTAAGTTAAAATACAGTCACAGAAAAAAAAGCTGCAGGCTTTACAAGAATATATTCAAATTTAAGGTTACATATCACATGCATTAGAGTGGTTGCCTTGGAGGGGAAGGCAAGTGGAAATAGGGAATGAGGATTAAAAAAATAAAGAAAGCAAAAGTTGTGCCTCTCACAGATAGGTGATGGTCATGTGGAAGGAGCTGAGATATACATGAAGAGACTTCTGTTCGATGCCTATATTAGTCCCTTTTCATACTGCTATGAAGAAATACCTGATGCTGGGTAATTTATAAAGAAAAAGAGGTTTGATGGACTCACAGTTCCACATAGCTAGGTAGGCCTCACAATCATGGCAGAAGGTGAAGAAGGAGCAAAGGCACATCTTACATGGTGGCAGAGAGCATGTACAGGGGAACTGGCCTTTATAAAACCATCAGATCTTATGAGACTTAATCATTATCAGGAGAAAAGGAAGGGAAAACTTGCCTCCATGATTCAATTACTTCCCACCAGGTCCCTCCCAACACATGGGGATTATGAGAGCTACAATTCAAGATGAGACTTGGGTGGGGACACAACCAAACCATATCAATGCCCCTCCCCAGAAAGAGCAAAAGAAAATGGTACTCTCTCTCTCTCTCTTTTTTTTTTTTTTTTTTTTGGAGACGGAGTTTTGCTCTTTTTGCCCATGCTGGAGTGCAATGGCGTGATCTCAGCTCACCACAACCTCTGCCTCCCAGGTTCAAGCGATTCTCCTGCCTCAGCCTCCCAAGTAGCTGGGATTACAGGCATGTGCCAGCACGCCCAGCTAATTTTGTATTTTTAGTACAGATGGGGTTTCTCCATGTTGGTCTGGCTGGTCTCGAAATCCCGACCTCAGGTGATCCACCCACCGTGGCCTCCCAAAGTGCTGGGATTACAGGCATGAACCACTGCAGCCGGCCAGAAAATGGTACTTTCTTTATGGTGGCCTTTTTCAGGGCTGGCATTCAGCTGCTATGCAGTGGTACCCCAAATTGGTTGTTCATGGTGGACCCCCATTTTGAGTAGTCAATCCCAGTCTCGCTAGATGTTACCTGGTTGGAAAATGACTGTGCCTTTTCTTGCTTCACAGATGTGTGCTCCTCTTCTGTTCCCCAAAACATTTATCTTTCACCCACCATCAAATATTGTTAGTTCAACTTGATTTTCTCTTTTAGGCTATGAATCTCCTCACACGTTAAACAAACAGAATTTTGACCCCTGATGATGAGATTCCATTGAATGTTCTGGGTCCTGTTTTAGGCTGCTGAATCCACTGCTCTTGTCATTTAAGGCATCTGATTTTTTCTTTTACTTCTAGGACTTCCTCAGTTTCCAGTCTGCTGATTACAGCCTTTCTTAGTTTCAATTTTATTATTTATTTTTAAGTCATTTCTTTCTCATTTAGGGTGGGAGGGGAGGAGGGTGAGGGGATACATCTGCTTTCTTGCTTAGTTGCCTCTGACACATTTCAGTTCAGAGGTTGAATTTAATCAAGCACAAGAGGAAATTGATAGGACTCTCGGGTAGACCACTAACAAACAGGGAAAATGTGAGGCATCCTGGAGACCTGCTGAGGTGGGGCTGAGAGAACCACGGAGTGCTGGAGAGGAGCCCGGGCACAGCTGAAGATGCTGAGCTGAGCGTTGACCCGGATGCAGAAACCCCCACCCCAGGTCTTTCCAATGGCGAAAGTCAGGGCAGGGGAAGTAGATCTAAGAGGGGTCAGTGCAGGGGTGAGGGGTCACCACCAGGGAGATCAGGGGCTGAAAGTTCTCTCCAATAGGCTTAGTGCTGGCCTTTCCTCACAGACAAATGGGGGGCAACGCTTAGGGCAGCTCCCAATAGCTGGGCAGGGGAAGAACTGGGATTCATCCTGGATCCATGCTGTGACTCATGCACCCAAGGGTCCTGGGGCAAGGCTGGGCTGATACAATCAGAAACCTCCATCACTGCTGTCCTGAAATGTGGCAAGAGAAGGAACGTCATGAATGGAAGTGATACTTTCCCTGACCCTCTTTTCTGCCTCTTTGTCTCACCCTGTGCCTGTTACCTGTTCCTCCTCTTTCCCTCCCTTCTCCCTGTCACCTGCTTCCTTCCCTGCCCCTTCCTGTCTCCTAAACCTTCTACCCAGGCACTCTCAGCTTTGTCCTCCTGGCCTTGTTCCTCTCAGGACAAAGACAGAGGCAGAGTCCTGGAATGGGACTCCCAGAAAGCCTCTGTCTTTTTCTAAGGTTTGTGTCTGCAGGAAGGCAGAGATTGCAAGGAAACACATGTTTAAATTGGACTCAGCTGTCATTTTTCCTGCCTCTGTGATCTGGCTTCTTTTTCCTAGCCATCTTTCTAGGAACAGAGTCTGGCCCCAGCTCCATTGCCCCCCAGGCCAAACCCAGGCCCCACTCACCTGTGGCACCTGCAGGTCAGGAACACAAACAGGACTCACAGCATCAGGCCCTTGGCCAGGAGGAGTCCACACAACACAGAGACCAGGAGTTTGGGGCCAGCTGAGCCAAGGCAGATGGGGGCACTTGATTTCCTGCAGTGAGGAAGGAGAAAGGAGGATGGACTTGGGCCAGGATGTCACCTGCTGCTGCTGTGTCCCTTAGCCAGGCCCCTTGTGGCTGGAGATGTTTGTATAGAGGCCCGCCCTGAACTGACTATGACACAGGGGTATGGGGCAGGAGCCACAGAGGTCTCTGGGACTGAGAGGAGACCTAGTCAGAAGGAACTTCAAAGTCTTGAATGGAGGAAAAAGCTGGCCAGGGGAAGAACAAGGGATTGGAGTTCAGGGAAGGGGAGGGATAGAGCCGGGGCAGTAGGAACTCTCCCTAACTAGGTCAGGTAGGACAGGACTATCAGGAGCCTCTTAGGAATCAGAGCAAAGGGCATCTTTAAGACCGGCCAAGATATCACACCTGAAGGAATGAGGCCCAGACACTGCACAGGACCTGACTAGACCCTTAGAAGCAGTGACAGAGCACAGACCTAGACCTCCTGTCTGCTGGTGCCAGCGGTCCTCCCAGGTCCCCTCTGTGTGGCGCCTACTCCTGGCCTGCCTATCTCTGATTCTGGGACTACTACCCTTTCCCAGCAAATCTGCTTTTCCCTTGTGGCCTCAGTAGCTTCCTGCTTCAGTATTACTTAATATTTGGTAAAGCCAGTGACTTCTTTTTATTTTCACTTTTTCATGGTTGATTTAGCTAGTCATGCATCATCTTTTTTTCATATAATTTTAGAGTAAACTTTTCAAGTTCTTTACAAAAGTAAACTGAAGTTGTGTTTGGGATTACATTTAAAGACTTTTTAATTTGGGGGAAATTGACATCTTTACAATGTTATTGCCTCTTCCAAAATCATGGATTATTTCTCTTTATTCAGATCACCTGTCATTTTTTAGCATTTTGTAGTTTTCTCCAAATAGGTCTTGCTTAAATTAATTCTTTCTAGAAACTTAATGATTTTGTCACTATAATGAAAACTATCTTATTTTTCTAAATGTTTATTTTTCATAGAGATCTACTTGTGGCGTATGTAGGTTGATTTTGTATCTGGCAGCCTTGCTAAATTCTCTTATGAGATTTAATAGTTTGTTGTTTCTCATTCTTTTTCTGGATAGATGATCCCATCATCTGCAAGTCATGACAGTTTTTTCTCTTCTTGTCTAATCTTCTTTCTTGTAACTTGTTTTCCTTTCCTTCAAGCATTGGTCAGAACCTCTAATATTATAGAAGACATTAATGGTAGCTGCAAAAATCCTGAATTTGAGTTTATGCTTTCTCCACTAAATAATGTTTACTGTAATATTGGTGTACAATCTTTACCAAGTTATCTGTTCTTATTTCCATTTTTAAGAGCTTTTTCATATAATATAAATGTGCTCAAGGTCCCCAAATGCTTTTTGTGCAGCAGTTGACTTTTTTCCCTAGTTTATGAATTCGGTTCACTTATATTAATAGATTTTTTCTGAAGTTGAACAATCCTTTATGTTTTGTGATAAAATTCTACTCAATCATAATACAGTCTTCTTTTTGATGCACTCTTGAATTCAGTTAGCTAATGGTAATTTGGGAATTGACTCCACGGGCATCAGAGAAATAAACCTATAATTTAGTTTTCTTATAACCCCTGTAACTGGTTTTGTGATTTTGATGACACTAGCCCCTTCAAATAACCTGGGCTGTTCTTGCTTCTTTTCTATTGTCTGCAACATCTTGTATGAAATATAAATCAAATGTTTCTTAAAAGATTGAGTTACTGGCAAAACCACGTGAGTCTTGAATTTTCTGTGAGGGTGGGGCTTATCTACCATTTCAGTTTTTCTATTTATTTATCTATTGAAATCTGTTTCTCCTTGTGTTAATCTTCTCAGTTCATATTTTTTTAAGGAATTTGTGCACTTCTAAGGTTTAAAACAACAAGATTTTGTTCAGGATTTATTTTAAAATCTCTATAGAAAGAGTGCATGGTTATTTTCTTCTTTTTCTTCAATTTGTGGTTATCATCTTCTTTTATCTTCATTTGTCTTGACAAGAATATGGCTATCTTTTTAAACTTTCAAAGAATGAATTATGACTTACCTTGATCTTCATTTTCAATCATTCAATTTATTTCAGCGCTTACCATGATTCTTTCCCTCCTTTATGATTCTTTGGGCTTGCCCTGATGCTCACGTTCCATCTTCTTAAGATGCTTCCTTAGCTCATTAATTTGAAAGCTTTCATGTTTTCCAACAAATATATTCAAAGCTACTAATTACTCTCCAATATTAACTATGCCCCATACTTTTTGATATGTAGTGGTCATATTATCAAAATATATTTTATTACATACTTAATGATTCACATATGAATGTATTAATAATTAGTTTGAAAAGTGCTATTTTATCTTTACTTCTCTTATGCATTCTTAATGTCATTGCATTGGGTTTGGAGAATATATTCTGTGTCATACTGATTCTTTGGAATTTCTTCATGCTTCTTATATGTCCTCATACAAGGTGTCCTTTTTTAAATACATTCCTTTTATTTGAAAGAATGTATACTATCTGTTTTTAATTATGTAGAGGGTTATAAACATAGGTAGGTCTACTTATACACGGTTCATATAATACATATTATGAGTACTGTATTTTATAAAACATACATAATACATTTATATAGTTTAGAACAGTTTCAGTCTGAAACTACATATTTATATATTTGAAAATATTAATTTAAAAGTATAATTTATTACATATTCATTCTATATTCTTATACATATCTCATAATATATATAACACATTTATAAATATTATATGATGGCATAGTACCTGGAATTTGTTAGTTATTTGGCTTAGAACTTAGATCCCTTTATTTGGTTTTGGTCTGACTGGTCTTTGTTCCTCTGAGAGGTATGTGAGCCTCCAACTACAATAGCTAATATTTACTTCTCCTTGCATTTCTGATAGTGTTGTTTCATATATTTCATGGCCAAAATTTAGGCAGACATGCTTATGATGGCTCTATTTTCACATTCAAGCTCATCTTTCATCAGTATAGACAATGTATCTTTGTCTATTTTATAGACAAATTTATGGACATGATATTTTACCTTAAATTCTATTTTGTTCAATATTAAGAGTGCCAGAACAGTTCATTTTGTTTCCTAATAGTCAAATATAGTTTTCTAACTTTTTGAACTTTTTAAGATGTTTTTGTAAGTGTATCTATCTCTTATAGGTAATATAACATTGGAATTTTTAAAACTCAGAGTGTGTCTGTCCTTATTTTGTGAATTTAATCCACTTAAATTTATTGGAATTGCATTTATGTTAGGACTTAGCTCTACCATTTTATTTTATTTTTCCATTTACTGTGCTTTATTTTTTTAATTCATATCTAACTTTCCTTTGGCTAGAGTTTCATTTTGCTAGATGAAAGGATATACTTTCTCTTGATGTAACCTGAAGACTCATATCTACATTGATTTAGTACAATTGCTACATTGAGCTTGTCTCATGAAACAAGTACCCAACCATCCTTTCATGAGCCTCTAGTGTCTCCTTTTCACCCCGTGTTGATATAGTCTAGAACAAGGGTCCCCAACCCCTGAGCTACAGACCGTACCAGTTCCTAGCCTGTTAGGAATAGGGCCACACAGCAGGAGCTGAGTGGTGGGCAAGTGAAAGAAACTTCATCTGTATTTACAGCTTCTCCCCATCACTTGCATCACCTCCTCATCTCCACCTTCTGTCAGAGCAGTGGCGACATTAGATTCTCATAGTAACACAAACCCTATTGTGAACTGCGCATACCAGGGATCTAGTTTGCATGCTCCTTATGAAAATCAAACACCTGATGATCTGTCACTGTCTCCCATCACCCCCAGATGGGACTGTCTAGTTGTAGGAAAACAAGCTCAGGTCTCCCACAGATTCTACATTATGATGAGTTGTATAATTACTTTATTATATATTACAATGTAGTAATAATAGAAGTAAAGTGCACAATAACAATAATGCACTTGAATCATCCTGAAATCATCCCCCTGTCTTAGTCACAGATAACTTGATTTCCACAAAACCAGTCCCTGGTGCCATAAAGGTTGGGGATCACTGGTCTAGAATGTTATTTTTCAATGATCATGAAAGTATTTTCTCTTATTCTTCATTTAGCTCCTACCTGCATTTTATATGAATCAAAAAATATAAAAATAAACATTCCCAAGATGCTGGGCACACTTACTCCCTCACCTCTTGCAGCATCCCCAGGGTTTATTTTTCATCCTGGCTTCCTTTCTCTGGGAGTGTTTTCAGTGGGGATGTTTGCATGTGGCAAACCTTCTGAGGCCTTGAGAATCCAGAGGTTTTATGATTTCACATTGGAGTGACAATTTGGCTGAATACAAAACACTATATACAAAGTTTTTCTTTAGTACTTTAGAAATATTACTCAATTGTCTTCTTACCTCTAGTGTTCCTCTTAAGAACTCAGAGGGAATTCTAATCTTGTTGCCTTGTAGGTGATCTGAAAGCCTTCAGACTTTTCCCTCTGTTTTTGATGTGCTTCCCTTTTACTTAATGGGTCTACTGGTGTTTTTTGTGTGTGTGCTGTTTTCCCCTCTTTGGCAATTTATGAATCTTTTCAATGTGAGGTCTTTTCTTCTTCTATAGTTTTGAAAAGTTTCCTTAGATTCTTTCTTCAAATGTTTCTTTCTTTCATCCTTTATCTCCCACAGGGGTTCTTGATACCGATATATTAGTACATCTAGTTTTCTCCTTCATGTCTCCTAACTTGTCTTTGATTTTTAAATCTCCAGTTCTTTCCAGGACCTTCCATGAGAATTCCTCACTCCTCTTCCTGCTCACTGTCCAGCCACAGCCATCCTTCATCACATACATTATGGGTCTATAATATTTTTCACAACTATGATTGCGATTTGGCTCTTTTTTTCGATGGATCTTCCTTATGATCCATGTTAGAAATGCAAAATGCTTGTTCCCCAGTGCTGCAAGAAAAGCTTCGAACATAAATTTAATTTTCTCAGCCAGGCAATTTTTACTTTCTGCAGAAAGGGTGCTTCTCACAGATGAAACAACGGCTGCAGAAAGGGTACTCCTCACAGATGAAACAACAGCGAGAGCACATCTGGACAGGGGAGGGGCAGCAGTTCTTATTCCTGATGGTGGTAGCCCCTACTGCTGTGTCATTCCCCTAGTGGCTAGGGTTGGACCGCACAGCCTAAGCTAATACCGATTGGCTATGGAGAGGGCAGGGGTATGAGCCAGAGTGGTGGGGTGAGTAGTTTAGCAGGAAGGACGGTTAGGAACAGGTAACTAAAGGTGACTTAGGTCAGAGCAGGTGAACAGGATGAGTCAGGATGGAGCAGGTGACCAGAGGTGACTCAAGTCAAAGCAAGTGACCAGGATGAGTCAGGATGGAGCAGGTGACCAGCGGAACAGATGTGAACTATTGATTAGGACTGGCAGGAAAGTTGTTTACTGAAACTAGAAGCAAGGGGCCAAAGAGAACCAGGAAGTTAAACTTTAAAATGGAGAATCAAAGAATAAGAGAGCTGAATATACTGACATACTGATTCCTAGAAGAGAAACTTGGGGTTCACTATATTTAACAATCCACATAGTTCATGTCTCCCCTCAACCCTTTAGCCAGACTGATCACAGGTACTTACAGTTCCTGGGGAATGGGAAGTTCCCATAGTTCTGCTTCACAAGTTTCTATTGTTGGCTGTGTTGTCATTCTTCTAAGGCAGTGCTTCTACCAAGAAGCCTAGGTATTTTGGCTTGTGAATTCAGATTCGCCTAGGCATATTAGATATGAATCTGGTAATGGGGAAGAACAGAGGCTAAATCCTCTGCCTGTTGAGGGTTAAAAGTGGAGGGGAAAAGCCCTAGAGCAGCAGTCCCCAACCTTTTTGGCACCTGGGACCTGTTTTGTGGAAGACAATTTTTCCACTGACCAGAATGTGAGGGGTGGTTTCAGGATGATTGAAGCACATTATATTTGTAGTGCACTTTCTTTCTATTATTATTGCATTGTAATGTATAATGAAATAATTATACAACTCACCATAATGCAGAATCTGTGGAATCCCTGAGCTTGTTTTCCTGCAACTGGATGGCCCCATCTGGGAGTGATGGGAGATAGTGACAGATCATTAGCCATTCAATTTTCATAAGGAGCGTGCAACCTACAACCCTTGCATGCACAGTTCACAACAGGGGTCATGCTACTATGAGAATCTAATGCTGCCACTGATTTGACAGGAGGCGGAGCTCAGGCGGTAAAGCAAGCTATGAAAAGAGGCTGTAATTCAGATGAACTTCACTGGCTCACCACTCACCTCCTGCTCTGCGGCTCAGTCTCTAACAGGCTTGGGGACCACTGCCCTAGAGCACAAGACCCCAGGGACCCCCATTAACTGCGTGCTTGTTCTCTGGTTAGGGTTTTACCTTCAAACTCCCTGAGAGATAGTCTGTTTGTAATCCACCCGCGCTGGAGTTTGCAGGGGGAGAGGGCTACGGAGCAAATGCTCTGGCAGTTAGTTGTCTATTTCCATCAATAGCTCATGGCTTTTGCTGTGCTCCATGGTCCCCCAGGGCACCTGTGACCTAGTCTATTGCAGCCTATTCCTCCAGTTAAGGGGAGGCCGTCATGGCCTCAAAACTCATGACTACAAGGATAGGAGCAGAATTTAAGAGTATTCCTCTCACCTTTCTCTGGCTGACATCTCCAGCCACCATCTGCCCCAGGGTGCAGTCACTCTATTCACACTCACCCTTCAACACACCAACACGGTCTAAGGTTTCCACATTTTCTGGGTTCCATTTTGTTTCATTGCAGAAATCCATGTTGAACTGTCTTTTCCATGGTTCCTCCACAATTAACAACCTGCATCCTCTTCCCCTTTCCTCTCTAACAAACTTTGAGTCATGGCCTGGGGGCTCCACGGCTGTAACCTATGCCCCAACCCACCAGAGAAGGATCCTTGGGTGCCCTGGACCTGATTTCAGGGTTCAGGAGCTAATCAGGCCGTCCCTTCCCAAGACCTCCCTCCCAGTGTTAAAATCCCTGAACTGAGGCCTGAGATCTCCATACCCAGCTAAAGTTAAGTCTGGCACTGTCCTCTCCATGCTGGCGGGAGGCCAGGGACAGGAGGGCTGGGACACACATGTGCAAGGTGTTCCATATGGACTCCCCTCTGGGGACAGCTGCCCATATTCGTGAGAACATGGCAATCTTCTGATCACATCAGATAGTGCATGTTTCTCTCCCTAGGAGACAGCGGACCCTGAAGGTAGCTTCCCACAAGCCCAGGCCCCAAGAGATCAGTCCTCAGAGGCAGGCCTCCCTGGTTTCCCCTTCCCTGAATCTGAGGCTCCCAAGCTGCCTGGTGACTCCTCTAATCTCCCCCCACCGAGGCCTCCAACCTACCTGTGTTTGTTGGGAGCCAGGTGAGGGTCCACGTAGGAGACGTGGTTGGGGCTAAAGGAAAAAGACAGCAAACACTGACTCTCCAGGGGCCCAGAAGTGAGCAGGGTCTACCCTATATATGAGAGGAGGTAGGGGCCCAGAGCCAGACCCTCAGGATGCCTTAAGCCAGGAGTGGCCTGAGCCTAAGATCTGCATGACAGAGTTGTTGGCGTGTGTGTGTTAGTGTGTGTGTGAAAAGAAGAGTTGTGGGTGTGCCTGTGTAAGACAAAGAGAGACGCAGAGTGACAGAGAGACTGTGTCTCTGTCCAGGGACCTCTGGGGGTATCTTCCCAACAGTTGAGGCCAGGATGTGCCGGGTGAAGGAGAGGTGAGAGTCCATGTCTGGGTACAGGATCTTTGCTCCCTTCGGACCAGAGCAGAAGACCTGGCAGGATGGGGGATGATAGAGGCATGGGAGTGGGTAAGTGACTTTCCTTCAGGTCCCTGGGGGGTGGCACAGTGGTATTTCCTCAAGAAAAGAGCTCACCTGCAAACACCACCAGGCTGACATCTCTGAGAACAGTGATGATGTTTTTGGAAGTGTTGTAGATTTCACACCAGTAGGATCCCGAGTCCTCCTTCAGCTGAATCATGGTGATTTTGAAGATGCTAGCATTTGGCTTGTCCCAGATTGTGTAATGAGACTTCTGAACTGCTGTCTGGGGCTTGGAGCTGGTGACAAGTAAGGTACACCGACTTGGCGATGTCTGCTGACACCAGGATTTGGGCTGATAGGACCCTCTCTTGGGTGAGTACTGGCATTGCAGGAAGAGGGTCTGTCCTTAGTGTTTGTGAAGTTCTTCAGGCACAGCGCCCTTTACCCAGGAACCTGCAGAAAGAAACCCAGGTCAGAGCTCTGGAGAGATGCATGACACACAATTTACCTAACTAAAAACCCTGCACATGAACACCTGAAACTAAAAGGTTTTTTTTTAAGGAAACCAAATAATGACAAAAAATAAAATGTAATCCACCAATCTTCATAGTTCAGCTGTGAAAAACACTTGTAAAAACACTAGTAAAAGGGATTGCTGGGTCAAATGGTATTTCTGGTTCTAGATCCTTGAGGAATTGCCACACTGTCTTCCACAATGGTTGGACTCATTTACACTCCCACCAACAGTGTAAAAGTGTTCCTATTTCTCCACATCCTCTCCAGCATCTGTTGTTTCCTGACTTTTTAATGATTGCCATTCTAACCGGCATGAGATGATATCTCATTGTGGTTTTGATTTGCATTTCTCTAATGATCAATGATGATGAGCTTTTTTTCTTATGTTTGTTGGCTGCATAAATGTAGGATTATAAATCATTCTACTATAAAGACACATGCACACGTATGTTTATTGCAGCACTGTTCGCAGTAGCAAAGACTTGGAACCAACCCAAATGTCTATCAATGATAGACTGGATAAAGAAAATGTGGCACATACACACCATGGAATACTATGCACCAAAAAAAGGATGAGTTCATGTTCTTTGCAGGGACTTGGATGAAGCTGGAAGCCATCATTCTCAGCAAACTAACACAGGAACAGAAAACCAAACACCACATGTTCTCATTCATAAGTGGGAGTTGTACAATGAGAACACATGGACACGGGGAGGGGAACATCACACACTGGGGCCTGTCAGGGGTTGCGGGGCTAGGGGAGGGATAGCTTTAGGAGAAATACCTAATGTAGATGACGGGTTGATGAATGCAGCAAACCACCATGGCACGCGTATACCTATGTAACAAATCTACAAGTTCTGCACATGTATCCCAGAACTTAAAGTACAATAATAATAAGAAGAATATTAAGGGATAACCCCCCAAAAATACTAGTAAAAGATTGTGAATGATGCATATGGACTTAACCAAAAGCTATGATATACCTATGTCAGGAGGGTGGAGACTTGGGTAGTTTATGCAGCTAAATCTGCCTTTCAGACAGGACACCAATAATAATAAAAATTGACATTTTGGTATATATATATACATATATATGCGTATATACGAAATGTACATATATATGCGTATATACGAAATGTACATATATATGCGTATATACGAAATGTACATATATATGCGTATATACGAAATGTACATATATGCGTATATACGAAATGTACATATATATGCGTATATATGTGTATATATATATATATGAAATGTCTGTGCAGATCATTTCCACATTTTTAAACTGGATTTTTTGGGGTTTTGCTGTTGAGATTTTTGAGCTCCATGTATATTCTGGATATTATTCCCCTGTCAGATGAGTAGTTTGCAAATATTTTCTTTCATTCTGTAGGTTGTCTTTCCACTTCGTTGCTTGTTTCCTTTGCTGTGCAGAAGTTTTGTATTTTGTTATGATCCCCTTTGTTTATTTTTGCTTTTCATGCTGTGCTTTTGAAGTCTTATCATACAATCTTTTTTTACAAATCATTATCTTGAAGAGTTTCTTCTTTTTTTCTAGCAGTTGTATAGTTTCAGAACTTACACTTTGGTCTTTAATCCATTTGAATTGATTTTTGGATAGGGTGAGAGATGGAAATCTAGATTTATTCTTCTGCATATTAATATCCAGTTTTGCCAGGACTATTAATTGAAGAGATTGCCCTTCTCCTAAAACAAGTTCATGATGCTGTTCTTAAAAATCAGTTGGCTGTATATACATGAATTAATTTATTTGTTCTCTATTCTGTTCCATTAGTCTATATGTCTGTGTTTATGTCAGTGCCATGCTTTTTTGGTCACTATAGTTTTGTAGTATATTTTGAAATCTGAAAATTCAGCTTTGTTGTTTTTGCTCGAAATAGCTTTTGCTAATTTGGGTTCTTTTATGGTTCCACATGAATTTTTAGGTTATTTTTCTATTTCCATGTAGCATGATCATTTTAACAATATTAATTCATCCAGTTCCCAAACATGGGATGTTTTCCATTATTTTGTATCTTTTTCAATTCTTTTCCTCAGTATTTTATAGTTTTCCTTGTAGAGTTTTTTCTCCTACTTGGTTAAATTATTCTTGGTATTTTTTGTCACTATTTTAAATGGTATTGCTTTTTAAATTTTATTTTAGCTACTTTATTGTTCATGTGTAGGAACACTACTGACTTTTGTATGTTGATTTTATATCCCGCAACTTTAGTGAATTTACTTATCAGCTCTAAGAGTTTTTTGGAAGAGTCTTAAGGTTTTTCTGAATATAAAATCATGTCACGTGCAAACAGGGACAATTTGATTTCCTTCTTTCCAATTTGGATGCCCTTGCTTTCTGTTGCCTAATTGCTCTGCCTAAGACTTCTAGTACTAAGTTGAATTAGAATGGTGAGAATGGGCATCCTTGTCTTGTTCCAAATCCTAGAGGAAAGGCTTTTAGCTTTTTCCTGTTCAATATGTTGTTAACTGTAGGTTATCTTATAGGGTCTTATTGTGTTGAGGCACTTTCCTTCTATACCTGATTTATTGAGACTTTTCATTATGATGGCATGTTGTATTAATCAAATGCTTTCCCTGCATCTGTTGAGATGTTCATATGGTTTCTGTCCTTCATTTTGTTGATCTGATGTATCACATTTATTGGTTTGCATATATTGAACCATCCTTGCATCCCTGGAATGAATCCCGCTTGATCATGGTGTATAATCTTTTTGATTTCCTGTTGTATTTGGATTGCTAGTATTTTGCTGAGGATTTTTGCATATGAGCTCATCAGGAATATTGGCCTGTAGTTTTCCTTTATAGGTGTATCCTTACCTGGTTTTGGTATCAGGGTTATGCAGGCCTCATAGAACAAGTTTGGAAGAATTATTTCTCCCTCAATATTTTGAGTTAGTTTGAGGAGAATTGGTATTAGGTTTTCTTTAAACTTCAACAGAATTTAGCAATGGAGTCATCTGGGCTTTCCTTTGTTCAGAGATTTTTTATTACTGATTCAATTTTGTTACTCATTATTTGTCTATTCCTGTTTCCTACTTCTTGGTTCAATTCTGATAGGATGTGTGTGTCCAGAAATTTATGTTTCTTCTGGGTTTTTTAATTTATTAGTGCATAGTTGCCAATAATAGTCTCTAATGAGCCTTTGTCTTTCTGTTATATATGTCACAGAAGAAGAATAGTTGTTCCAGACACCTTGGAGGTCTGTCTCCAGCTCAGATTAAGTCACCAGGTGGAACAGATGGCATGGAAAGCTCAGAGTGTGCTGTCCCATCATTCTCAAGCAATACCTGGGTGTCTAGTAGGGATGGAGGCTTAGGTAAGGCCCTGAAGAGCTTTTATCTATTCCAGAACATGGCACTTTCTGAACAGAGTCAACCCTAAAAGACACTCTGGATTCAACATAACTTGTGTCTGAATGAGGATCACTGCACAGAGGACAGAAGAAAGCAGAGTATTACTTTGGGATTAGCTGAGGCCCTAGGCTCATGCCTCTCTTGTGGATTCCAGAGAACCAGGCTGGACCACATCAGGCACTATCTCCTGCTCCAAAAAGGCCCAGGGGGTCCTGAACCTGAGCAGGTAGAATGACCTTCCCTTCAATTTCTATCCCCGTGCCCTAACACAAGCCTTAGATGTACCCACTTCAAGCCAGCAAAAGTCCCATTCTCAACCCCAGAGAAAAGGAGCTGGGGCTTGGAGCACTATGACTATATAAGCTTCTTATACCCCTTGGACAAGGCATCAACCTAGCAAATGTGGTCTGGTGGTGAATGAAATCTGAGCAATCAGGAGCCTCTTTCTTGCAGTTAAAGAATGGGACCAACAGCTCTAAGAACCTGATGAGCAAAGAGACACTCTGGCTGTCACAGGGTGGGAGCTGGAGGTGGGTGTCAGTGAACACTTGCAGGAGGAGGAGAAACTTTGAAGGTAGCAGAAGATTTATAAAGCATAGAAGGGGTTAGCATTCCATGCTGGGGAGTACTGGGAGCAGGTGGTGGAGACACACGTACAAAGCGTCATCTACAAACGTAGATGGCTTAGCTGAGTGGAGAAAGGAGAAGGATTGGTTAGAGCAGGACAATAAATTTCTTTAGCAGAGAGCCTTGAATGCTGTGCAGCCCTGTCACTGTGCACTGCAGTCAAAGGGAAGTGTTAAGGGCTTCCTGGAGGCCCCTTTGTGGAAGCATGAGGAGCTCAGTGCAGATTCCCCCAGCAGCCACGAGCAGGAGGAATGAGGTGGGTAGATACTAGAAGCAGGAGGGAGACCTGGTGGATTCCTTTGGAGTGAGAAGGGTTTGGGGCTCCCAGGAAAGGTTGAGGCCCATCTTCCACAGGCCCAAGCCCCACTTGTCTGTTCTGCTGGCCAGGAGGAGGGAGCAGGCTGGGCTTCCAAGCACAACCTTCAGCAGACACACACACTTGTGGGTTCAGGAGGGTCAGACCTGGGGAGCCCACACTTACCTTTGACTTGGCAGACCTGGCAGTGCCAGCCACTGTTCTGATGTGCCGATTCATCCTGAACAGAGGCCTGGTGTTCTCGGTCCTGTTTGTCATTCTTTGAAAGTCTGGGCCTTGGGTGAGTGGGGGCTGGGCCAGGCTTGAGGTGGAAGTGAATGAGGCAATGAGACAGCTACTGCAGATGCTGCTGTGGGAGGACTGCCTCCCAGGGGCTCCCCAGGGCTCTTGTCCCCTGACTCCTCCTCACTTCTGTTCTCAGGAGGTCTTTGGACAGGGGCAGCGCCAGGCCCTGGGACAGGGGAAGGATGTGAACCGGCTGGGCTTGGTTCCCAGATGGACGACCAGAGCAGGAGGGCAGGAGAGGCTGTGCTGATTGGACCCCAGGCTTTCCTTCACGGCAGGGAGGGCAGGCTTAGGCCTGGCGGGCTCAGATGGACCCTTTTCAAGCACCGTCCTTTCTCTCACTCCTCAGGTGAGGTGGCCTCCTGAAGAATCTCCACAAGGCCAACCCTGGAGACCAGCAGACTCTCCCTTCCAGGATCCCACAGGTGCACCCTTCCTGCCCAGCAACATCACATTCCCTGGATCTGTTCAGTGGTCAAGAAAGGCCTCCTCGACTACCTCCCTGAGCTCACTGCTTAGTCCCCCAACCCCAAGAGGGAGACATGAGGGTGGTCCTCAGAAATCACAGTGACGGCCATCGGTCTGGGCATTAAATAGAGCAATTGGGACTCACAAGGTGTAACTCGAGAGGGCCTGACATCCATTTCCCACTGCCTTCCTCACTCCCTCTGCTGGGATGTCTCTGGCCCTTGGGCAGACCCCGCACCGAGACACATACCTCTTCTGGGGAGTTTAAGTAATCAACTTGTTTTTAGAGCAGTTTAGGTTCTCAAAACAATGAGAGAAAGTACATAGAGTTCCCGTATACCTCCTGCTCCTCACATGCACAGCCCCCCACTATCCACATCCTGCCCAGGGGTCCGGCTGTTACAGCCGGCTACCCTACATTGAGGCACCCTGTCCTGTCATCAAGCACACAACCGTCCTGAGGGCTCACTTTTGCTGCTGAGCACGCGCTGTCTGTGCTTTGACAGACGTGTGATGACATCAACTCATCATTGTGGGATCACACAGTTGCCCCACTGCCCTCCAAATCCCCTGTGCTCCCTCGTTCATCCCCTCTGTTTATAAATAGGGAAAAGGTTATTCCAAAACTGGCTTCAGTTCAGTGATTAGTGTGGAGGAAAAAGGGCTCCATGTAAAATAAAGCTTCTTCCCCAAAGCCTCGGAATTTTAACCCTCAGAGGGCAGAGGGCCCACGTTGGCTTTCCTTTCTTTACTTGGTCTTCTCTGCCCTCCAGCTGCAGTTTGGGAAGCCTCCAGGCCTGGAGCATGGAGAGGAGAAGAGGAAGGGTCAGGAAAGTCTGGTGATGACCCAAAGAGTTCAAGCTGAGGTTTCTCAGAGGGCACCGTTGTGGGCTCTTCCGATGACACCCTGCCTGTCACCTGCAGCTTCCTCATGTAGCCTTGGATCTCCTTCCTGGTGGGTGCTCCTGACATCTCCTTCAGCCTCCAAGCCTTTCGCAGTCCACTTCCAGCTTCCTGCCATGCGTCCCTCCACCTCCAGCAGGCCTTTTGGGTGGGATCTACAACCACCCATGCTGGGTGCCTCACATCTGTGCAGCCCAACATCTGGCCCACGGAAGCCATCCACTTCCTTCACCCCAACAAAGTCATGGAGCCTGGGGGCCCCCACAAGGTCACCTCTCCTCCATTCCACCATCAGGACAGCTTGCCGCCTGCTGTCTCTACCCAATACAGCTCTCAGACTGAATCCAACTCAGCTGCTACATCTCCCAGACTGCAGGGGCCACAACCATCTTTCCAAGTTGTGACCCTATCTCAAGCCTCTCCCTAGGTTTGAGATAAGATGCAGGAATCTAACCCTCTCCTCCCCCAGGGTCACAGCACAACTACCAGCTGTCTCCAAAAGTCCTCTCCCAATCTTCACACTCCTCACAACTTTCTACCCTTGATGTGTGTGAGGGATTCATTCCTCAAAGAAGGTTTCAATACCTTTTGGCATGTGCTTCACACTGGCCTCCCACCTCACTCTGACAGATAGCATATATTTTCTTGGGACTTGCATTAGTCAAGATTTAGCTGCAAACTACAAAATCCAAGCTACGGATTTTAAGGAGAAAGAGATTTTTAAAATCAAACATTAAATGCTTTACAGAATCAGATCCTATGTAATTTCTGGGCATCACTCTTAAAGCCACAGGATGGGCTACTAAGGGACCACTGCCTTTGCCACAGTCAACACCCTTTCCAAATCAGGCAACTTTCCAAATCTGGAAGCTGCCATCACAGCCCTGGCTAAAGAACCCCTCCATCTCACCCATAGTCTACCGGCACAATGGATGCCTCTCTTCCCATTCTAGCTCACTTCCTCATTTAAGTCTCATACAAATACATTGAATGGGTGGGACCTAAAATATATCTGGAACCCTAGCTGCAAAGGAATCAGAAATGATCTTGTAGACCTTTTACTATAGAAAGACCCATGAAAAAGAGGTGGCAGCCACTCATAGTGGCTCACACCTGTAATTCTAGCACTCTGGGAGGCTAAGCTGGGTGGATCTCTTGAGTCCAGGAGTTCAAGACAAGCCTGGCCAACATGGTGAAACGTTGTCTCTATGAAAAGCAATAATAATAATAATAACAAGGTGCATTGGTGTGTGCCCACACTCCCAGCTACTCAGGAGGCTGAGGTGGGAGGATCACTTGAGCCCTGGGAGGTCAAGGCTGCAATGAGCCATGATCACACCACTGCACTGCAACCTGGGCGAAAGTGTAAAACTCCATCTCAAGAAAAGAAAAAGAGAGACAGAAGAAGAAAAAAGAAAGAAAGAAAGAAAGAAAAGAAAAGAAAAAAGAAGGAAGGAAGGAAGGAGAAAGAAAAAGAGAGAGAAGGAAAGAAGGAAGGAAGGAAGGAAGGAAGGGAAGAAAGAAAGAGGTGGCAATGAATATATAGTGAGTTCACAGTGTCTACCTGAATACTCTCAGCCAAAACTGAGATCACAATAGTTAAAATTTATAAGTTTTGTTGTTTCTTTTGCTGTCAATGAAAGTCAAATATGACTAAGTGAAAAATAAACATATAGTATTTGCTTTGTTATGTCAAATAAACGCTATTTGTAAAAATATAGTATTTGCCTTGTTACACCAAATAAACCCTATTCTGTAGTATAAACGTTATAGTAACAAATTTTCATTTACAGCAATCAGTACATCGGACACTATGTGTGACATATCACACTGAAGGCATCAAATGATACAGATGCAGAGAATAAATTCCTATTTTCCTCTTCCAGAATTTATCATACTTTTCTTAGAAACTTCAGTGTGTTTAAGAAAATGACTCTTATTACCATCAAGTGTTAGTAGGTGCTTTACACCTAGCCGTACTAAGATTTCTTAAAACTTTGCTGTTTGTTATGTACACGCTGTTTGTTATGTATCAAGTGATTATTCATATGCTTTGTGTAAATCGTTTCTATACATATTAAAACTAATCTTTTACACTTAGAATGCTTTCAGATTCACAGAAGAGTTGTGTAGGTATTGCATACTTCCCTGATGTGCTATGTTCAATGTCTTCTATTATTAATATAGTCCAATAGTATGCTACATTTCTCACAATTAATGAGTTGATATTGATACATTACTATAATTTTACAAAATTGATGAGTAGAACTCATATATTTATAATGCGTGGTAGGATAGTTTGATGTGTGTATTAACTGTGAAATTACTAAATCAAGCAATACCACATATACTTACTTGTTTTGTGGTGAGAACATTTAAAATCTATTTTCTGTCATTTTCAATTGTACAATTCATAGTTATGAACTGCACTCACCATACTGTGCAATAGATCTCTTGAACTTATTTTTTCTGTCTAACATATTGTGTTTCTTCAACAATACCTACCCAGTTTGTCCAATTCCCAGCCTCTGGTAATGCCATTCTACTCTGTTTCTGTGGTAGATTTTATTAATTGAAGTCCTTACTTCATTCAGATTACCCTGGCTTTTACCTCATGTACTTTCTGTGCTCCAGGATCCCACCTAGGAAGCCACATTGCTTTTAGTCTTCATGTCTGCTTAGGCTCCTCTTATTCATAGCAGTTTCTGAGAATTATTTCTTAGTTTTGATGGCCTTGACAGTTTTGAGGAACGCTGCTCAGGTATTTTGTAGAATGTCCCTCATGTGGAATTTGTTTGATGTTTTTCTCCTGGGGCCAGCGGCTTTGGGGAAGGAGACTGCACAGCTAATTGCCCTGTCATCACATCAAGTCAATGACACATTCTAACAACCTGAGTTATCCCTGTGGGTCTGCACTTTGGTTGCCTGGCTGCCACAGTAAGTGTCAGGTTTCTCCACTGTACAGTTACTCTTCTCTTCCTTCCCATGCTATCCTCTGGAGGAAAGTCACCTGCACAGCCCATGCTTAAGCCGTGGGAATTTATGCTTCTGCCTTGAGGGCAGAATACCTATAAGAATTGTTTGCAATCTCTCTCAGTCCCTTCAGGCTGCTATGAGAAGATGCCTTAGACTGGAGACTTTCTAAATAATAGAAATCTCTTTCTCAAAGTTCTGGAGTCTGGGAAGTCAAAGATCAAGGTGTCAGTGGATGTGGTATCTGCTGAGGGCTGCTCTCTGCTTCCAAGGTGGTGCTTTCTTGCAGTAACCTCAGTTGACTGAAGGCATGAACACTGTCCTCATATGGCAGACAGCGCAAATCTGCTTCCTGCAATCTCTGGTATAAGGGCATTAATTGCATTCTTGAGGATGACGCCCTCATGACTTAAGATTTTCCCACAAGATCCCACCTCTTAACGCTATCACATGGAAATTAAGTTTGAATATATGAGATGGGGGAACAACATTCTGAACACAGCAGAATCCTTATGCATGGGATATTTGTCTATTCCCCCCCCCAGTTCTTTATTCAGTCATTTACTTACATCAGCATGGACTCCTAGAGATTTAATATATACATTGGGTAGTAATCCAGTACCACTTGGTTTTGTTGCTAGATAGTTCTCACTTCGGCCATTTTCTTTTTCTGTACATTTTACACACGCGTTGTTCTTTCATCCACTGATGTATTCATCCAACAAGCACTGATTGAGATGATCCCAAGCTACCATAACTGATCCACTCCTACCTGCCTTCCCCTCCAACTTTCCCTGACCAGCACTCTCTTTCCTCCCTGCTTTCCTGGCCCCACCATTTCCAGGGAACATCTTGTAATTCCTGGGATTAAAATCTGCCCTCTACAAAATGTCTCAGGGTCAAAACTCATCATCAACCCACCATGGCTAGACCAGAAGGATTCAGGGGTCTGGTCGTGCCTCCAAGGGCCCTGACCACCTATAGGAAGTGCACAGAGAGAAGGAAAGAGGGATGACCCCAGCTTTATTCACCAGCTTTATTCTTGGCCATGCTGAGAGCTGCCCCTAGCAATAGAGGAGCAGTATGACTGGCTGGAAGGCATAAAGCAGCAGACATGGGGAGAAGTTCAGTGAAAGGCGGCAGAGCAACACAGCAGGGCTGAGGTGCCCAGGCCCAGAGACAGACCCTGTAGCTGGTGGCCCCTTTCAAGGCCTGGCTGCCCCTCCTCCCCTGGTCTGCAGAGCCCGCCCTCCCAGGCCGACCATTTCCCCAGCAAGACATTGACTTCCTCAATTTTACCAGCTGAGAGACACTGGGAACCTGGGGCAGAATCAGACCCAGCGTCTGACTCCTCCTGAGAGGGCTCCCTTTTTTCTCCTCTCCTCCGCTGTCAGAAACAGATCTGGGCTGGAATGGCCTGGGGTGGGGTCCACACCTGCTGCTTCCACCTGTGCTGCTGCTGCTCCTGGCCTCAGGTGACATGGAGGGAAAGAGTGCAGGGGGTGTAAGGAGTGGGATGAAGAATGAGTGGGGCAGGGAGCAGCATGGCTGTGTGACCATAGGACAGAATTTAGGGGCCCTCTTCCATGTGTGGGCATCAGAACTAGTTCCCCCTCCCCTTCCCCAGCCTGTGATGGGGGAGGTTGGGTCCCTTCAGAGCTCTGACCTGGGTTTCTTTCTGCCGGTTCCTGGGTAAAGGGTGCTGTGCCTGAAGAACTTCACAAACACCCAGGACAGACCCTCCTCCTGCAATGCCAGTACTCACCCAAGAGAGGGCCCTATCAGCCCAAATCCTGGTGTCAGCAGACATCTCCAAGTCGGTGTACCTTACTTGTCACCAGCTCCAAGCCCTGGACAGCAGTTCAGAAGTCTCATTACACAATCTGGGACAAGCCCAATGCTGGCTTCTTCAACATCACCATGATTCAGCTGACACAGAATGACTCGGGATTCTACTGGTGTGGAATCTACAACGCTTCCGAAAACATCATCACTGTTCTTAGAAATATCAGCCTGGTGGTGTCTCCAGGTGAGCTCTTTTCTTGAGGAAATACCTCTGTGCCACCCCCCAGGGACCTGAAGGAAATGTCATGCACCCCCTCCCATGCCTCTATCATCCCCCATCCTGCCAGGTATTCTGCTGTGGTCCAAGGGGAGCAAAGATCCTGTCCCCAAACATGGACTCTCACCTCTCCTCCACCCGGTACATCCTGGCCTCAATTGTTGGGAAGGTACCCTCAGAGGTCCCTGGACAGAGACACAGTCTGTCTGTCACTCTGCGTCTCTCTTTGTCTTACACAGGCACACCCACAACTCTTCTTTTCACACACACACTAACACACACACACCAACAACTCTGTCATGCAGATCTTAGGCACAGACCACTCCTGGCTTAAGACATCCTGAGGGTCTGGCTCTGGGCCCCTACCTCCTCTTATGTATGGGGTAGACCCTACTCTCTTCTGGGCCCCTGGAGAGTCATTGTCTGCTGTCTTTTCTCTTTAGCCCCAACCACGTCTCCTATGTGGACTCTTCCCTGGCTCCCAACAAGCACAGGTAGGTTGGAGGCCTCGGTGGGGGAAGATTAGAAGGGTCACCAGGCAGCTTGGGAGCCTCAGATTCAGGGAAGGGGAAACCAGGGAGGCCTGCCTCTGAGGACTGATCTCTTGGGGCCTGGGCTTGTGGGAAGCTACCTTCAGGGCCCACTGTCTCTTAGGGAGAGAAACATGCACTATCTGATGTGATCAGAAGATCGCCATGTTCTCACGATGATGGGAGGGTGTCCCCAGAGGGAAGTCCATATGGAACACCTTGCACACGTGTGTCCCAGCCCTCCTGCCCCTGTCCTCCCGCCAGCATGGAGAGGACAGTGCCAGACTTGACTTCAGCTGGTTATGGAGATCTCAGGCCTCAGTTACCCTTAGCCTGAGGGACCCTTAGGGGCTGCCTCTGGCCCCTCTCCCCTTCCTCTCACACTTTTGGGACCCAATCCCATTCTCTATTCTGGTGCCCTGGGCAGCCACTGTCTTCTTTGTGTCCTCTTTAGTTCTGATCACTTCTCCAGAGGGGACCTCTGGCCATCCCTCCATCAATGGCTCTGAGACCAGGTAGGTCAGAGGTTTTAACACTGGGAGGGAGGTCTTGGGAAGGGAGGGCCTGATTAGCTCCTGAACCTTGGAATCAAGTCCAGGGCACCCAGGGATCCTTCTCTGGTGGGTTGGGGCATAGGTTACAGCCGTGGAGCCCCCAGGCCATGACTCAAAATTTGGTAGTGAGGAAAGGGGAAGAGGATGCAGGTTGTTAATTGTGGAGGAACCATGGAAAAGACAGTTCAACATGGATTTCTGCAATAAAACAAAATGGAACCCAGAAAATGTGGAAATTGGAGGCCGTGTTGGTGTGTTGAGGGGTGAGTATGAATAGAGTCACTGCAGCCTGGGGCAGATGGTGGCTGGAGATGTCAGCCAGAGAAAGATGAGAGGCATACTGTTAAATTCTGCTTCTATTCTTGCAGTCATGGGTTTTGAGGCCATGACGGCCTCCCCTTCACTGGAGGAATAGGCTGCAATAGACTAGGTCACAGGTGCTCTAGGGGACCATGGAGCACAGCAAAAGACATGAGCGATTGATGAAAATAGACAACTAACTGCCAGAGCATTTGCTCCGTAGCCCTCTTCTCCTGCAAACTCCAGCACGGGTAGATTACAAACAGACTATCTCTCAGGGAGTTTGAAGGTGAAACCCTAACCAGAGAAAAAGTATGGCAGCTAATGGGGGTCCCTGGGGTCTTGTGCTCTAGGGCAGTGATCCCCAAGCCTGTTAGAAATTGGGCCATAAAGTAGGGAGTGAGTGGTGAGCCACTGAAGTTCATTTGAATTACAGCCTCTTTCCATAGCTTGCATTACTGCCTGAGCTCTGCCTCCTGTCAAATCAGTGGCAGCATTGGATTCTCATAGTAGCATGAGCCCTGTTGTGAACTGTGCATGCGAGGGTTCTAGGTTGCACGCTCCTTATGATAATTGAATGGCTAATGATCTGTCACTGTCTCCCATCACTCCCAGATGGGACCACCCAGTTGTAGGAAATCAAGTTCAGGGCTCCCACAGATTCTACATTATGTTGAGTTGTATAATTATTTCATTATATATTACAACATGATAATAATAGAAATAAAGTGCACAATAAATATAATGTGCTTTAATCATCCTGAAACCATCCCCGACTCTCAGGTCCATGGAAAATTTGTCTTCCACAAAACAGTTCTCAGGCGCCAAAAAGGTTGGGGACTGTTGCTTTAGGGCTTTTTCCTCTCATTTTTAACCCTCAATGGCTAGAGGATTTAGTCTTCGGTTCTTCCCCATTACCAGATCCGTATCTAATATGCCCAGTGGAATCTGAATTCACAAGCCAAAATACCTAGGCTCTTAGTAGAAGCACTACCTTAAAAGAATGGAAACACACCCAACAATAGAAACCTGTGAAGCAGAACTATGGGAACTGCCCATTCCCCAGGAACTCTAGGTACCTATGATCAGTCTGGCTAAAGGGGTGAGGGGAGACGTCAACTATGTGGATCATGAGGACGATCCATTGGAAAAAAGAGCCAAATGCTGATCATAGTTGTGAAAAATATTATAGACCACAATATATGTGATGAAGGATGGCTGTGGCTGGCCAGTGAGCTGTAAGAAGAGTGAGGAATTCTCATGGAAGGTCCTGGAAAGAACTGGAGATTTAAAAATCAAAGAGAAGTTAGGAGACACGAAGGAGAAGAGTAGGTGTACTAATGTATGAGTATCAAGAACTCCTGTGGGAGATAAAGGATGAAAGAAAGAAATATTTGGAGAAAGAATCCAGGAAATTTTTTCAAAATTATAGAAGAAAAGACCTCAAATTGAAAAGATTCATACATTGCCAAATAGGGGAAAACAGCCAACACACACACAAAAATACCTCTAGACCCATTATGTAAAAGGGAAGAACTTAAAAAGCAGAGGGAAATGTCTGCACGCTTTCAGATCACCTACAAAGTGATAAGAATTAGACTTCTTAAGAAGAACACTAGAGAAAAGAAGACAATTCAGTAATATTTCTAAAGTACTAAAGAAAAACTTTGTATCCAGTGTTTTGTATTCAGCCAAATTGTCACTCCAATGTGAAATCATAAAACCTCTGGATTCTCAAGGCCTCAGAAGGTTTGCCACATGCAAACATCCCCACTGAAAACACTCCTGGAGGAAGGACTCAGCTAGGATGAAAAGTAAACCCTGGAGACGCTGCTAGAAGTGAGGGAGTAAGTGTGCCCAGCATCTTGGGAAAGTTTGTTTTTATCTTTTTTGATTTATAGGAATGGCAGCTAAGAGCAAAATGAAGAACAAGAGAAAATACATTCATGGTCATTGAAAAATAACATTCTAGACTAGCAGTCCCCAACCTTTATGGCACCAGAGACTGGCTTCGCAGAAGACAATTTTTCCATGGACTTGGAGGTAGGGGATGGTTTCAGGATGACTCAAGCGCATAACATTTACTGTGCATTTTATTTATTTATTTATATTATTATTACATTTTAATATATAATGAAATAATTATACAACTCACCATAATGTAGAGTCTATGGGAGCTCTGAGCTTGTTTTCCTGCAACTAGACAGTCTTATCTGGGGGTGATGGGAGACAGTGGCAGATGATCAGGCATTTGATTTTCCTAAGGAACGTGCAATCTAGAACCCTCGCATGCCCCATTCATAATAGGGTTCATGCTACTACGAGAATCTAAAGCCACCACTGATCTAACAGGAAGCGAAGCTCAGGCAGTGATGGGTGCGATGGGGAGTGGCTGTAAATACTAAGAAGCCTTACTTGCTCACCAGCCACTCCCCTCCCGCTGTGCAGCCAGATTCCTAACAGGCCAGGAACTGGTACTGGTCTGTGACTCAGGGGTTGGGGACCCCTGTTCTAGACAATAACAACATGGGGTGAGAAGGAGAGACCAGAAGCCCATGAAAGAATGGTTGGGTACTTGTCTCATGAGAGGCAATATGTAGATATTGATAAGCTCAATGTAGCAATTGTACTAAATCAATGTAGATAAGAGTCTTCAGGTTAAGTCAAGAGAATGTATACCCTTTCATCCAGCAAAATAAAACTCTAGCCAAAGGAAAGTCGGAATCGAATTTTTAAAAAATAAAGCACAATAAATGGAAAAAATGAAATAAAAAGGTAGAATCAAGTCCTAAAATAAATGCAATTCCAATAAATTTAAGTGGATTAAACTCACAAAATAAGGACAGGGACACTCTGAGTTTTAAAAAGTGCAATGTTATACTATCTATAAGAGATAAACATACAAAAGATTTTAAAAGGTTAAAAGTTAGAAAAATATATTTGACTATTAGGAAACAAAATAAACTCTTCTGGCACTCTTAATATGGAACAAAATAGAATTTAAGGTAAAATATTATGTCTATAACATTTGTTTATAAAAAAGACAAAGATATGTAATATATACTGATGAAAGATGCACTTGAATATGAAAATAGACCCATCATAAACGTATATGTGCTTAAATTTTGGCCATGAAATATATCAAGCAACACTATCAGAAATGCAAGGAGAAATAAATTATTAGCCATTGTAGTTGGAGGTTCACATACCTCTCAGAGGATCAAAGACCAATGAGACAAAACTAAATAGAGGGGTTTAAGTTTTAAGCCAAATAACTAATAAATTCCAGTATAATACCATCACATATTTATCAATGTTACATATTTTATTAGGTATTTATAATAATATAGGATACATATAAACTATGCTTTTAAATATATAATATTTTCAAATATATAAAATATGTAGTTACAGATTGAAAAATGTTCTAAACTATATAAATATAGTTCTAAACTATATAAATATAAAACATGTATATTATGTATGTTTTATAAAATACAGTATTCATAAATATAAATAGTGTATAAGTACACATATATATGTTTATAACCCTCTACATAATAAAAACAGATAGTATAGATTCTTTCAAATACATGAAATGTATTTACAAAAGGACACCTTGTATAAGGACATATAAGAAGCGTGAAGAAATTCTAAAGAATCAGTACGACACAGAATATATTCTCCAAACCTAACGCAATGACATTAGGAATGCATAAGAGAAATAAAATAGCACTTTTCAAACTATTTACTAATACATTCATATATGAATGTTTAAGTATGCAATAAAATATATTTTGATAATATGACCACTATATATCAAAAAGTATGAGGCATAAAATATTAGGGAGTAATTAGTACCTTTGAATATATTTGTTGGAAAACATGAAAGATTTCAAATTAATGAGCTAAGGAAGCATCTCAAGAAGATGGAACACGAGCATCAGAGCAAACCCAAAGAATCATATAATTGAATGATTGAAAAAGGAGATCAAAGAAATTCATAATTCATTCTTTAAAAGTTTGCTAAGATAGACATGTTCTTGTCAAGACAAAAGAAGATAATAAATAAACAAATCAAAGAAAAAGAAGAAAATAACCACACACTGATTCTACAGAGATTTTAAAATAAATAAATCCTGAATAAAATCTTGTTGTTTTAAATCCTAGAAGCACACAATTTCCTAACAATATGAACTGCTAAGATTAACACAAGAAGAAACAGATTTCAATAGATTAATAAATAGGAAAACTGAAACAGTTGATAAGACCCATCCTCACAGAAAATTCAAGACTCATGTGGTTTTCAGGTAACCCAATTTTTAAAGAAACATTTACATTTCATGATTTATATTTCATACTAGATGTTGCAGAAAATAGAAAAGAAGCAAAAACAGCCCAGGTCATTTGAACAGGTTAGTGTCATCAAAATCTCAGAACTAATTAAAGGAGATACAAAAAAATTAAATTATAGGTTCATTTCTCTGATGCACATGGGGTCCATTCCCTAATTACCATTAGCTAACTGAATTCAAGAGTGCATTGAAAAGAAGACTGATTATAATCGAGGAGAGTCTTATCACAAAACAAAAAGGATTTTTCAACTTTAGAAAATCTATTAATATAAGTAAACCAAATTCATAAACTACAGGAAAAAAGTCAACTGCTGCACAAAAAGCATTTGGGGACCTTGAGCACATTTATGTTATCTGAAAAAGCTCTTAATAAAATGGAAGTAAGAACAGATAACTTGGTAAAGATTGTACACCAATGATTACCATAAAGATTACTTATTGGAGGTATAAACTCAAATTAAGGATTTTCATAGCTACCATAAATGTCTTCTAAAATATTAGAGATTCTGATCAATGCTTGAAGGAAAGGAAAACAGGTTACATGAAAGAAGATTAGACAAGAAGAGGAAAAACTGTCATGACTTGCAATTGATGGGATCATCTACCCAGAAAAAGAATGAGAAACAACAAACTATTAGATCTCACAAGAGAGTTTAGCAAGGCTGCCAGATACAAAATCAACTGACATACATTACAAATAGATTTCTATGAGGAATAATCATTTAGAAAAATAAGATCGTTTTCATTACAGTCACAAAGTCTATAAAGTTTCTAGAAAGAATTAATTTAACCAAGACCTGTTTGGAGAAAAGTATAAAATGCTAAAAAATGACAGGTGATCTGAATAAATAGAAACAATCCATGACTTTGGAAGAGGCAATAACATTGTAAATATGTCAATTTCTCCCAAATTAAAAAGTCTTTAAATGTAATCCCAAACACAACTTCTTTACTTTTGTAAAGAACTTGAAAAATTTACTCTAAAATTATATGAAAAAGGAAGATACATGAGTAGCTAAGTCAACCATGAAAAAGTGAAAATAAAAAGAGCTCACTGACTTTATCATATATTATGTAATACTGAGGCAGAAAGTTACCAAGGCCACAAGAGAAAAGCAGATTTGCTGGGACAGGGTAGTCCTAGATCAGAGCTAGGCAGGCCAGGAGTGGGGGCTACACAGAGGGGATGAGGGAGGACCCCTGGGACCAACAGACAGGAGGTCTAGGTCTGTGCTGTCACCACTCCTAAGGGTCTGGTCAGGTCCTGTGCAGTCTCTAGGCCTCATTTCCTCAGATGTGATATCTTGGCTGGTCTTGAAGATGCACTGGGCTCTGATTCCTAAGGTCGGATGGTCCCATCCGACCTGACCTGGTTAGGGAGAATTCCTGCTCCCCCAGCTCTATCCCTCCCCTTCCCTGAACTCCAATCCCTTGTTCTTCCCCTGGCCAGCTTTTTCCTCCGTTCAAGACTTTGAGGTTCCTTCTGACTAGGTCCCCTCTCAGTCCCAGAGACCTCTGTGGCTCCTGCCCCACACCCCTCTGTCATCGTTCAGGGTGGGCCCTTACGCAAACAGCTCCAGCTACAAGGGGCCTGCCTGGCTTAGGGACACCGCAGGAGGTGGTGACATCCTGGCCCAAGTCCATCCTCCTTTCTCCTTCTTCCCTGCAGGAAATCAAGAGCCCCTGCCTGCCTTGGCTCAGGTGGCCCCAGATTCCTGGTCTTGGTGCTATGTGGACTCCTCCTGGCCAAGGGCCTGATGTTGTGAGTCCTGTTAGTGCTCCTGATCTGCAGGTGCCACAGGTGAGGGGGCCTGGATTTCACCTGGGGGCAATGGAGCTGGGGCCAGATTCTGTTCCTAGAAAGATGGCTAGGAAGAAGCAGCCAGGTCACAGAGGCAGGAAAAATGACAGCTGGGAACAATTTAAAAGTGTGTTTCCTTGCAATCTCTGCCTTCCTGCAGACACAGACCTTAGAAAGAGACAGAGGCTTTCTGGGAGTCCCATCCCAGGGCTCTGCCTCTGTCTCTGTCCTGAGAGGAAAAAGACCAGGAGGACAAAGCTGAGAGTGCCTGGGTAGAAGGTTTAGGAGACAGGAAGGGGCAGGGAAGGAAGCAGGTGACAGGGAGAAGGCGGGGGAGGGGCGGGAAGAGGAGTAACAGGTAACAGGGACAGGGTGAGACAAAGGATCAGAAAAGCATCACTTCCATTCATGACTTTCCCCCTCTTGCCCCATCTCAGGACAGCAGTGACGAGGTTTCTGATTGTCCCAGCACAGCCTTGTCCCAGGACCCTTGGGTGCATGAGCCACAACATGGATCCTGGATGAATCCCAGTTCTTCCCCTGCCCAGCTATTGGGAGCTGGCCTAAGTATTGCTCCCCACCTCCTTGTGAGGAAAGGCTAGCGCTAAGCCTATTGGAGAGAACTTTCAGCCCCTGAACTCCCCGGTGGTGACCCCTCACCCCTGCACTGAGCCCCCTTAGATCTACTGCCCCTGCCCTGACTTTCGCCATTGGGAAGACCTGGGGTGGGGGTTTCTGCATCCGGGTCAATGCCCAGCTCAGCATCTTCAGCTGTGCCCAGGCTCCTCTCCAGCACTCTGTCGTTCTCTGAGCCCCACCTCAGCAGGTCTCCAGGATCCCTCACATTTCCCCTGTTTGTTGCCTGTGGTCTGCCCTAGAGTCCTATGAATTTCCTCTTGTGCTTAATTAAATTCAACCTCTGAACTGAAATGTGTCAGGGGCAGCTGAGCAAGACAGCAGTTGTATCCCCTCACCTTCCTCCCGTCCCACCCCAGATATCCTAAATGAGAGAGAAATGACTTAAAAATAAATGATAAAATTGAAACTAAGAAAGGCTGTAATCAGCAGACTGGAAGCTGAGGAAGATCTAGAAGTAAAAGAAAAAATTAGATGCGTTAAAATGACATGAGCAGGCGACTCAGTGGCCCAAAACAGGACCCAGAACATTCATCCGTAAATGGAATCTGATAATCTGGGGCCCAAATTCTGTTTACTTAACATGTGAGAAGATTCACAGCCTAAAAGAGAAAATCAAGTTGAACTAACAATAAATGATGGTGGGTGAAAGATAAATGTTTTAGGGAACAGAAGAGGAGCACATATTTATGAAGCAAGAATAGGTACAGTCATTTTCCAACTAACATCTAGTGAGACTGGGATTCACCACTCAGAATGGGGGTCCACCATGAGCAACAGATTTGAGGTACCAGTGCATAGCAGCTGAATGCCAGCCCTGTAAAAGACCACCATAAAGAGAGCTCCATGTTCTTTTGCTCTTTTGGGGATGGGACATCAAACAAAAGTCTCTTCGTGTATATCTCAGCTCCTGCCACATGATCATCACCTATCTGTGAGAGGCATCGCTTTTGCTTTGTTTATTTATTTTTTTAATCCTCATTCCCTATGTCCACTTGCCTTCCTCTCCGAGGCAACTACTCTAATGCATTTGGTATGTAACTTTAAATTTGAATGTATTCTTGTAAAACATCCAGTATTTTTTTTTCTGTGACTATGTTTTCACTTACATAAAAGAAATTGTGATAGACCTTTTTCATATGCTTGTCTTACTCCTTGCTGGGCACATATACACAGCCCACTTCTTTTCAGTGCTTATTCCATTGCGTACATATCCCACAGTGCATCATTCCGAACCCAGGGTGCATGTGCTTTTTTGCCTTCACTTTTCTATATCATAAATGATGCTGTGATGAATACCCTCCTTCACGTTCTCTTGTGGAATCATGTGAGACTTCCTTTAGGACTTATACACAGGTGGCATCAGCTGGGTTGTGGGATCTCAGACATCTAATTAATACTGCCAGCTTGTGTTGCCTGAACCAAGAATCTAGACACTAGCGATTATGTGTTTTCTCTGAGTCTATGTGAAGTACACAGCACAACCTATGGAATGGTATTGCCAATTAAAAAAAAAATGGAAGGCAAGAATAAACGTAGCTGAGTGATGCTACATGGGGCTAGATATATGATTATCTCTACTTTTGTGTATGCTTGGAAATTTTCATAATTAAAATGGTACCTAAAATTAAACACTTGTGTCTTGAAGCCACTGCTATTTGGTTTTCAGTCGTATGTGGCTGAACCCAGTTCTTTCTTATTGAACTTTTACAACTGCAGTAGGTTGGGAAAAGTTGACTTGTCGTATGGAAATATTGAGCTTCACTTAAAGAACATTGATAGTGGGATAAAAATGGACTAAATAAAAATAAGTCTTCCTTAATCAGATGCTAAGAGCTTAGCATTTAGCTATAACTTTTAAATATTTTATCTTAACATCCTTGGCCTCAAAATTGTCATAATTCCCTTAACCACAATTTTCAAGCAGGTGGTAAATTCTGTGTCATAAGTTAACATCTAAAAAATGTAGCTTTCTTTAAAATTTTGAACATTTCTTATTGTTTTCTTACCTTCATAGTGTTGCTATGGAAATGTCTGATAATAATCTGATAGTTATTCATCTCTACTGACCAATTTTATCTCTGGAACATTTTATAATTTTCTTTTTGAAATTTGTATTATAATGGGTGTAATGTGGGGTAATTATCCATTTTTTCCTTTTTTTTTTTTTTTTTTCTTTTTGGGCGAAAGAGGGGGAAAAGAGTCAGGGGGTGGTTGGGAAGCCCGGCGACAAAAGGGGGAAAGAGGGAGGGAGCAGGAAGCCAAAAGCCTATATCACCCGGTATTCCCAGGCGGAATCCCATCCAAGTACTAACCAGGCCGACCCTGCCTGGGGCGTGCCTCGGGCACTTTCAGGGTGGTATGACCCTAGAGGCCAGCAGTGGCGCCTGGCTGCCCCAACAGCCCGCGGTGCTGCAGCGGCAGACCTCCACGAAGAGGTCCCGGGCTCCCGCGGGGGCGCAGGCGAGCGGAAAAGTGGGAGAAGAGTCAAGAGGTGGTTGGGAAGCCCGGCGGCGACAAAATGAGTAAAGAGGGAGGGAGCAGGAAGCCAAAGCTTGATTATACATTCTATTTGGAACTCTCTGAACACATTCAGTCTGATGTCTTACATATTTGTTTAATTCGGAAAAATCCTTGGTATTATTTTTTCAAGAAGTTCTTCTACTCCATTTACTCCTTTTTCTCCTTTGAGGACTTCTTTGAGGAGATATTGACATTTGTTTCTATCCTCCATACCTCTTAATGTTTCCCTTACACTTTCTATCACTTTATTCCTTCCTAATGCCTTTAGGAAGTGCTCCTTGACTCTTTCCCTTACCTACTCATTCTTCTGCTAGTCATTGCATTCAGAGTTTTCTTTCAGCAATGATCATTTTCTTAATCAATATTTCTAATTTTTTCTTCTTCATTATTGCTTGCTTCTGTTTTATGCTTCTAATATTGTTCCTTATTGCTCTGAGAATATCTGCTATGCTTATTGAAATCATTGTTTTCCCACTGGTTCTGCTTTCTCTGTAATAGATTATTCAATTTATTTCTTTATAAGAAATTTGTTCTATTTGTTATCTTTTTATAGCATTTGGTAATTTTTCTTGTATTCTCATCTTTTATTCCCTTCCCACCCCTTTTTTTTGAGGATCAGTTAATTACTGCAGATTTCACTGCCTAAGGAAGCCCCAGAGGTAAATAGAGTTGATGAGTTTGCCATAAACCATCCAAATATAGAGATACTATATCACAAAGATAGCCATTCACATCAGTGAGTTTATTTAACAATGAAAACAGCATATGTGGCCGGGTGCGGTGGCTCACGCTTGTAATCCCAGCACTTTGGGAGGCTGAGGCAGGCAGATCACAAGGTCAGGAGATCGAGACCATCCTGGCTAACATGGTGAAACCCCGTCTCTACTAAAAATGCAAAAAAAATTAGCCAGGCGTGGTGGTGGGTGCCTCTAGTCCCAGCTACTTGGGAGGCTGAGGCAGGAGAATGGAGTGAACCCGGGAGGTGGAGGTTGCAGTGAGCCAAGATCGCGCCACTGCACTCCAGCCTGGGTGACAGAGCGAGACTCCGTCTCAAAAAAAAAAAAAACAAACAAACAAAAAAAGAAAAAAGCATATGTTTAACTATTTGGAAAAAATTAAATGTTACCCTCTTTTCATACTATAATCTAAAATAAATTTTAAATAGATCAAAGAATTAAGTGTTAAATGAGAAAATTTTAAAGAACTAAAAGAAATAACTCTATAAGGATTCAATTCTAGTAAGGACAGGCATAAGTAACCAATATAAGTGAGACAGAAATCATAGAGGGAAAAGGCTGAGAGATTTTCCAAAATTAAAATTTTAAAACTAATCTGTGTCCAAAGTAAGTCATCAAGAAAACGAACAAGAAAAGAACAAACTCAAAAGAGTTTTTTGGAATTAAACTAGAAATCAGTAGCAGAATAACAAAAGGATATTTGGAAACAAAAAACTACAATAACCAAAATTAAAACCTCACTAGATGGACACCATAGGATAGTAGAAATGAGAGGATATAATTAGTGAACTAGAAGACAGAACAATAAATTTACCCAGACTGAACAGACAGAAAACAGACTGAAAATAAATGAACAAAACCTCAGCTATCTGTGGGACATTACTAGAAGAGCTAACTTTTGCATCACCAGTGTCCCAGAAGCAAAGGAGAAAAAGTGTGGGACTAAAAAATTATTCAAAGAAATGTCTAAGCTCCTCAAATTTGGTCAAAGACATAAAGTTACTGATCCAAGAAAGATTTTGGGGATGATGGCACCCTTCTCTCTTGATTATGGCATTGGATACAAGTCTCCGGAACTCTCAGAACTGTTTATTAAAAAGGGTGAATAGTACTGTATGTAAATTAGACCTTAATTTTCTAATGGGAAAAATAAATGTAAAGACAAAATACACTGCTGTATTAAATCAAATGATGGATGTAAAAGTCTAATGTATACATATTTTTAATGACTTTGACCAATGCTTCCAAATTTCTCTTAAAAAAGTTTGAATCCAGTACATACTTCCTCGATCAGTGAGTGAGTGTTTGATTCCTTCTACCCTCATCAGCACAGTGATCCCAAGGGTCACAGTTTTAATGATCCCTGGCACAGTGCTGGGCACACTGTATCGGTTTCATAGAATCATGGATTGCAAGCACACGAAGCCCCCGAAGCAACTTACTGTTCTAATGGGGGAAGGGATGAACGAACATACTGTGTGTGCTGGGGAGGGGAGATGGCCCCTGAACTCAGGGAGCTCAGGAAGTTCTAAGGACTGGGTGGGAAACATTGAAAAAGGAAGGGTGAATAAGGAAAACAAAACACATCTGTGAGCTGAGAGGTCTCAAGTGACAATCGTGTCTCATTCCTATGCCCCCAGTGCCTACCTAGCCCCATGCATAGCAATGAGGTTGTGGGAATGAACAAATGAATGAATGAATGAGTGAGTGAATGAGTTGAGAGACTATAAAAGCTTAGGGTCAGCCGAGATAGACTTCTTTGCTTGGAGCTTGGGGGTTCAAGGTCAGTTTAAGATTCTGGCCATGCAAGCCTGAGGACTTTTTGCTCTGAGACCTGTTAAAATTAATGAAAATGGAGACCAGGCCTGAAGAGTCCCTGAGCAGACAAAACCAGTTAGGCCTCATAAGTAACCTCAACTTTGCTTGATTTGCAAACATCAGTGAAACTTCACTTGAGCTATTTCTTGTAAATGTGTGTATTAAGGAAGAACAGAACTTAAGCTCAACCAATCAGAAGCCAACAAACTTATGTAGGTAACTAGGGTCTTTCCAACAGGATAGGCCAAATAAGGGAACTTTATAACTGTAACTAATTAAATATTTTCTTCAGTTTACTTGTCCTGTAGGAGTCTTCCCCTTGCATTCCCCCAGTGGAGCTCCTCAACCTCTTCTGTTTGGAGCTGCCTGATTCATGAATTGTTGTTTGCTCAAATAATCTGTTTAAAATTTTATTGTACCTCAGTTTACTTTTTGACAGTCCCATCTAAGGAGTAGAAACATGGCACTGGTGAGTAGGGGGAGCATACATAACCACGGGCGTCCAGCTGGGTCCCCACACACTGAAGGAGGAGATGACACAGATACTGGACATCAGAAATCAATGCTTCTGATTCTAGGCCTTGGGGTAAGTGAAGGATGTGGTCTTGGGCCAAGTGCTGGGTCATTTCCACTGGAGATGGAAGCAGCACAGGCGAGACAGGGTTGAGCAGGGGGAAGTTGAAGGGGCTTGCCTGAATGCTGACGGAGGCTGGAGGCAGGGGAGGAAGGGGCTCTTGAGATGAGGTGGGTGAGGGAAAGCACTGTGGTGGCTTTAGGAAGCCTGCACGAGGAGCTAGGAGTCTAGAGGGAGCTGGTGATGAGTAGAGACAACAGGAGGAGAGGCAGGGAGAGGGACAGAGGAGACACATGGATAGGGAAAAGGAGAGGCGGCTGGAGGGTGTGTGAGACTGTGTGCATGGGCGTGTGTGTGTGTGTGTGTGTGTGTGTGTGTATGAGAGAGAAAGCAAGACTATGTGTGTGAGTGTGAGTGTATGTGCACTCACACCCATGTGTGAGAGTACAGGAACCCCTCCCACAACCCAAACTTTATGGGAAACCAAACAGATTTCAAGTAAGCCTGTAAGAGGTTATTTACAAGAGGGAACACAAGTGACTGTTCTGAGCAGATAGAAGCCTGGGAGAGAAAGAGAGGCAGGAACAGAAAGAATCCATCTGCAATAAATGAATGAATTAGAGTTTATAAGAATTTCTTTGTGAATGTGTGTATGTAAGAAACTAGAGTTCAACTCCACCCCAAATCAACAGAATATACATTCTTCTCAGCACCACATTGCACTTATTCCAAAATTGACCACATAGTTGGAAGTAAAGCACTCCTCAGCAAATGTAAAAGAACAGAAATTATAACAAACTGTCTCTCAGACCACAGTGCAATCAAACTAGAACTCAGGATTAAGAAACTCACTCAAAACTGCTCAATTACATGGAAACTGAACAACCTGCTCCTGAATGACTACTGGGTACATAATGAAATGAAGGCAGAAATAAAGATGTTCTTTGAAACCAATGAGAACAAAGACACAACATACCAGAATCTCTGGGACACATTCAAAGCAGTGTGTAGAGGGAAATTTATAGCACTAAATGCCCACAAGAGAAAGCAGGAAAGATCTAAAATTGACACCCTAACATAACAATTAAAAGAATTAGAGAAGCAAAAGCAAACACCTTCAAAAGCCAGCAGAAGTCAAGAAATAACTAAGATCAGGGCAGAACTGAAGGAGATAGAGACACAAAAAACCCTTCAAAAAATCAGTGAATCCAGGAGCTGGTTTTTTGAAAAGATCAACAAAATTGATAGACTGCTAGCAAGACTAATAAACAAGGAAAGAGAGAAGAATCAAATAGACACAATAAAAAATGATAAAAGGGATATCACCACCGATCCCACAGAAATACAAACTACCATCAGAGAATACTATAAACACCTCTACGCAAATAAACTAGAAAATCTAGAAGAAATGGATAAATTCCTGGACACATACACCGCCCCAAGACTAAACCAGGAAGAAGTTGAATCTCTGAATAGACCAATAATAGATTCTGAAATTGAGGCAATAATTAATAGCCTATCAACCAAAAGCAGTCCAGGACCAGACGGATTCACAGCCGAATTCTACCAGAGGTACAAAGAGGAGCTGGTACCATTCCTTCTGAAACTATTCCAATCAATGGAAAAAGAGGGAATCCTCCCTAATTCATTTTATGAGGCCAACATCATCCTGATACCAAAGCCTGGCAGAGACACAACGAAAAAAGAAAATTTAAGACCAATATCCCTGATGAACATCAATGCAAAAATCCTCAATAAAATACTGGCAAACCAAATCCAGCAGCACATCAAAAAGCTTATCCACCACGATCAAGTTGGCTTCATCCCTGGGATGCCAGGCTTGTTCAATATACACAAATCAATAAACATAATCCATCATATAAACAGAACCAACGACAAAAACCACATGATTATCTCAATAGATGCAGAAAAGGCCTTCGACAAAATTCAACAGCCGTTCATGCTAAAAACTCTCAATAAACTAGGTATTGATGGGACGCATCTCAAAATAATAAGAGCTATTTATGACAAACCCACAGCCAATATCATACTGAATGGGCAAAAACTGGAAGCATTCCCTTTGAAAACTGGCACAAGACAGGGATGCCCTCTCTCACCACTCCTTTTCAACATAGTGTTGGAAGTTCTGGCCAGGGCAATCAGGCAGGAGAAGGAAATAAAGGGTATTCAGTTAGGAAAAGAGGAAGTCAAATTGTCTCTGTTTGCAGATGACATGAGCGTATATTTAGAAAACCCCATCATCTCAGCCCAAAATCTCCTTAAGCTGATAAGCAACTTCAGCAAAGTCTCAGGATACAAAATCAATCTGCAAAAATCACAAGCAATCTTATACACCAATAACAGACAAACAGAGAGCCAAATCATGAGTAAACTCCCATTCACAATTGCTTCAAAGAGAATAAAATACCTAGGAATCCAACTTACAAGGGACGTGAAGGACCTCTTCAAGGAGAACTACAAACCACTGCTCAACGAAATAAAAGAGGACACAAACAAATGGAAGAACATTCCATGCTCATGGACAGGAAGGGTCAATATTGTGAAAATGGTCATACTGCCCAAGGTAATTTATAAATTCAATACCATCCCCATCAAGCTACCAATGACTTTCTTCACAGAATTGGAAAAAACTACTTTAAAGTTCATATGGGACCAAAAAAGAGCCCGCATTGCCAAGACAATCCTAAGCCAAAAGAACAAAGTTGGAGGCATCACGCTACCTAACTTCAAACTATACCACAAGGCTATGGTAACCAAAACAGCATGGTACTGGTACCAAAACAGAGATACAGATCAATGGAAGAGAATAGAGCCCTCGGAAATAATACCACACATCTACAACCATCTGATCCTTGACAAACCTGACAAAAACAAGAAATGGGGAAAGGATTCCCTATTTAATAAATGGTGCTGGGAAAACTGGCTAGCCATATCTAGAAAGCTGAAACTGGATCCCTTTCTTACACCTTATACAAAAATTAATTCAAGATGGATTAAAGACTTACATGTTAGACCTAAAACCATAAAAACCCTGGAAGAAAACCTAGGCAATACCATTTAGGACATAGGCATGGGCAAGGACTTCATGACTAAAACACCAAAAGCAATGGCAACAAAAGCCAGAACTGACAAATGGGATCTACTTAAACTAAAGAGCTTCTGCACAGTAAAAGAAACTACCATCAGAGTGAACAGGCAACCTACAGAATGTGAGAAAATTTTTGCAATCTCTCCATCTGACAAAGGGCTAATATACAGAATCTACAAGAACTTAAACAAATTTACAAGAAAAAATCAAACAACTCCATAAAAAGTGGGCAAAGGATATGAACAGATATTTCTCAAAAGAAGACATTTATGCAGCCAACAGACACGAAAAAATGCTTATCACCACTGGCCATCAGAGAAATGCAAATCAAAACCACAATGAGATACCATCTCACACCTGTTACAATGGCGATCATTAAAAAGTCAGGAAACAGTAGGTGCTGGAGAGGATGTGGAGAAATAGGAATGCTTTTACACTGTTGGTGGGACTATAAACTAGTTCAACCATTGTGGAAGACAGTGTGGCGATTCCTCAAGGATCTAGAACTAGAAATACCATTTGACCCAGCCATCCCATTACTGGGCATATACCCAAAGGACTATAAATCATGCTGCTATGAAGACACATGCACACGTATGTTTATTGCGGCACTATTCACAATAGCAAAGACTTTGAACCAACCCAAATGTCCATCAATGATAGACTGGATTAAGAAAATGTGGCACATATACACCATGGAATACTATGCAGCCATTAAAAAGGATGAGTTCATGTCCTCTGTAGGGACATGGATGAAGCTGGAAACCATCATTCTCAGCAAACTATCGCAAGGACAGAAAACCAAACACCGCATGTTCTCACTCACAGGTGGGAATTGAACAATGAGAACACTTGGACACAGGGTGAGGAACATCATACACTGGGGCCTGCTGTGGGGTGAGGGGGAGTGGGGAGGGATGGCATTAGGAGATATACCTAATGTAAATGATGAGTTAGCGGGTGCAGCACACCAACATGGCGCATGTATACATATATAACAAACCTGCAGGTTGTGCACATGTACCCTAGAACTTAAAGTACAATAATAAAAAGAAAGAAAGAAAGAAACTGGAGTTCAAGATTCCCACCGATTCCCACCTCATTCTGAGAGCCCGCACCCCTGGGACTCTGAGCCCAGAAGATTCCAGGAAAGTCTATACCTGACGTTCCAGAAGCCTCACCTTCCTGGATCCTAGGGATCAGTTTCTGGGGCGGGTTGGGGATGACGGGAAGCCCTCTGACTGTGAGCCCTCCCTGGGCTGGGGGTCCAGACTGGGTAGAGCAGCCACACCTGCCTGAATTTCCGAGGAAAGGGGCAGAAACAGCTGCCAGTGCTGCTCTCGCGATAGGCTTGATGAACCCCTGCAGTCGGTTGGGGATGGTGGGTCCCATACTGCCTAACTTCCCTAATTGGGTAGCTTCACTTTTAGAACCCCAGGTCCTTCCCTGGCAGGCCCAGGTGGCACGTCCTGTGTGGGGTGGGCCCTCACCCTGGATCCCCCGGGTGCCCTGGCCCCTTGCTGGGCCTGTGACTGCCCAGCTGGATGGAGCCATGGCTGCTGCGTTCCTGCTGCTGTTGCTGCTGTGGCCACAGGGCCGCATCTCAGGGAGGGGAGAAGGGGCTGCCTTGTGGAGGAGGGAGTGGGTACATAAGCAGGAGCTCTAGATCTTTATCAAAAACCACCCTTCTTGCTTTTCTGGCCCAATTGTCTTGTTTAGTTTTTTGTGGGTTCAGTGAGGAAGAGGTTGGGGCTGACTTCGTAGCTCTTTACCAGAGACCACTGGGCATGGTGGGGGTTGGCAAAACTCACTCCCTACTGCCTGTGAAAGGGGTGGGAGGTGTAGGCACACATGAACACAGTGCCCTGGAGACCCATCCCAAAGTCACCCAACTCTGCACCTCCCAGGGTCAGAGAGGTTCCTCCCTCTGCCACAGCAAAAAAGGGTCTCTCCTGTGCTAAGAAATTCTGGGCTCATCCACCATGCAATGGAGTTGGATCATTCTGCTTAGTTTACAAAGAACAGAGTGATGCTCAGAGAGGGTGCTGCCTCACGCAGAGCCTCAGCTCTAGTGGCTGCTGGCAACTGGACAGATGTCCTGGGTTCTGGGCCCTTGACTATCACAGCTCTGGGTTCCACTGGAGGATCTGGGAGCCCCCAGCGTGTGGGAAAATACAGCATGCATTGAGCACGCACTGTGTGAAAAGCACTGACCTGGGGCAGAATTCTCACAGCAACCTGTGAGGGATGTGGTGCTATTCTCACTTGACTGATGCAAAGACAGAGATTTTAGGTGCCCCGATCACACCGTTAAGTGGTAGAAACAAGGTTTTGACCCGTGTTTATTTTGATCCAAAATGTGTGCTCTCTATTCTGTACTATGGGGGAGAGTCTTTTTATGTGTGGTTTTGTGGGAGACTCTGGGGTGAAATTATCAGAAGAGTCAGCTGAGCTTAGGGCAGGCAGAGGGGTGGAGGGAGCCCACGGCAGCTTTCTCCCTCTCTCTGTCCCCTGAGTCACCTTGCACACCCCAGTTCTGCTCTCTCTCTACCAGACTGTGGATTATGAAGGCTTGGACCACATCTTACTCCTCAGCATAGAGAGAAAGATATTGCAGGTGGAAAGTGAATAATTGTAGAATCCTGTGGTTCATACTCCATTGGGAGTTTGTTTACATGTACATTTGGACAGGCTTGATCTATGGGTTTTATGTAACTAGAATACTTTAAAACTAAACACCAGCTAGAATGAACTAAGGTAGGTTATTATTTAAAGAGGACTACAGTGAACCTATTTGTGAAATAAATAACTATTAATCATTTTTTCAAACACTGGATTTTCTTATCTACCTAATTAGTTGGGCACTGAAATTTCAGAACTTAATGACCTGTGTTTGTGTCTCTGCATCTTTCTCACTGGGTTTTTCCCACAAGAATGTCACTCTCCCATCAGACTAGAAAATACCATGAGGAAAGGGGCTGTGTCTGATGGAGCTCCAAGTGTAAGTGCTGCATTTCCTCCATTAGACTGGGGGCTCACTGTGGGATATACCTGCCTCCTCCATCAGACTGAAAGCTCCCTGAGAGGGGGACCTCTGTCTGCCCCCTAATACTGGGAGCTAGCTGTTTTCAGGGCCCATTTACCTCCCTTCAGACTGGGGCAAGCTCCCTGAGGGTGGGGCTGTATTTCCCCCTCAATCTGTGGGTTCCATGACAGCAGGACAATATCCACCCCGCCCTTCACCATGATCTTCAACTTTCATGATGTCTTCTTCCTCTCCTCTTGCCAGACCTTATTCAACAAGTCTTGTCTCCACAGGCCCCTCTGCTGGGAGCGCATACACAAAAGTGAGGCTCCTTGAAAGGGGGACTCTGTCTGTGCAGTGCTTCTGTAAGGGCTACAAAAACCGCATGGAGGGCAAGGTTTGGTGCAAAATCAGGAAGAAGTGTGAGCCTGGTTTCACCCAAGTCTGGGTGAAAGGGCCCCGCTACTTGCTGCAGGACGACGCCCAGGCCAAGGTGGTCAACATCACCATGGTGGCCCTCAAGCTCCAGGACTCAGGCCGATACTGGTGCATGCGCAACACCTCTGGGATCCTGTACCCCTTGATGGGCTTCCAGCTGGATGTGTCTCCAGGTGAGCGGGCTGCAGGGGCACTGGGACGGGTGGAGGGAGTCCTCCCTGCCCCACACTCCACTAACATCAGAGATAATAAGGATAATAATCCATCAATGGTCATGTTGCACTGTAGTGTTTTCAAAGTGCCTTTATGGCACTATTCGTGGCACTATTGTCACCATTTTACAGATGAAGATAATGAGACCTGAAAACCCAGTGTGACTCTGAGCTTGTCCGGGGTCCCAGAGCTAGCAGGTGGCTGAGATAAAGTTCAAACTTGGCACTGTCTGTGCTGTGTTTTATTCACTCATTGCTTCAACATAATTCACTGAGCCCGTATTATGTGGCAGGCACTATTCTAGGCTCTAAGGAGACAGTAGTGAGCAAAAACAGACACAATCTTGCTCTATAATAATTGCAAATAACAAATTTTTGTAAGAAAAAACAACACTTGTAAACAGGAAAGTTAACTCAGTAATGCGGGAGCTGTGGAAATACTGAGGATCAGAAAACACCTCCCTGAGCAGATGACACCAAGCAGACCCCTGAATGGTGAGCATTCTCCAGCTCTGTTGAAATCTGGGTGCTTTGAAGGGCACTTTGTGGCAAGGGCTGCATGTGCAAAGGTCCTGAGGTCAGAAGGTGCTTGGCTTGTACAAGAAAGACTTATTTGGCTAGGTGCAATGGCTCACGCCTGTAATCCCAGCATTTTGGGAGGCTGAGGCAGGTGGATCACCTGAGGTCCGAAGTTTGAGACCAGCCTGGCCAACATGGTTGAAACCCTGTCTCTACTAAAAATACAAAAATTAGCTGAGTGTGGTGGCATGTACTTGTAATCCCAGATACTTGGGAGGCTGATGCAGGAGAATTGCTTGAACCTGGGAGGCAGAGGTTGCAGTGAGCCAAGATTGCACCATTGCACTCCAACCTGGGCAGCAGAGTGAGACCCTGTCTCAAAAAAAAATAAAAAGCAAAGAAAAAAATGCTTATTTAGTAACTCCATATTGAGTGCAGGACAGTGATTGATGAGGCTGGGAGTCAAGCAGCCCTGAAGCCTATGAGATGAAGTTTGGGTGATTCTAAGTACAAGAGGAAGCTACTGGAGAGCTAAGAGAGGTGTGTCACAGCTTATTTTTAAGTATGTAGTGGCCACTTGTCGAGGATGGTCTAGGGAGGGTATGAGCATGGGCATGGAGGCCATTGTGAGCACAGTGGACAGAGTTGCTTCCCAGCCTGGAGGGCGAGGCAACCTCTGTAAAACACCAGTACTAGCCCTCCCAACATTTACAGGTGGAAAGCTGGTGCGGGAAAATATCAGCCAATACATGTGCCATAGTAGGGGACAGTCCCAGGACAGCGGCCTGGGACCCTCGATACTTCATCCAAGATGATCGCTTCTATGGCGTCTTCACCGTCACCATGACTGAGCTCAGAGTAGAGGCCTTGGGATTCCATGGGTGTGGAATCTCTAAATCCCCTGAGATCTCTATTGTCAGAATCATCTGCCTGGTGGTATCTCAAGGTGAGTTCTGTCCCTTCGTATTTGTGGGTCTCAGACTTCCTGAATCACAAGGTGTTAGAGCTGGAGAGGATCCTAGAAATCTTCTCCTTCCACCTTCTCATCACTGAAAACTGGGGACATGGAGAAGAAAAGCCCCTGGCCTAAGGTCACCTGCTGCTGAAGGGCAGAGCCAGCCCCAGAATGCAGGCCTGCTGGCTTTTGGTTCTTCCTTCCACATCGTACGTATCGCCCTTAACATTTTTGCTGCTACTAACAGGACTCCTCCATTTATTTGGAATGAGTTTAAAGTTTCCCCATGCTTGAGCACAAAGGGCTTAATGGTCCATTCCAGACATCCCTACCCTTGACTCTAACTGCCAGCATCTTCTCAAAGGGCTGTAGTCAAGAAAGATCACTGAGTAATGGGGTGGGGGGATAAATGTGACATAGGAGATAGCCAAACAATGAGGCTGACATGAGACTTAGGGGGTGAGGCTGGGAGGTGTAGTAGCCAGGGGCTCAGGGGACCTGGATCCTCTCCCTGGACCTGCCCTTATCAGTTGAGAGTCATTAAGCTTCAAAATGAGAAGCTAGGGGTCACCACTAATCCTAAGGCCCCTGGGCATTCCCCCTGAAATTAGAGTTGCCAAGCTCTCCTGCCTTTTTCTGTGATGGTTAGAAACAGTGGTGCTTTTTCCCTGCTGCTGAGTGTGCCCAGCCACTTGGTCAAATGGGCATCTGGAGGACCCCAATAAGCTTCTCTTTCTTCACTGCCCAAGCTTTGGCTCACTGCCCATTCCCTGGAGGGCACAGGGCTAAGCTAGGCCCTGGATGGGGACTCAAAAGCCTTGAGATCCCATCCGGAGCTGGAGGAGCCCACAGTTGGGCCAGAGAAACAGCATGTGATGAAGGGTTATGACGTAAGGTGGTAGGTGGCATTAGAGAAATATGGTGGACGGAAGAATAATGAAAGACAGAAAGGAGGGAGAAGGTTTAAATTCCTAGCACCAGGGGAATTCTAAGCTTGAGGAAAACAAGGTGCATATGGAATACATTAATAAAAGATAACTTATAAGGCAATATGCCACAGGCATAGGTGAATGCAAGGTAGAATGAATGATATAAAGTAAAATAATCAAGGATTTATTCTTGAAGTTGGGGACATATGGATTGGTGAAGAATAGCAGGCAAGTGCAGTTCCAATAAAGTGAATAGCCTGAATATTTCTTTTTTCTTCCTTCTTTCTGCCTTTCCTCCCTCCCTCCTTTCCTCCTTTCCTTCTTCCTGACTCTAACCTAGGCTGATCACACAGTATTCTTAGGTTATAGCAAAAGAAAACCCTGCTTCTTGGCCATGTCCATTTCCTTCCTTAGCTCCATTTACCCTAACACCTACCCATTCACCCACTCATCCATCTTTTCATCTACTTATTCTTCCTACATCCTGTCCATTCCTCCACTCATCCATCTATTTATCCACCTACCCATCCACTCACTTCCAAATAGTTTATCCGTTAAATCACCCACTTATCCATCCATCCATTCATCCAATGTTCTTTTCACAGGTCTCTTAGGTACCCCTGCCTCCAATGTTAATCCTACCCAGAACATGCCTCAGATTCCCACAGTTCTTCCTACCACCACTAAGGCCCTGAGCCCACTGTATGCCAGCCCAAGAACCATGACCCAGCCTTCACCCAAGTCAACTGCTGATGTCTCCACTCCTGGCCCACAGTCAACAATAAAAATGTGACAAATGTCATCAACTATGATTTCCCAGCCTCTGAGCCCCGGGTTTGGACATCAAGCTCTTTGTTCCCCAGTTCGTGTGCTGAGAGGATGTGGGAGTGAGGGAAAGGGGAAGGTGGGGCAGGAGCAGACTTGAGTCACATTAGTCTGGGTAGAAATGTCCAGGGGAAGAAGGAGGTGGTGATGGAGAATAGGGGAGGCTCTCAGCCAGGCTGTCATTCTCCCTAGTTCACCTTCCTTGTTTTCTTGCAACCTGAGTATTAAGGAGAGGGAAATGGCATCCTCCCCAAATTCCAATGGAGCTCATCCAACCCCAGGGGCCTGATGAGTAGTGGGAACGCACTCTGAATGAGGGACCCTGGATCTAGTATCTACCTGACTAACTGACTGTGACTTTGGGTGAGTCAGGAACCCTCTCTGGCTTTAGCTTCCTTGTCAATTCAGTAGGCATGCTAGAAACCCAGAGCTGGAAGACATTGTTCACCCAACAGCTCTCAGCAGGAGCCACATGTTAGGGCTAAATGCAATATTGGTTTTTGCCTTGTTTGGTTAGTTTTAAAAAAAAAATACTGATGTGTGTGTTCTCATACACAGACCAATAGAATCAGAATTTCTGGAAATGAAGCCCATCTCAGTATTTTTTTATAAATACTTCAGAAAGAAACTCAGAGAGGAAAGGACAAACAGGCTGAGGAATGAGAAAGAATAAAACTCTTTCTTTTGAAATAAAAAAAAAATTTATGCGATTTTTTTCCCTTTAAGAGGAAAATCTGCTTTAATTAAATGGAAACAATGATCCAAGCTACTTAAGTATAAAAGCACATTGTACTATAAAATGTTTAATCTGTATTAATAAGAAGCTAAATTTATAACAAGGAGCTGAATGCTTTTTAGTTGACTATGTTGAGGCAAAAGTCTATAAAACAGCATTTCCTACAATGGTGGAATGTTCTCTCTCCCTGTCCAACATGGGTAGCCACTAGCCATGCGTGGTAATTGAGCATCTGACCTGAGACAAATGAGAGTGAAGGACTGAATTTCTATTTATCATTTAATTTTTGTTAATTTAAATGTAAATAGCCACCTTGACAAAATTTTGGGAGTGTTTTAAGGCAAGATTAGGACTTATTGAGAAGTTTGATTTAAGGTAGGTCTTTCAAAGCAGGGGCTGGGCTATGATTAAGTAAGGATCACGATCAAACAGTCCTGGATTGGTAGAAACAATAGGATGAGGATTTTGAAGTGGGGGATTCAAAGAATCTTATGTTGCCAACTACCTCTTAGGGCTTTCCATGAAAGAGTTGATGAATCTTTCAGGAATTTCCTATAATGAACAAGCAAACCATTTTCCCAGACAAGAAAACTCCTGGTAAAGTAGTATTCACAAAGACAGAGGAATAGCAAAGTCATGTTAATGTAGACAGCAAGGTGTGATTTCAGTTCTCAGTGTCAAGACTGAATGTGGGTATGGATGGTTTCTATTCCCAATAAAAAAATTATTTTTCTAACAAAATATACTGTGGACAAAAGCAACATAGGGGAACAGCTCCATGATATTGTCTTGACAACCTTGCATATGCCACATAGGTCACACTGGCAGACACATGAACTACAGCTAATTTGAAGCATGGCAGAATGCCTGCAACCCTCCTAGAACATAAAAGGATGGAGGCTTGTGAGAACCATGGCCCAGTAACTTCTCTGTCTCCCCTGAAAGACAGTTCCTCATGCCCTCCTGAGTTCTGATGAGGCCAGAGGCTCTGTCCCAGACCTCAGAATAGGGCTGCAGGTTATGAAACCACTTATCTGCCTCTAGAGTAGATTCCTCAGCAGTGGAATGTCCCACAACTCATATTGCAGTTGTCTGGCCCCTTTTGTTTTGGGGTGTGGGACAAGAGCCATGAGGAGCTGGCACCTTTGCCTAATCTTTCCCTTGTTGTCTGTGTAAATAATAAATTGACTGAAAGTAAAAGTGGCTCATTGCTGACATTGTGCCACTGCACTCCAGCCTGGCCACAGAGCAAGACTCCTTGAAAAAAAAAAAAAGCGGCTAATTGCATTATTAGCAGTCAAATCAGTCAGGACTTGGCTTTGGCGCAGCCTTGTCTCACATGAGCTTAACAAGTGACAAATGACAGACTGAGACAAGATATTTGCAATTTCTAACATAGAATAATATCTAGTTTTTTTTCCAAGATGGCTGCCTGGAAGCATTTTAATCACACCTCATCCACTTAGAAGAACCAAATAGTGTGTAGACAATCACACTTTGAATACATTATCCAAGAGGGAACTTGAGAGTTCAACAGAAAAGCAAAAGAAAAGTCCAAAATCAAGGAAATAGAAAGAAAACAGGAAGCTTGTGTAGTTGGGACCAGCTGGGAACCAGAACAGACCCTCCCAAATGGGAGAGAGTGAGTGAGAGTCTTTCTGTGATCCACTTTCCCACTGGGGAATCATACAATCCAGGACATGGGAGTGCAACTTGACTCTCCAATCCCTGAATCTAACTTACAGAGCAGCTGGGAGACTGTGAGAAGAAACTTCCCCATGGAGGTAGCATGCCCTGGGTTTCACACCCTTCCTGAGACCTAAGAAACTGCCATTCTTGATCCTTGCTCTTAAAAAATTGTGTGTGGTCCTAGGAACCAGTGATGGCAGTCTTAGGCATTAAGGAAACTCAGGCTGCAACTTGCAGAACCAGGGCTTCAGTGAGGAATAGGTTCCCACAACCAGGACTAAGAAGTAAGCATAGTGTGGACTTCAGCTTCAATGCTGGAACAGGGTACACCTCCTCCCCAAAACCTGAGCAGGATGAGATTTGCCTCAGTGACTTGGTTGAGCTGGGCAGGGGTTCCTATAGCCCAGGGCTAAGTTACAGGCCAGGTGCAAACTGCCTGGCCTGACTGAACACTGGGTTTACTATGACAGCCAGGATATGGGAGGGAGCCCCACCACGACGGGGGCATAAGAGGAATGCAAATCCTCAACCAGTTGCCAAATCTGTGGCTACTGGGACCACCCCCACACTCCCTGTAGCAGGACCTCAGTGCAACAATGCTTGCCCCTCACTGAAGCATTTTGCCAGGGGCCTGAGTACTGCTCCATCCCCCTGTAGCAGCTGGTGCATGCACTCGCCATTGGAGGGTCTGAGTATCAGCTTTCCTGGCCAAGTTGTGCCCAGCTTCATCCTACCTCCCACCCCGAGACAGAGTGCAGAATCTAAGCTCCGAGGGGTTTCACAACCCAATCCACCACCTGGGACACCCACACACTTCCCCCTATGCAGGACAGAAGTCAGGCAAAAACACCCTACCACTCCCACCTCAGCTGGCTTCTACCTTCAAGCTCCACCTACTGACCTGAAGGCCGGTCCACACAGCCCATTGCAACCACTGCCAACACAAAAACACAGCACTCAGGACCAAGAAGAAGAACTCGCCACTACTGCTATTGCCATCACCCATGCCACTTTGGCTGTCCAGGAGTTGAGAGCCCACTCACCTGCCAAGTACACCACTACTGCAACTGACCTTAGAAAAAGCCACCCCAGATGCCCAAGAATCAGCCTGCCTAGGCCCATCAATACAAGTGCCAGTGTACGCTGCCCTAGGTCACAAGAATAGACATGCTTAGCCCACCACTGCTACTACTGAAACCTAAAGGCCCATCTGGCATTTCAGTCCCCAGCACAACTTCACCATAGTCTCCACCAATAACTACATCCAAACACACCAAGGAAACCACAGATACTACCAACACTATTTATAGCCAAATAACTCATACAGAGTCTTCACCACTGCACACATCCAGAAGCAAAGCTTAAGGGTACTACCAAAACAAGATTATAGTCACATCTTCAAGAAAAAAGCCTCCCCCTCCCCTCATGAGAGTAAATTCAAACACAGAAGAAATGACTATTACACCAGATGTGCAGAAATTAATGTAAAGAAATGTGGCAGGCCAATTCTCCCTGACAATCACATAGACAGACCTGCATAGCACTCCAGTTACACAGACAGATTTCCACAGCACTGCCTTAACATTGAGCAAATAGTTAAACCTAAGGAAATCAGTGCCCAGACATCAAAGCTAGGAATGAAACATATGGTCAGTAGGACCTTACCTGGGCTTCTCCTTAACCTGGAGCAAGCCAAATAGTAGAGGCAGTCTTACATTCCTAGTGCCAGGGCCCAACTTGGGTTGACAAAATCTGAGATGACCCGAGGTAACAGGGGCAGCTGTTTGAATAGATTCATTGCAGAGTCTAAAGAAAATCTCTGGACCAAACTATAAAGGAGATAAGATAGAAATAATCACTCCGGTACCGCAGTAGACAGGCCTTGAAGGTACTGGGGCTCTCAAAGCTTAATCGGACTTAACAAGCCTTTTTTTTTTTTTTTTTTTTGCCTCCGACCTTCTAGTTGAAACAAAATTAGTTACCAATAGACAGGTGAATGCTATACTGCACATAGGCACATAACCCAACCTACGTAAGCACTAAGAAAATTGTAAAATGTTTAGTTGGTCTGGTGGAATTATCTCTGGCCTTCTCCCTGTATCCAGTTACAGCAATAAATTCCCTTCTTTCCTAGTTTGCCTGCTTCTCATTATTGGGCCTTGAGAAAAAGCAGCTGGACCTGGCCTGGTTCCAGGAACAGAAACAGGAAACATTAAAAAGCAAGGTAATATGACACCCTGAAAGGAACACAATAATTCTTCAGCAATAAATCCTAACCAAAAAGAAATCCTTCAAATCTCAGATAAAGAATTCAAAATATTGATTTTGATTCAGAGACAAGATGAAGGATAGGAGACAGGGCGAATGTGCAGCTCCCACTTGGACAGACAGAACAGTGTGTGGAGACTCACACCATGATCTTTTGCTCCAAGAACCACTGCAGAAACATATCAGGAAAACCAAAAGAATCCACAGATTCTTTGAAAGAAGCAGCATGCCACTGCAAATTCCATGAGACAGGCAAAAAAAACTGTGAGTTCACAAAGTGTGAGGGGGGGAAAACCTGCCTCCAAACACACATTTCACCAGGGAATCTGAAAATCCATATCATGAGAGAAGGATTTAACCTTACCTGGAGCTAAAATGGATTTAGGAAGTTGCATGACACATAAAACTAGAAGAAGCAGTGGGAAGTGCCTTCCCTGCAGACACTCCCAGTCTCCAGCTCAAGCCCAGGGAAGCCACCCCTGACTATATCTCACACAGGCCCTCAGGGAAGGCATCCAGCAGAATTAGGGAGGGGTCACAGGGTGAAAGAAGCTCCCAACTGAAATTAGTAGTAATTTCAACTGGGCACAAATTTTCTTGAGCAGAATCCAGGGGATGAATGGGAACTGCTGCAGATATGAGCACAGGAGCTGCTGCCAACAGTGTGGGCAGATGGGGAGGGTTGAAGCCTGAAAGCCATGCTTGCTTTCTCAGTGGGGAAGCTCATGGCTTGGGGCAAGTTCTGAATGGAGCACTGAGGGGGCAAGACTGGCCTTGCCAACTGCATGAGAGCTGGATGAGGCCTCTCGCTACCAGCTATCCCCCACTTCCCTGATGAACTATAAGACACAGCAGAAGCAGTCAAAATCCCCTCTGGAACATAATACCATTGGCCTGAGAATCACCCCACCATCCTTCACAGTGGCTATGGCAAGCTCTGCCCAAGGAGAGTCTGAACCCAGACCCACTTAACTCTGCCACCCACCTGATGGTATTTCTCTATGTTCTCTGGTAGCTGACTAAAAAGAAACTCTTGGGAGCTTTATGGCCCCACCCAACACCTGAGAAACTAAAATACTTATCTTGTCCAACTCAGGACATACTTGGATCCCCCTACTATTACCACAGATGGTGCTCTCTTGAAAACCCAACCTCTTGTTTGGAGGCCAACCAACACAAGCCATCACAGCAACTCATGACAGAACAATCCTGATCCCAAGAAAGAGAAGACAACAGCAATTCCACTGCTTGCAATATCCTGGCTGGCCAAAGGTCCTGAGTGTGTCCACGTGATATGGTTTTGCTGTGTCCCCACCCAAATCTCATCTTGAATTGTAGCTCTCATAATTCCCATGTCTCATGGGAGGGACTCAGTGGCAGGTAATTGAATTATGGTGGCAGGTCTTTCCCGTGCTGTTCTCATGATAGTGAATAACTCTCATGAGATCTGATGGTTTTATAAGGGGGAGTTTCCCTGCGCAAGTTCTCTCTCTTTGCCTGCCACCACCCATGTAAGACATGACTTGCTCCTCCTTTCCTTCCACCATGATTGTGACCCCTCCTCAGCCACATGGAACTGCGAATCCATTAAACCTCTTTTTCTTCCCAGTCTCAGGTATATCTTTATCAGCAGTATGAAAATGCACTAATACACCACATGATAACTTCACTGCCAGCATAACCAGCATTTGACAAAGCCAGCACACTAAACATATCTACAACCAAAGACTCTCACAGAGTGTACTTCACTCCCCTTTCACCAGAGCAGCTGTTGGGAGACCTGAAGATGGGTCACATCACAGGACTCTTTGCAGACATTCTCCAGCACCAACCCAGAGCCTGGTAGTCCCACTGGATGGCCACAACCAGAAGAGCAATAACAATCACTGCAGTCTGGTTCTAAGGAAGTCTCATCCTTAGGGGAAGGGAGAGAGTGCCACACCAAGGGATCACCCTTTGAAACAAGAGAATCTGAACAGCTGAACAGCAGGCCTTGAGTTCCAGATCTTTCCATTGAAATAGTCTACCCAAATGAGAAGGAACCAGAAAAACAATTCTAGTAATATGATAAAACAGGGTTCTATAACATCCCCAAAAGATCACACCAGCTACCCAGCAATGGATCCAAATCAAGAAGAAATCTCTGAATTGCCAGATAAAGAGTTCAGAAGGTTGATTATTAAGCTCCTAAGGGAGATAACACGGAAAGGTGAAAAACAACTTAAATAATCTTTTTTTAAAATACAGAATATGGATGAAAAATTCTCCAGAGAAATAGTTATCATAAAGTAAAAACAATCACAACTTCTGGAAATGACATACACACTTAGAGAAATACAAAATGCAATGGAAAATTTCAACAATAGACTAGAACAAGTAGAAGAAAGAACTTCAGAGCTTGAAGACAAGGCTTTTGAATTAATGCAGATAAAGACATAGAAAAATGAATTTTTAAAAAAAGAACAAATCCTCCAATAAATTTGGGATTAAGTTAAATAGCCAAACCTAAGAATAATTTCTGTTCCTGAGGAAAAAGAGAAATCTAAAAGTTGGGAAAACTTACTTGAGGCATTAATTGAGGAAAATTTCCCTGGCCTTGCTAGAGATCTAGACATCCAAATACAAGAAGCTCAAAAGACACCTGGGAAATTCATCTCCAAAAGATCATCACCTAGGCACATAGTCATCGGATTATCTAAAGTCAAGATGAAGGAAGAATCTTAAGAGCTGTAAGACAAAAGCATCAGGTAACCTATAAAGGAAAACCCATCAGATTAATAGCAGATTTCTCAGCAGAAACCTTACAAGCCAGAAGAGGTTGGGGTTTGATCTTTAGCATCCTGAAACAAAATAATTATCAGTGAAAAATTTTGTATTCAGCAAAACTAGCTTCATAAATGAAGGAGAGATAAAGCCTTTTTCAGACAAACAAATGCTGAGAGAATTTGCCACTATTAAGCAGCACTACAAGAACTGCCAAAAGGAGTTCTAAGTCTTGAAACAAAACCTCAAAATACACCAATGTTACATACACTGCAGGTTTATAGCAGCACAATTCACAATTGCAAAAATATGGAACCAGCCTAATTGCCCATCAACCAACAAATGGATAAAGAAAATGTGGTATATATACACAATGGAATACTATTCAGCCATAAAAAGGAATGAAATAAGGTCATTTGCAGACTCACCTGGATGAATTCGGAGACCATTATTCTAACTGAAGTAACTCAGGAATGGAAAACCAAATGTTGTATATTCTCACTTATAAGTTGGAGCTAAGCTATGAGGACACAAAGACATAAGGATGATATAATGGACTTTGGGGGCTCAGGGGGAAGGATGAAAGGGTGTGAAGGATAAAAGACTATACATTGGATACAGTATACACTGCTCAGATGACAGGTGCACCAAAATCTCAGAAATTACCACTAAAGAACGTATCCATGTAACCAAAAATCACCTGTTCCCCCAAAACTACTGAAATTTAATTTAAATTTAAAACACGAAACAAAATATTGATTTTAAGGAAACTCAAGATGCAAGAGATGCAAAAGAAATCAAAATAAATGCAAAGCACTCAGAAAATTAATTCAGGATATGAATGAGAAATTTACCAAAGCATAAATATCTACCTTAAAAAAAACCAGAAACTCTAAAACTAAAAAATTCATTGAAAGGAATACAAAATACATTCAAAATCTTCAATAATAGACTATGCCAGGCAGAAGAAAGAATTTCTGAACTTGAAGGCAGGTATTTTGAAATAATCCAGTCAGACACAAATAAAGAAACAAAATGAATAAAGCCTTTGAGACATTTGGGACTACATAAGGTGACAAAACTTACAAATTATCAGTATTCCCAGGGATGAAGAGAGATCCAAAAGCTTAATAAAACTATCTAATGAAATAATAGATGAAAACTTTTCAAGTCTAGCAAAAGATTTAGACATCTATTTAGAGGAGGCTCAACAATCCCCAGGCAAATACAATGTAAAAAGTTTGCCACAGCATATTAAAAGCAAACTGTCTAAAGTCAAAGTGAAAGAAAAAAATCTAAAATCAGTAAGAGAAAAGATGTCTAACCATTTATAGAAGAACCCCCATCAGTCTAACAGTGGACTTCTCAGCAGAAACCTTCCTGGCCAGAAGAAAATGGGATGACATACTCAAAGTGCTGATAGAAATTTTTAAAAAACTGGTAGCCAAGAATTCTACATACAGCTAGATTAAGCTTTGTAAATGAAGGAGAAATAAAGTCTTTCCCATCCAAGCAAATGCTGAGGGACTTCATCACCACCAGAGCAGTCCTACATGAAATACTCAAAGGAGTCCTAAACTTGGAAGTGAAAAGCTGATATTAACCATCATGAAAACACATGAAAGTATAAAACTCACTAGTAAAGCAATTACACAAAGAAGGTAGAGAAAAGAATCAAATGACACTACTGCAAAATTTCACCAAACCACAAAGACAAACAATGAGAGAAAAAGAAAAAAACAAAGACTTGATAGAACAACTAGAAAATAATTAGCAATATGAGAGAAACAAAACCCCACATATCAATATTAACTTTAAATGTAAATGCATTAAATGCTCCACTTAAATGATATAGATTGGCTGAATTAATTTTTTTAAACATGATTCGACTATATGCTGCTTACAAGAAACTCACATTATCTATAAAGACATATACAGACTGAAAGCAAAGTGTGGAAAAAGATATTCCATGCAAATGGAAACCAAAAGTGATCAGGAGTAGCTATACTTATGTAGTATAAAACAGACTTTAAATGAAAAACAACATAAAAAGACAAATAAGGTTATTATATACTGATAAAAGGATTGATTCAGCAAGAGGATAAAACAATTCTGAATATATATGTACCCAACACTGGAGCACCTAGATTCATAAAACAAATAATATTAGACCTAAAGAGATAGACAGCAATACAATAATAATGAAGGCCTTCAACACCCCACTCACGGTATTAAACAGTTTATCTACAAAATGATCTAAAATCAACAAAGAAACATTGGACATAATTGGACGTTAGAACAAATCAACAGACATCTAGAGAACATTCTACCCAACAATTGCAGAATATACATTCTTTCAGCAGCCCTTGGAAACTTCTCCAAGATAGACCATATAGTAGGCTACAAAATAAGTCTCAACAAATTTTTAAAAATAGAAATCATATGAAATATCTTCTATGATCATCAAAATTTATTCCACATCACAGTGGAATAAGTTTTTTAAAATAGAAATTATATAAAGTATCTTCTAGGATTGCAGTGGAATAAAACTAGAAATCAATACCAAGAAGAACTTTGGAAACTATACAAATACATGGAAATTAACACACTCCCAAAAAAAATCACTGGACCAATGAAGAAATTAAGTTAGAAATTTAAAAACTTTTAGAAACAAGTGAAACCTGTTAGGTTTCTACCTAACAGAGATCTTGCCATTGCACTCCAGCCTGGGCAAAAAGAGCGAAACTCCATCTCAGGAAAAAAAAAAAAAAAAAAAAAAAAGAATAAAAGAAAAAATAAGAAAAGCTCAGGACCGGATAGATTCATAGCTGAATTCTACTAATCCTCCTCAAAAAGACATCTTCCAAAAAAATCAATGAGGAGAGAATTCTTCATAACTCATTCTACAAGGCCAATAGATCCCTGATACCAAAACCAGAAAAGGACACAACAAAGAAAAGAAGTCTACATACTAATATTCCTGATAAACATAGACACAAAATTTCTCAACAAAACACTAGCAAACAAAAACCAACAGTACATCAAAAAAAAGTACACGATGATTAAATGTGTTTTATACTAGGAATGCAAGGATGGTTCCACAATGCAAAGCAATAAATGTGATATAGCACATAAACAGAATTAAGGACAAAAAATGTATTATCATCTCAATAGACACAGAAAAAGCATTCAAAAATTCAGCATCCCTTCACAATTAAAAACCCTCAACAAACTAGGCATCAAAGGAACATACCTCAAAATAACAAGAGCCATATATGACAAACTCACAGCCAACAGACTGAATGGGGAAAAGTTGAAAGCATTTCCTCTAAGACCTGGAACAAGACAAGGATGCCTACTTTCACCAGTCCTGTTCAACATAGTACTGGAAGTCCTGACCAGAGCAATTGGGTAAGATAAAGAAATAAAAGACATCCAAATTGGAAAGGAGGGAGTCAAATTACTACTCTTAGCTGATCACATGATCTTATATCTGGAAAAGCCTAAAGACTTCACCACAAAACTCTCAGATTTGATAAATGAGTTTAGTAAAGTTGCAGGATGCAAAATAAATGTACAAAAATCAGTAGTGTTTCTATACACCAATAATGATATAGCTGAGAATAAAATAAAGAAGGCAATCCCATATACAATAGTTTCAAACAAATTTAAATATGTAGGAATAGATTTAACCAAGGAGGTGAAAGATCTACAAAACACTGATGAAAGAAATTATAGATAACAAAAACAAATGGAAAAACATTTCATGCTCATGGATCAAAAAAATTAGTATCATTACAATGACCATACTTCAGTTAATAGGATTACTATTAAAAATAAAAATAAATAGGCTGGGCGTGGTGGCTCATGCCTTTAATCCCGGTACTTTTGGAGACCGAGGTGGGTGGATCACCTGAGGTCATGAATTTGAGACCAGCCTGACCGATATGGTGAAACCCTGTCTCTACTAAAAATACAAAAATTAGCCAGGCATGGTGGCGTGTGCCTGTAATCCCAGCTACTTGGGAGGCTGAGACAGGGGAATTGCTTGAACCTGGGAGGCAGAGGTTGCAGTGAGCTGAGATCACGCCACTGCACTCCAATCTGGGTGACAGAGTGAGACTCCATCTCTAAATAAATAAATAAATAAATATATATATATATATATAAATAAATAAATAAAATGACCATACTGCCCAAAGCAGTCTACAGATTCAATGCAATCCTTATCAAAATATCAATATTATTTTTCACAGAATTAGAAAAACATAATCCTAAAATTCACATGGAAACCAAAAAGAACCCAAATAGCCAAAACAATTCTAAGCAAAAAGAACAAAGCTGGAGGCATGGTGTTACCTGACTTCCAATTATATTACAACACTAATATAACAATAGTAACCAAAACAGTTTGGCACTGGTATAAAAATAGACATGTAGATCAGTGGAACAGAATAGAGAACTTGGAAATAAAGCCACTTATTTGTGGCCAATTCATTTTTGACAAAGTTGACATGAACATACATTGGGGAAAGGACACCCTTCTAAATAAATGGTGCTGGGAAAATTGAATGTCCCTATGCAAAAGAATGAAACTGGTCCCCCATCTTTCACCATATACAAAAATAACTCAAGATGGATTAAAAACTTAAACATAAGACCTAACATTATAAAAATAACAGAAGAAAACCTAGGGAAAACTCTTCTGGACATTAGTTTAGGCAAAGAATTTATGACTAAGACCTCAAAAACAGAGACAACAAAAACAAAAATAGACAAATGAGACTTAAAAGCTTCTGCACAGAAAAAAAAAAGATGAACAACACTTTAGAATGGGAGAAAATATGTGCAAACTGTACCTCCAACAAGGGACTAATATCAAGAATATACAAGGAACTCAAGCAATTCAACAACCAAAAAAACCCATTAAACCCAAATAATCTCATTAAAATGTGGGCAAAGGACATCAACAGACATTTTATACCAATCAGAATGGCCATTGTTAAAAAGTCAGAAAAGAACAGATGTTGGCAAGGATGCAGATAAAATGGAACTCTTATACACCGCAGGTGGGAATGTAAGTTAGAACAGCTACTAACAAAAAATAAATTTCTCAAAGAATTAAAAATAGAACTATCATTTGATCCAGCAATCCCAACTGTATACCTAACAAAAGAAAAATAAATCAATATATCAAAAGGATACCTGCACTTGTGTGTTTATCTGCACTCTTCACAATAGCAAAGATATGGAATCAACCAAAGTGTCCATCAACAGATGGCTGGATAAATAAAGTATGATATATATACACAATGGAATACTATTCAGCCATAAAAATAATGAAATCATGTCTTTTGCAGCAACATGGATGGAACTGGAAGCCATTAGCTTAAGTGGAACAAGTCAGACACAGAAAGACAAATAGTGCATACTTTCACTCATAAGCTGAAGCTAAAATATTTGTACACATGAACATAGAGAGTAGAATAATAGACAATAGAGACTCAGAAGAGTGAGGGGATGGGGGTGGGGTGGATGATGATAAATTGCTTAATGGTATAATGTACATCATTCAGGTGATGGATACCCTAAAAACCCTTACTTGGACACTTTGCAATTCGTGCATGTAATGAAATTGCATTTGTATCCTGTGAATTTATACAAATAATTTCAACATCTAAACTAACCAAGGGCTGATTAAAAATCAACAAGCGGAAGGAAGGAAGCCAAATAGAAAATGGTTAGAAATAGGTTATACATTGCAGTAAAAAACTATATGCCCAAGAAACTCATAAACAGATGTTTGATCGTGTTAGTTAGAGAAATACTAATTTTAAAACATGGAACTGTCACTTTGAACTCATCTGAATGGTGAGCACATGGAAGGTGGATGACACTAGGAGTTGGTGAGAGTGGAGGAAAGGGGGATCCTTGAGCCCTGCTGGGGGGAATGCAACATGACCCAACATTCTGGAGAACAATCTGGAGCCTCTGTGGCATAAATATGTGGCTATCCCATGCTCAATGTTCCATCCCTGACTTATGCTCTGTTATGCATACTATTTTTTACGTCCTGTTTAGAAAATATTTGACTTCTCCAAGGTCATTTTTTCTACATTTTCTTCCAGAAACTATATTGTTTTCACCTTTTATATTTAGGTCTATGATGCATTTTCAATTAATTTCATGTGCAGTGTGAAAGAGTTAAAAACCTATTTTGTTTTCTGGGTGGGTATCCAACTGATCATTACCCTTTGATAGAAACAACATCTTTTCCACACTAAATTGCAGAGGCCCTTTAGTGGCAGTCAAGTGACTGTCTATGTGTGGGTATGTTCCTAAACCCTCTATTTTGTTCCTATTTTCTATTTGGCTTAATGCCAACTTAACATGTAGTTTAAAAAATTCTTATATGGCTCCTTCAAGAGCATGAATGGAAGTGTTTATTTTGAGGTATTTTGTTTGCTTGTTTTTCTGTTTGTATGCTTGTGTTGTTTTGTGGTAGTAAAGAGTTGAAGCAACTTAGGTTCCCATCACTAGGGGGAACAGAAAAATGAAATCCAATACTGCCCCTACATTATATGAAATCCTACCTAGCAGCCAAAAATTGAAGATTTAGATTTACATATAGCAACAACGGATAGTCTCAGAAGCACAATGCTATCTGAAAACATATAACTAGAGTTATAATTTTCAAAAAAAAAGCTTAAACCATGAGACAAAAATAAACACATGCTAAAAATTTTATTTAACTCATAATACATAATTTATTTGAGAAGATGTTATACCAGTTTAAAAATGGAAGTCAAAAGGCACAAATGTATATGAAGTAAAGGAATATTGAAATGAATTGTACGTGGAAGCATATCAGTTTGGGGTTTGCTTTTCCCTCTCAGCAGGGGAAGGAAGACAGGGCAGAGTTTGCTTGTCTATCAATAACCTGCCTTTGTGAAAGTTAGACTTCTCTCACAAAATGATTACCAGATAACATAAAGAAGAGAGTGCAATAGATAATGCAGAAGTTTCAGTTTAATTGCAGATTTTTTTCTACAACAGAGTGAAATGTGTAAAAAACAAAAGCACACAAAATCAATTCTATATATTTTCAAGAATCTACATGCATGCAAATAGACATGGAAAATATGAAATATGATTATTAAGAAGATGCCTATGAGGGAAGGGTAGGCAGTGCAGCTCAGGATGAAGGTAGTAAAGATTAAAAAAAACACACACATTAAGCTAGGAGTGGTAGTTCATGGCTATAATCTTAGCACTTTGGGAGGCCAAGGAGGGAGGATCACTTGAGCCCAGGAGTTCAAGACCAGCCTGGGTAACATAGCAAGACTCCATCTCTATACATAAAAATACACATTAAGAAAACACATGAAACCAAATGAGTGGTAAAGTGTTTCCTTTAAAGTGGGCCATGAAATAAGGAGTCTGTCAACTCAGTTTGGTTACATGAAGATCTTTTGTGAAAAAAATAAGACAAAAGCTAAAGCTAAAACAAAAACACAGCATGTTTGCATTTTTGTTTGCTTACAGTTGACCTTGCCATCTTTCAGGGCGTAGGTTTTCCTTTATAACATGAATGCAAGGATTGAGTTCCAGCCTGGGAGAAGAACTGACTTATCCGAAAGTGCCCAGTGTGCAGTGGTGGGAGAGGATGGGATTCCACATCCAGCCTTCTGATGCCAAATGTCATGCTCTTTTCCCTGCAAATTCAAGCGGGGGAAATGATTGGGTCAGGGAGCCCATACAGGAGATAGGCAAGGACGTTTCACTTGGCATCCTTTATGGTCCCTCTGCAACATCAGAAATTCCCTTAGACAAGAACAATCTGTACGGGATGCTGCTTCTCTGGCTAGATTAGCCTCAAGTTTTCTCCAGTTCCTGGAGAGAAGGAATACGAAGCTGCTATCAAAATGGCACTGCCTGTTATTTATGGTTCAATGAAGATAATTATGTTTAAGCGTATCCTTATTAAACTTGATACAGTTCTCATTTAACAGTATGCGCTCAGTCTTTCTCAACCATTTCTCTTGTCTTTTTTAAGACTTAAATTAAAGAACTGGGCAGAACTCCAATGATGGATTCATACCAGAAGGACCAAGCCATCCACTGGTGCCTGAATTGGGCCAACTTTGCTACATGTGAAATATAGGCCTTTATTTCCCTGAACTCAATAAAGATCAACAAACCCAAAAGGTTGGAGCCACTGAATGTCACAGAGGGGAAGCCCCACTGCCAGGGGTTTACTGAGGCCTAGAAAAGGGTGAGGCACTTCCCCAAGGTCACTAAGTATGATCAAGGCAGAGAGGGACCAAGAATCCACAATCTTCTATTGCCCTGTGATGGCTGCCCTTACCTTTGCAAAGGACTGAAGTTTTAGTATTTATGTAACAAAGAGGCAATAAGACCAAATTAATAAAATGCTCCTGAGTCAGGAGCAGTGGGTGATGGACCTGCTTGACCAATTGCATCATTGATTTGTAATCAGCCTGTCAGTGACCGGGTATCCTTGGATGTTTCTCAAGAACCGGGAAGTTATTTTATTCTATTACATGGGTTCAGTAGATTCCAACCATCCTGCCCATGGCTCTGTCCCTTTGCTTGGTCAACTGTTTATTTGCAGATGCTATGAAGTCTGACTTCAGCCCCAGCCTGTCCTGATATTCACATATTCAGATTAGCATATATTCAAATAGCAGAAGAGCAATGTCCTCTGCTAATTAATGGAGGCCTCTCAAATTCACTAGCTTGAAAAGAGTTTTATAGAAAAACTTGAGGCAAAAGCACTGAGCTCCACCATCCCAGTTCCACCTCCCCATGTAGGCAGGAAGGCTTGCTAACAAAGGAGGAGGGGGAATTGGCAGTGTTTCCACCAATGAGAAGCAACCGAAGGTCACCAAAATGTCCTTCATTTTCCTCCCTAATAACTGTGCCTCATCTACTGCTATTGAAATTCCTGAGAAGAGGAACAGCTTTTCATTGACCAAACGGGGCCCATTTCATTGATTCACCAGGTATGATGAAATCAGATGGGTTCCTGTAAGTCCCAGCTGCACCACTTATCTGCAGAATGACATAGTGAATAACTTAATCTCTTTGAGTCTTCTCTTCTGCAGTGAAGACAGCAGCACTTATTTCAGAGTAAAGAGATTAACAAGGTACATGCTTGGCTCATAGCACATGTTCAATTAACCAGTTTCTCTAGCGGCCCTCTGCCACAGGGTAAGATAATTTTTTATATTACCTAGTCCAACATCCTTGTCTTACAGGTGAGAAAACAGAGGCCCAGAGAGAAGCTATTGACTTTCTCAAAAAAGTCACAAAGCAAGAGAATGGAAGACCCAGGTCCCCTGGTTTCAGGCCTGCAACTTTTCCCATTGCTCTGTGCTGCCCTCCAAACAGCCCCTCATGAATGGGCAGATGGGGTCCAGCTCATTGGCTGTGCCTAAGGAGACCCTTCCATGACCTGAATCCTGCAGCTGCTCACCTTTGCACCAATACCAGCCAAATCCGATGGTGCAGGACAAAGGGGACCTGAGGAGACAGGTGGGTCATGCACTAATACGCCTCAAGTCCTGCCTCCAGAGCCCTATCACCACGACCCTGATTATAGCTTCCGTGGGATAATCCTCCAGCAGGTACCTCCCAGCCCAGGCCCAGTTTAGGTCTTTGTTTCTAGTCTCCATGAGCACCAGAGTCTCTGGGGGACCCTGGCTCCAACCCCACTGCCAGGCCTTCAGGCTGGAGGCATATTTCATGATGTTGTAAGAACAGGCCATGGTCAGATTCTGTCCTTCTAGCAGGCACATTTGCTCCTCCATGTCACCTACAGCTTGGAATCTGGGAATGACAAGTCAAGCACTTCACTGAGCAAACATGATTTCTTCTCTCACCTCTGCATCCCCAACCTCAGACCACAACACAGACACAGCGCCACAGACAAAGAGTATTCCTAGCTCCTCTGTCAAGCATGTAGGAGTGATTAAGTATTTCTGTGATTATTTTTAAATAGTTCTGCAATCATATATGTGTCTGTTTGCACATATATATGATATTATATAATATATATATATATATATATATATATATATATATATCTTAGCAAGATTCCTACCCATATGGAGCAAATAAGGCAAATATCCATCATGGTTGAAGTTTGAATCTACGTGATGAGTTGACTGTGACTACTCTTTCTACATTTCGTAGACTGGAAAATGTTCATCATAAAAAGGTACAAAAGAACTTCACCAGATTTACCACCCATTTTCTATTCCACATATGGTGGCCCAGGCATGGCTTTTGCTTTCTGGTACACAGTTCTTTTGTTTTTGTCTTTGTTTTTTGAGACAGAGTCTTGCTCTGTCACACAGGCTGGAGTGCAGTGGTGCAATCACTGCAGTCTTGACCTTCTGGGTTCAAGTGATCCTCCCATCTCAGCCCCCACCACATAGCTGGGACTACAGGCGTGTGCCACCATGTCCAGCTAACTTTTTGTTCTTTCTAGAAACAGGGATCTCACTATGTTGCCCAGACTGGTCTCGAACTCCTGGGCTCAAGCCATCCTCTCACCTCAGCCTCCCAAAGTGTTGGGATTACAGGTGCGAGCCATAGCACTTGGCCTCACACAGCTCTTTGTATTAGCTCCTGGTGTCCCCAAGACAGATGCTCTTCCCATTCTTCTCTGTTTTCTCCCAAATGGGATGGATATTCCCATTTGGTCCCAGAGGGCAGTCAACCTGAACAGTTGTAGCTGGCACTAGTCTCTACCTCCTCTTCACCCTAAATATCACGGATCACCCTACACCTGGTTCCATCATCATCATCTCCCATCATAACATTTATTAAGCACTTATTAGGCCCTAAATACTGAGCCAAGGGCTTTCCATACATCCACTGTTTAATTCTTAAGACAACCCTCTGATACCTGTGAGTCGGTTCCATTTACAGTGAGGAAACTGAGCCTAATAGAGGTTAGAAACCTTACTCAAGGTCACATACATAGAGTGTGGCTGAGACAGGATTTGCCCCAGCCCTGTCTGATTCCAGAACTCTTGTCTTCTTCTCCACATTCCCTTCTGTGCCCTGCTAGAGTGACTTCCACAGAAGTTTTGTTTTCATGTTACTGCCTGTCTTTTTGCTGTTATTTACCTTTTGCTCTACTAACGCCTCCTCTGCACAGTGAGTGAATGCTTTTTTAAGGGGAGACTCTGTCTCGCTTTTCTTTACATCTCCCAGGATATCAGCACAGTGCTGGGGGATTGCTCTGCTGAATCCACCTAATTCTCTCAACTTCAAGATGCAGTAGAGGGACCTCCAGCTTCTGTTTCATCGCCCAGTCCCTCCTGGGTCAGGCTGGACAAGCACCGTCTGCATGCATTGCCTCCTTTCCCTTTCCCATTTGTACCACATTACCTGATCCCATTCCAGTCCATCCCAAAGATATAAGAGGAAACTCCCATTAGTGGGCACTTCTGCTGGGCTGTCTACATCCCTCTCCCTGGTCCCCTCTTCCCCAGCCTGCTTACCCACTCTCCTTACCTGCAGCAGCAGGAGCAGCAGCAGCAGCAGCCAGGGCCACCCTCAGAGCCCTGCCCCCTCCACTCTATCTGCCACCCAGATGTGCTGTCTGCCGGCTGGCCCAGGGCCTCTTGTAGTTGCTGCAGGATGTTGCCCCACATACGCGGTCACCATCTCCCCACGAGGCTGGGTGGCTACTTTACAATTGACAAACCTTGG